>NC_000004.12:5732508-6039005 GCF_000001405.40 Homo sapiens | reverse complement strand
TGAAATGCTCTGAGAGGGTGACAGGGCCATGTGTCCATGCTGGGGCCAGGACAGCAGATGCCAGATGCAAGCCTGTGTCCCTTTGTCACTGAGCTGAGTGAGGCGGGGCAGGCCCACAACGGGATTTCCAGAATCGAGTGGTGCGTTTCTATCTGGAAACTGGCCACGCAGGGGTCTCCTGGGAGCTCGGCTGCTGAGTAGAGAAGGGGTGAGCCTGCAGGCACCAGCAAGCTCTGCTCCATGTGGAGCCCACCTGGGGGCCCCGCAGCTCTGCCAGGGAACAGATTCCAGCCTTCTAGTTCCCCAAGGGCAACTGTTGGGGTGGGTAGAGCTGAAGGTGATCATGTTTGTTGGTTAAAATCAGTCTGGCCTGATGGGCCTGGATCCCAGCAGGGAGAAGCCAGAGGAGACTTGAAGAGCAAGTGGCCTGATGGTGACGGAGGGCTACTGGGTTAGCCTCTTCCTCGGTGATGGAGGGATACCGGTTAGCCTCTGCCTCAGTGATGGAGGGCTACTGGGTTAACCTCTGCCTCAGTGATGGAGGGATACCGGTTAGCCTCTGCCTCGGTGATGGAGGGCTACTGGGTTAGCCTTTACCTCGGTGACAGAGGGCTATTGGGTTAGCCTCTGCCTCAGTGACGGAGGGCTACTGGGTTAACCTCTGCCTCAGTGATGGAGGGCTACTGGGTTAACCTCTGCCTCGGTGATGGAGGGATACCGGTTAGCCTCTGCCTCGGTGTTGGAGGGCTACTGGGTTAACCTCTGCCTCGGTGATGGAGGGCTACTGGTTAGCCTCTGCCTCGGTGATGGAGGGCTACTGGGTTAACCTCTGACTCAGTGATGGAGGGATACCGGTTAGCCTCTGCCTCAGTGATGGAGGGCTACTGGGTTAACCTCTGCCTCAGTGATGGAGGGCTACTGGGTTAACCTCTGCCTCGGTGATGGAGGGATACTGGTTAGCCTCTGCCTTGGTGTTGGAGGGCTACTGGGTTAACCTCTGCCTCAGTGATGGAGGGCTACTGGTTAGCCTCTGCCTCGGTGATGGAGGGCTACTGGGTTAACCTCTGACTCAGTGATGGAGGGATACCGGTTAGCCTCTGCCTCAGTGATGGAGGGCTACTGGGTTAACCTCTGCCTCAGTGATGGAGGGATACTGGTTAGCCTCTGCCTCGGTGATGGAGGGCTACCGGTTAGCCTCTGCCTCGGTGATGGAGGGCTACTGGGTTAACCTCTGACTCAGTGATGGAGGGCTACCAGTTAGCCTCTGCCTCGGTGATGGAGGGCTACTGGGTTAACCTCTGACTCAGTGATGGAGGGCTACCGGTTAGCCTCTGCCTCGGTGATGGAGGGCTACTGGGTTAACCTCTGCCTCGGTGATGGAGGGATACCGGTTAGCCTCTGCCTCGGTGATGGAGGGCTACTGGGTTATCCTCTGCCTCGGTGATGGAGGGATACCGGTTAGCCTCTGCCTCGGTGTTGGAGGGCTACTGGGTTAACCTCTGACTCAGTGATGGAGGGATACCGGTTAGCCTCTGCCTCAGTGATGGAGGGCTACTGGGTTAACCTCTGCCTCAGTGATGGAGGGCTACTGGGTTAACCTCTGCCTCGGTGATGGAGGGATACTGGTTAGCCTCTGCCTCGGTGATGGAGGGCTACTGGGTTAACCTCTGCCTCGGTGATGGAGGGATACTGGTTAGCCTCTGCCTTGGTGTTGGAGGGCTACTGGGTTAACCTCTGACTCAGTGATGGAGGGATACCGGTTAGCCTCTGCCTCAGTGATGGAGGGCTACTGGGTTAACCTCTGCCTCGGTGATGGAGGGCTACTGGTTAGCCTCTGCCTCGGTGATGGAGGGCTACTGGGTTAACCTCTGACTCAGTGATGGAGGGATACCGGTTAGCCTCTGCCTCAGTGATGGAGGGCTACTGGGTTAACCTCTGACTCAGTGATGGAGGGATACCGGTTAGCCTCTGCCTCAGTGATGGAGGGCTACTGGGTTAACCTCTGCCTCAGTGATGGAGGGATACTGGTTAGCCTCTGCCTCGGTGATGGAGGGATACCGGTTAGCCTCTACCTCGGTGATGGAGGGCTAATGGTTAACCTCTGCCTCAGTACCATGTTTCTATTGAAACTCATGGTTTCTCTATACCACCTGTAGTTTCTTTGGGAGAGAAGTAGCTGCTCCTTAGTAAGGAATGTGGGTGGAGATTTAGGAAGGCAGAAAAGGAGGTAATTGTCTTTTGTCCTTAGACATTGCCATAAGATAGCTACATTTAAGTGTCTTGCTGTGAAAACGAGTAACATCCTGTAATGATGACAACTCAGCTTTCACAAGGATCCCCAGTTGGTCACTAATGCCTCATTCAGCTTTGCCAAAAAGGGTGGCTTGCTTTTGTTGGGGGTTAGGGGCAATTAAAACATTGCCACTATTTGCTTTGGGCTAGAGTTGCATTCTTAAGGCAGCTGAAAACCAAATGTGTGCAAATCCAGACATATTTCCCCATTGGCACCCATTAGAAAAGGGGAGATTTGTTTCCAGGGTGAGGAGAGCCAATTGGAAACCAAGGATGGAATAAAACCCAGGTGAATTGCACCTCTGTTTGAGTCATGCATCTTAAGGGAATGCTATGATTACTTTTTCTTCTTGCCTTTGTCCCCTCTTGTGCATAGTAGGGGCATCTGGGTTGAATAGAGTAAAAAATGACAAGTGTGCGGGGCCGAGTTGCTCCCTCACAGCCTGCTCCCCCGGGCACTGCTGGCCCTGTGCTTGGCCCCTGCCAGTTGCCCCTCCCTGCCCGAAACCCCCCTCCCTGGCTCTGCCTCCACTGGCAGCAGCCTTCTGGTGGTTCCTGTCCACCTCCTTGTGACCTTCCTCTGTCTGTGTGATCTGGGGTCCTCAGAAAATCCAAGACCTGGAGGCCACACTGTACACAGCGCTGCAGCAGGAGCCGGGGCGGAGGGCCGGTGAGGCGCTGAGCGAGGGCCAGCGGGAGGACCTGCAGGCTGCTGTGGAAAAGGTGCGCAGGCAGATCCTCAGGCAGAGCCGCGAGTTCGACAGCCAGATCCTGCGGGAGCGCATGGAGCTGCTGCAGCAGGCCCAGCAGGTAGGCGGCAACAGCGGCTGTGCCCACAGCACCCCGGCACCCTTGTTGTCCTGTGTGCACCTTGGCACCCTGATGGGCCTCTGAGTGCCCCAGGCTCATTCCAGGGAGAGTTGGTGGTAAAGCAAGTTTCCAAGAAGCAAGATTTCATAGATGCCCATCATATCTCCCCGTGACGGGGCAAGACGTGGGGCACTTGGGCATTCTAAAGAGCAAACGCTGAAACATTCATCCAAACCAAAGTGCCTTCTCCCTCGGCCCTCCTTCTCCAGCATCTGCACGCTGTTTCCAGGTCAGATGCTGGTTACGGGGAGGCATCCGCTGAATGGTTTGCTTTTTTGCTACCTTTTGTGATGGCGGCTCATTGGAGCATTGGGCCTAGAAGCTGTACCAGTTGTAGGTCTGAAAACCTCAATGTCTTCCAAGGTTCGATGTTGCGTGTGAGTTTCATGTGCTACTGAGCACATGGGGAGCTGAGGGCTTCATGACTCCTGATTGACGAGGAAGGGAAAGAAGCAGCAGCATCATGCAGAGCATTTGTCGGGCGCTCACCATGTGTCGGGCAGTGGCTCCCTGCGCTGCAGATCCTTTATCTCATGGACCCTATGGGTAGGCACTATGACGTCCATTTTCCAGACGAGAGAACTGAGGCTCAGGGAGGTTAACTCATGTGTCTGAAGGTCACCCAGATAGTAAGGATCTAGATTACCAGTGGGGAGGGATGTCACAGAAGGAAAAAAGAAGGGGGATGCGGGCAGAGAGAGAGAGAAAGAGAAAGAGAGAGAGAGAGAGAAAGAGGTTGACTTACTTTAAGGAACTGCCTCACGCAACTGTAGATAAAGATCGGCAAGTTCACAATCTGGAGGGCAGGCTAGAGCCCCAGGGAAGAGTTGTTGTATTTCAAGCCTGAAGGCCATCTGCTAGCAGCATGCTCCTCTCCTCGGGGAGCTCAGTCTTTTTCTCAAGGCCTTCAGGTGATTGAATGAACCACACACACACATTATGGAGGCTCATCTGCTTTACTCAAAGTCTACTGATTTAGGTGTTTATCTCATCTAAGAAAGACCTCCACAGAAACATCTAGTTTGTTTGTTTGTTTGTTTTTTGAAATGGAGTCTCACTTTATCACCCAGGCTGGAGTGTAGTGGGACGATCTCAGCTCCCTGCAACCTCTGCCTCCCAGGTCAAGCAATTCTCTTGCCTCAGCCACCTGAGTAGCTGAGATTATAGGCACCCGCCACCACACCCAGCTAATTTTTGTATTCTTAGTAGAGACGGCGTTTCTCCATGTTGGCCAGGCTGGTCTCAAACTCCTGACCTCAAGTGATCCACCCACCTAGGCCTCCCAAAGTGCTGTGATTATAAGAGTGAGCCACCGTGCCCATCAACATCTAGAATATTTGACCAAATATCTGGGTACCATGGCCTAGCCAAGTTAACATAAAATCAATCATCATCACCATCAAAGGGAAAGGGCATTCTGGGCAGCAGAGCAGCATGGTGTGGTTCAGCTTAGGCAGCAAAGAAGCTGAAAACACAGACACTGGGACCAGACGGCCGGGCTCTGAACTCTGGATCCCCCATTTAGTTGTGTGGCCTTGGACAAATTATTTAACCTCTCTGGGCCTCACTGTCTTCCTCATGGGGATGATGACAATGCCTGTCTCACTGGGGCATGGTAAGGTTTAGATAATTATTACTTGTAAACTGCTGTCAATAAGTGCAGACCACTATGGATTCAAAAGTAGTACCCTGTATATAGGATTTTACAGAGAAACCACCACCCTGGAACAGTGGTTGTAATGAGCCTCACTAAAACACCTGTTTGAAAACAGGTGTTTGGCTACCTGATTAAGTCTTCAAACCAGCTTAAACAGAGGGAGAGATGAAGGCACAGAGACAAAACAGCTGGATGAAGGTCAGCTAGCCACAAAGTGACCCTTCCAGGCCAGGCCCATCCTGAGTCCACTGCCAGAGCCCTGGTCTCCACACTGCATGATCCCCTGAGGGTTAACTATTGATGTTTTGTGATTCTTTGCTAGTTGCTATCATTTGATAGTCTCCAGAAATCTGGTATTTTCAAAAGAGTATTGCAAAACCTACATTTTTTTTTCCCAAAGAGAAGGAATTCAAACCTGCATTACAGTGATTTTTTTCCCCTCCAGGAACATAAAAATTAACGTTTTAAAGTTTATATATGGAAAGCTATGATGCAGCATTAGGAGCCATAGGCTCTCGGGTCAGACAGGTTTTTATTCAAATCCTGCCCCTAGTTATGGTGTGACCTGAGGCAAGTTAGTTCACCTCCGTGAGCCTCAATTTTCTTGTCTGTAGAATGGGTACAATCAACACACACAACTTGAAGTGTTGCGGTCAATGGAGAATTTATCTAAAGTGCTCACAAAGTAAGCACTCAATGAATATTAGCTAACATTTGCTGCACTTGGCTTTTCTAACCCAACCTAATCATTATCATGTCTTCTCTCACCTTTATATTCATCATAATCCCTAACACTCATGTATTCAACACGGGCGACACTACCTAACACAACCAGGTGCTCTGGCAACACTCACCCCACTTCTGATCTGGCCCAAGCACTAGCTACCCGCTTCAACCATGGACAGACCCTCCCAGTCTCCCAGTTTGCTGTGGACATTACCATTGTATTTCACCTGGAATCTGGCCCACAGGGTGCAGTGATGTCCCCTGCCCAGCCCCAGCTGAAATTGGCATTTTCCAGCCCTGTTAACTAAGAGGAGAAGAGGATGTGAAAACATCCATTAGTGAATGGCACCTTTCCCAGCGGAATGATTCTGCACTTTTGTAAAAGGTTCTGCCTGAGTGAAGGTTGGAGTGAAGCCACTGGTGTAAATTCACTTTGTCCTGACCCTCTCTGAGGGTTCAGTAGCACTGGTTTCGCTTCCTAGCCACAGTTGGCCTGCAGAGACATCTGCTGGGACAATTCACGATGGCAATGCCCTCTCCATTGTCTCTTTCTCTGCCGAAGCCTTCCTAACACAGAGCACCACCACAGCACCCCCGCCTCCCGCTGAGACCCTCACTGGCTCCCTGGTGCCCAGAGTACAAAGTCTGGGTTGCTTAGTCTGACCTTCGAAGCCCTCTAGAGCCCCTTCCAACTGCCACAGCTGCATTGTCCACCTCTCTCAGAGTTGCCCCTGCTGGCCGTCATGGAGCTGTGTTTTGCTTTGTTTTGTTTTGTTTTGTTTTGTTTTGTTTTGTTTTGTGTTGTGTTGTTCTAACATTCGTGTACCAAGCACTGTTCTAGGTGCTGTGGCAATATTCCAGCCCAGGGAGGCAGACTGGGGCTGACCCACAGAAGGGGCTCAGTGGACATTGGTTGAATGAAACTCACACGAGTCCTTTGAGGACAGGTCATTGATGCCATTTTTCACAGGGGAGCAGAGTGAGGCTCAGAGAAGGTAAGCAACTTGTCCAAGGTCACACAGCCAGGAAGCAACAGAGCTCAACTGTGAACCCAGGTCATCAGATGAGGAAACTCTTACCCACTGCTCTTTCTGGCCTCCCACACTCTGATGAGAGACTGTTTCCTAAGCGTGAATATCAAGAAAGATCAGAATGAGAACCAGGTTGTCAGGCTGATTTTTAAAGCCCAGAAGTTGTTCCTGGGGGATTCTCAGATGTTCTTTGGAAGCTGTAAAGCCAGACATTAGATTACAAAGCATTGTCCTGCAGATCCCATTTCACCCTCGGTGTCATGGGGTCCCACACAGACATTACAGCAGAGGGGTCCAGACACAGAGAGATCATGTCACTCACCCAGAGCCCAACAGCTGCTACATTTGGGGCCCAGAATTCAAGCCGGGTTCAGGCCACATGCCCTGCTTACTCAGCAGCACTCGGCCGCCCTGCATGTGAGGGGGTTGCCAGGAAACTCCTGCCACTACCAGACTGAGGTCACACAGTTCCCTTCGGGTGGGAGAGAGTAGAAAATTATCAGTTTAAAAAAATAACATATGGAGTGCTCAATGCCAAGCTCTGCTCTAAACACTTGGTACAAATTTGCTTGTTAAATCCTTAGATGTGGGCAGCACCCATCTATAGATAAGGACACCAAGCCTCAGGGAGGCAGAATAACTGCCCAAGGTCACAGATCTGAGAGAATCATCTTTTTTTCTGTCTCCTTCGTGGAATCCATTCTGTTTGGCTGCCCCGTGATCATCCTGAAATCAAAAGCTCATCATTTCCCTGCTTAGAACCCGTCACTGGCTCCCCATGGCAACCCCAAAGCTGTGAGCACCTCATCGGGACATGGGCCATTCCAGACCCTCTGAGCTCTGTCCCCGACCCCCCACCAAAGGCCTCTTGGCCTCCTGCACATGCCGTTCCCTCTGCCTGGAATTCCTTTCCCCTCTTGTGCATCTGGTGAACTAACCCTGCTGGGTTCCACGTCTCCTCCAGCCCACGGCACGATACCTCACCCCTCCTCATGCCTCTTTATTTATTTATTGAGATGGAGTCTCTCTGTGTCACCCAGGCTGGAGTGCAATGGCGCGATCTCAGCTCACCGCAACCTCCACCTCCCAGGTTCAAGCAATTCTCCTGTCTCAGCCTCCCTACAGGAGCGCACCACCAAGCCCGGCTCATTTTTGTATTTTTAGTAGAGACATTTCACCATGTTGGTCAGGCTGGTCTTGAACTCCTGACCTCCGGTGATCCACCTGCCTCGGCCTCCAAAAGTGCTGGGATTACAGGCTTGAGCCACCGTGCCCAGCCCCTCTTGGTTTTCTTGATGGTGTTTGTATTCATCTGATGCCCCTTCTATTTATGTGTATGCTGCTATTGTCTGAACGGTAATTGAACTATAAGGGGAGGGACTTTGTCTTTCTCTCCAGGACTGGAACAGGCCCAGGCATATGGAGTCCTATTTACTGAGTGACTAAATGTGCCCACAGTGGTGGTTCTCAAAGCAGGGGCCCCGGACCGTCTGCGTCCTCATCACCTGGGAGCATGCTGGAGTGCAACTTTCACTCAGGTCCCACCCCAGCTGGGCTGAGGCAGAAGCTCTGTGGGCAGGGCCTGGCAATCTGCATTTGAGTAGGCTCTCTGGGTGATGCTGACACAGGCTGGAGAATCACTGCCCTACGGAATGTGAGATGGCTTCTCTGGGCCTGAATAAAGGCCTATGGTGACCCCATGTTTAATTTTTGCTGGCTGAAATCGTCCACCCTTCCGCCTCCCAGCATTGTCTCATTGTATGAGGTCTCTATCCCGTTCAGGGCAGACAAGGGCCAGCAGCCCGCTGGGCAGAGTTGCCCCAGGGGTACCCACCTTGGTGGGGCCCTTGATGGGGCGGAAGCCCTGTGAGCACATGAAGATCTGGAAACGGGGGAGTTCACCAGATTCCCTCGGTGGAGACGCTGTGTGGGATGGGAAGGAATGATCGGTAAACCACCCAGGGAATTAATTCTGCAGGTGCGGTGCCAAGGAGGGTAACTAAGAGTCTGGGTTTGCCCAGGACTGAGGGGTTTCCTGAGGCTCACACCAGGAAAGTCCTGGGCAAACCGGGTCTGTCGGTCACCCTGGTACCACGTGCTGAGTGGGGTTCTAAGAGGGCAGGGCGGATGCTGGTGCAGTGGCTCCCACCAGCATTGACCTCCTCTGCCCTTCTCCCTCCCTCCCCCCATCCCCCAGGCTGCAGTTAAACAAATCTTAGACAAGTACGTGATGTGGTGTCACATCCCACCCATGACCTTTATTAGCTGCTCAGGGTGCCTACATGTTTTGGTCCAGTCTCGATGTTTTGTTTTTAAAAGATCCCCTCTTAAGAATGTGTACTGTGTAATTCTATTTCCAGAAACTTCTAGAACAGGCACGATCCATTATTAGTGATAGAAGTCAGAACAGAATTCCTTTGCAGAGCTGGAATTGAGCCGGGGGACCAAGGCCTCCTGGGAGCTGGGATGCTCTCTGTCTTGCTTTGGGCGGTGGTGACATGGGCTTGTGCATGTATCAGAGCTCATCAGGCTGCCCACAGTGTTGGTATCCTTTACAGCTTCTGTGCTAGACCACAATAAAAAATAAAAACAGAGTTTTTAAACCTGGAAAACTTACTTTTTCTGACACGTAACCTGGTGTATTTCAGAGAATCCGAGAACTGGAGGACAAACTGGAGTTTCAGAAGCGGCACCTGAAAGAACTGGAGGAAAAGGTAGGTGACTGCAGCTCAGACTGTCCCCAGGTTTCTTTCCATGAAATGTTAGTGCGGAATCATTTTATTTCATAAGGTCCAAAGCATAGACTCTGTCTCCAGCCCTCCTTTCTCTGCCCTTCTTCCCCTAAATCAGCATCTCATGGAAATCGCTAGTTCCTCAAAATTCCTTTCTGGTAAAGGCATTTCCTTCTCAATGGCTGTCAAAAATTCTTCAGGCCGGGGCCAACTCTGTGTGTCTTTTTCACAAAAGACTTTCCCCTGAATCCCTCCCCTGCTGTCTCACTAGGAAAGAGGTGAAGCACATTAGCCCGATGAGGTCAGTGGCATCCCCCTAACCACAGACACAGGTTCTCCTCCATGGACTCATTCACTTTTTAAATACCTTCTATGAGCCCCAGACCAGTCGCATGTTCCTGGAAGACGCAGCCTCTCCCATCCCAGAAGACGTGAGGCTGGCCTCTCAATGGGCTTTGGGTATGTTCCACCAGCCCATTTACCATGATGCCCATTTTATGAGTGAGGAAAGTGAGGCAGAGATAGATTAGGACACCTGTCCATGGTCCCACAGCTAGGAAGGGATGGCTGGGTTCTCCATGGATGTCATAGCCATCCCATCCTGCCCCTCCATATGACATTGGTCCAGGCAGACACATGAGTCTGGCTCAGGACACACACAAAGCAGTTTTATCATGGTATTGCCCTTCATCTTCTTCCACCGGATGGCTGTGAGTCCTTGAGGACAGGGACCACGTGGTGTGCATCTCTTCATTCAAGACAGTTCTTGCCACAGGATAGGGTATCATCAAATGTTTGTGGATGAGTACGCAAATGATTCTAGATGAGTACAGAAAAACAATAATTGCCTATTTAATGTCACAGAGGTAAGTTCAAGTGTGGCAACAAGATGGAGAGCCGCTGAACCCATCCAGGAGGTCCGTGGCCGGCATGCCTGTGCTCGAAGAGGGGGTCCCACCTGAATCTCAAAGGACACTGTGGGATCAGCCCTGGGAAGAGGAGGTAGAAGGGGCATCTCTGGGCTTTATGTGTCTGAGGCCGGTCTTGTGAGAGAGGAAGCTGACTTATTTCAGGGACAAACCAGGGCAGAAATCTCTGGAAGGCAGATTCCAGGGCTGTCCAAAAATGGGATGACAGCCTTTCCAGTCCAGTAGGGAATCAAACCATGTGCCCAGAGAGATGGGACAGCACTTAAGATTCCACCTCCGTTTCAGATGCTTCCTCTCCCTTCTCTCATGACAGTCGGCTCCATGCAGATGAAATCACCTTCCCATCTCTGCTGGAGGTGTAGGGCCCTGCCGGGTCGCAAGTGGACCGAGGATCTGTGCGCAGGGGCGGGGGCAGGGCTTGCCTGCCAGTTCCCTTGTTGCTCTCATGGGAACCCCAGTTTTAGCTGATTCCTAGAGTCCCCGTCTGCCAGATGCCCACGCCTACCAGCCTCCCAAGGATATTCTGAGAACCCAAGGGGGTCTCAAGTATAATTGGATTTAAGAATTGCTTGAGGGATGAGCTGGTTTCGCAGATAGATGAGCCTGGGCTCTCCTCTGGCCTTGCCCAGGTAGGCCCAGAGAGCCTGGGAAATTCACCCCTCTGCCCCACGGAATTCACCCCTCTGCCTCAGGCCTTGGTGTTCTCATGTGCTGCTAGGAATGGTGCTCTGTCTCTGAGGGTGGATGTAGGGATAAAATGAGGTTGGGGATATGAAAGTTCGCAGCCCAGGGCCCAGGCAAGGCGTGTGGACTGGCAGCACCGGTTCTTCCCATCTCCCAGGTAGCTCTACCACTTGTGTTGGTAAAATGAGTCACAGAGCCAGATATGATAAAAGAAAGGCTTAAAACATGCCCAAGGTCATCCTTGCTGATTAAAATGTTAAAAGTCAGGTGGAATGAGCGCACACTTAAAATAACACTCACTATGTCCTCGGCAGTGAGAATACCTGGGAAATGTTGGAATCGTCTTTCTGGCTCTTTTTTCGACTCTTTTCTCAAAGCCTATGTTTGGGGACTGGTCTGTCTCCTTTTGCCACAGAAGGGAGTTGCGGAAGCTGGCATGCAGAGCAGGAGGAACTGGCCAGGATGGATGCCTGACGAGGCCTGTAGGGCTGGAAACCTTCCAAGATGCCTCATGCCACCTTCATTTCCTTACAGGCATCGGGGCCTGTGACCGTGGAAATAGCTCCAGCCACCACTATCCCTGGCCCCTTGGTCCCTTCGTCATTGCCAGAAACTCTTTCCTGCCACACCCCCACTGGATGGTCTTAACGAATCCTTCCCTCTTCCCAGGCCTCAGTTTCCCCATGTGGAAGATGAAGGGCTGGGTGACTTTCAAGGCCCCTTCTAGCTCTGACTTCCAATGATCCTACACCTCGTTTAGAAGTTGATGGCTGTTAGTTTGGACTTTTCCAATAAATAATATAGGGAGATATTACCTTGTTTTGGGGGGGAGAAGAACTCAAGGATTATTTTCAAAAGCCCCAGTTGATGTTCAGATATGTTTCCCCTAATGACTTGCAACTCCTTTTGAACAAAGCAAGTCCTGAGAAGGGTAAGAAAAAAATTCTACTTTTGAGTCGGTGTGTTTAATTTTTCCTCCCGTTAAGACCGTCTTTCCCTGATTTTTTTTTTCTCTGTATAAGTAGACTAATCAAATGGCACAAAAGATTTTAAATAGCGACTCTCTTGGAAGAAAGAACCCTGGTAAAGATGGTGTAGGGCTGGGGTGCCCAATCCTTTGACTTCCCTGGGCCACATTGGAAGAATTGTCTTGGGCCACACATAAATTACACTAACACTAACAATAGCTGGTGAGCTAAAAAAAAAAAAAAAAAAAAATGCAAAGAAATTCCATAATGTTTTAAGAAAGTTTACATTTGTGTCGGGCCACATTCAAAGCTGCCGTGGGCCACATGGGGCCTGTGGGTAGAGGGTTGGGCAAGCGTGGTGTAGGCAGAAGGGCTCTACTTGTCTGCAAGTTGGACTGGGTGACCTTGAGTGGAATTTACCCTGATCTTCGGTGCACACATCACGCCCCCGTCTCTTGGTGGGAGCCGCTGACCATGACCATCGGCTGGGCCTTCCTCTATTTATACCGGCCTGCCCAAGTTCTGCATGAAGGCCACATCACAGCACCAAAAAGTCCTGTCCCGGTCCAGAGTGTCAATCTCCCCTGAATGAGTTAGCTGCATGTTTGGAGAGTGGGTCGGGATAACCCACCCTGAGTGTGGAAGACCCCAGGATGCGTTTCCCAGGGGAGATCACTTCCTAAAGCCTGTTTACTTCCCATTTCTCTTTCCGAACCCAACAACTCAGTGTCCTAGTTCTTGTAAAATGCTGTCATTGAGTTCCATACTACATATCTTACATCTGTTTTCTTTTCTTTTTCTTCTCTTTTCCTCATTTTCTTTTGGTATTATTTTATAGTTTTTGTTCCTTTTTTTGTTTTTCTCACTAGCATTCATTCTGTGGCCTTGATGACTTCAGTGAGCCAAGAACTCGGGTTGGTATCCTTTCCTTTTCGCAGATGAAAATGATGATTTTCTAAAACAGGAGGAGTCCTCCCAGTCCCTGACTGTCAAGTTCCTTGAGAGATGAGGCACCGTGGAAGGTGGCCTTGTGCTGGATGCTTTAACTCATGGGTCTGGGTCATGGGGGGAGACCCGCCCTGAGGAGGGGGATCAGGGACGCTCACTGTGAATAAGAAACTCCTCTGTGGAGTTTCATCCACAAAGGGGGACTGTGTTTTATTCCAAAGGTTCTCTCCAGTCTGGCTTCAGTCCCTGGTGCTCTCTGTTGCTGTGTGGACCAGTAAGTCCTCTGTAGGGTCCAGGGTCTTTGGCTTCCAGGGCCGAGGGCTACAGGAGCAGGAGGTTGCTGGAGAAACGGCTCCTGAGCCTAGACTACCACTTACGTGCAAAGTGCCCAGGGAGCCTGTGTAAGAAGCCACTCAGCTCCCTCCCCGTCACACCCCTGTCCTGTGCTGGGTTTTGACTCCTGTGCCATGCTCAGGGACCTCTGGAACAAGGCCATGTCAGCGTCTGGTCCTCCTCTGACCACTGAGCCCTGTGTGTCCCCAGGACCCAGCTCCCACCTTAGACACCTGGACACTTGCACATTCTCCCTGAGAGTGACCATTTCAGAGCAGGGGGCTGCCAGGACCCCTAGACTCTAGAGTTCTGTCTTTGAATCCAGCCCAGGCTGAGGGCCCCCTGGATTCTGGGGATGCCTGCAGCACCCACTAGCTACCTGGACCCCTTAGGCTGAGCTCCCAGGCCAGGGCCCTGCCTGATGTCCTCATAGGCGTCCCTGAGGCTGACCCCAGTCCACAAGGGCTTTGGTCTGGTACCTTCTGTACCCAAGTGTCTGGGACAGTGCTGGACACATGGTCGATATTCATTCAATGTTTATGGACTGAGTAAAGGAAGGATCTCAGGTCTTAGAGGACAGCTGACACTCAGTCCCATCTGAGCAGAGGTGGGGGTGGCCACAGGGGTGGGTGGGTGTTGGGGGATGGGGGATCTGATCCTGCTGCTGCTGCTTCTCCTGGATTGTGGGGGGAAGGTCCCTCAGGGCTCAGCTGGGGTGTTTATGACAGCAGTGGGGGCAAGGGGCAGATAAAGCCAAGGGATCCTCCGGCCATTTTAACCCTTGGTTCCTGTGTCATTTCAAATTATGTTTTAATCTTACAGGATAGAAAAAGAATTTATGGAATAAACTGAGTCCCTACGGCAACCCCAACCCCACTCAAACCAAATTCAACAGCGAAACAAGCTACTCAAAGTCCAGAGACTGCAAACAGAATTTATGTATATTTGACAATAGCTTTAAGGGGAAGCCTTTGGACGCACGGCTGGGTCCTGGCCAGCCCAAGCCGTAAGGACTCTGCAGGGACGATGGGGATTTTGTCAAACTTGGAACCACATCCATGTCCCAGCTCTGGCACTTTGAAGGCCCAAGGGGGCAGAGACCTGAATGCCAGGAAACTAAGTGCAATTACCAGAAACCAAGGGATCGGCAGCCACCGCACTGTCTGGGGACAGGCCCGAGTCCTCGTCCCCACGCCAGATGCCTCCCCAGTCCGCAGTGTGCATGTCCAGCTGGACCCGGCTGGGTGCCGTCTCTGCCCTATGTACATAAATCTCCACGAACCGTGCTGTGTTCGTCCTGGAGTTTGTCTGCCGGAGCGACTTGCAAGTGTCCTTGTAATGTGAACCCCAGTTCAAGTCCTGGTCAGCAAAACCTCTGAATCTGTGCACAGCTGGATGTAGCAGCTGGCAGCCAGAGAGAGAGGGCAGGACCCTGATGAGTGGCTGGAGCCTTGCCCATCATGGAGAAGCCGACCTCAGGGACCCCAGATTTCTGAAGGGAGGCCGAGGGCTCTGTCACTCTTGTAGGTGTGACACGGCAAAAGTCCCAGAGCATGACTGTCCCTGGGACCAGGTGGACTGAGGACTGATAGAGCAGACATGACCACCAACCAGGCCACACTTGGGCCTGCGTTGCACCTTGATCGTAATTTGCAAGGGGCTGCCGAGGAAGAGATGCTGAAGCACCTGCAGGAACTAGGTTATTTCCATAGTGGTCCCGAGACCAGGTCCTGCTCTCACCACCGCGGGGAGGAAGTGAGATCTTCCTGCCTTGGGAGGCCACCCCTGGATGGAGCTGGGAGAGCTGTCAGGGTGTTGGAGGCCTCGCTGGAGAGTGGGTGGAGTGGAGCAGCCACAGAGAGCTGGACGCCAGCTGGGGATGGTCAGCCCAGGAGGAAATTCCCCAAGTTCCTTTCTGATGATGTTCCTGTTGTTATTCTAGGCTGGGTGGGGTGGAGGCATCTCCAGAAGAAGCCACCTGCTCACAGGATGCCTCTCCCAAACTTCTGCGCGGGAAGACGTTTGGAATTAGAATGGATGAAGTGAAATAGAAGACTGAATGTGACGAGGAGGCTGGCTGTGTCTGCATGGGAAGAGCCGGCTGAAGGCCAGGCCGGGCCATCCTCAGCTGGCTGCAGGTGGACGGGCTCAGGCCCTGCTCATCAGGTAGAAGGAACGGTTCTGTGGTCTCTGGTGAGGAGGACCTTTGGACAAAAGGGAAAGGACTGAAATGTAGGCAGTTGAGGGAACTCATGGGGTGAGGGCAACAGAGGAGCTAGAAGTTCTCAGAAGGCCAGATCCATGGATGGAGAAGGACACGGTGCCCTGCACAGAAGGGGCCCTGCCAGCCAGGGAGGGCTGCTCACACCACATCCCAGGATCCATCTCTAAGCAGACATGCACCGGGATGGCCCAGTAT
The DNA here is from genome assembly GCF_000001405.40 of Homo sapiens. Taxonomy (NCBI): domain Eukaryota; kingdom Metazoa; phylum Chordata; class Mammalia; order Primates; family Hominidae; genus Homo; species Homo sapiens. The sequence continues at coordinate 6,023,416 of NC_000004.12, read as the reverse complement.
TACCCATTCTCTTTTGAAATCAAAACCCCAAAGCACCCACTGGCTCAGCCTCTGTGACTTACCAACACCTGGTGATGAAATATGAACAAACTGATGTCGGTTGAAAACACAGGCATCTTAGCAGCCCAGGGGCGATGGGAGTGTGGGGTCGCACAGTGAGTGAAAACAAAGGCACGCTTACTCTTTCCGGCCGGGAAGCACAGGAGGCGTCGCTGTGCTCGCTTCTGCGGGCAGAAGTCTAGGGGCACCCATGGGTCTCTGGAATGTCGGTCCAGCACCCTTGCAGCCGCTGCAGGAGTGCGGTCCTCATACCTGCTTGTCCCCGTCCTTCAGCGGGTGAAGGGCAGTGTCTGTGTCTGCTGGGCTCTCCCACTCAGATCATGCGACCAAAATGGCCTTGGCTTTGAGGTCAGACCCATTTGTCCCTGCCAGCCCGGCCTCTTCCTGCTGTATTGCACTGGCAATGTCCTTGCCGCTCTGAGGAATGGTAGTGATAGTTCCCATGTGTGGCCTTGGGAGAGGTCTGAGCTGGACGGTTAGACCCGCAGGCTCCCACAGGCCACCGTGGCTGCTGGTGGGAGACATAGCATCTGCTGTTCTCTCCTTGGGAGCTGTCCTCGGAGGAGTCCATGTGGCCGGCCCGGGCCCAGGACCCGTTCTCTTTTGCCCTCCGGGAGGCGGCGCAGGAGGAAGCATGAGGCTCACACTGGCAGGTACGGGGGTTTCCCTGCATAGAAATCCAAAGTCCCTGTTAGGAACCAGCATTTCTTGTCACAGTCCCAGCCGTGGCTTCCCGGCTCCCTGCTAGGCACAGTCCTGGTTGCAAGGACCCCAGTATGCAGGGAGCCTCAGAGCTGTGCTGCACCCCGGTGCACTCACCCCTCATCCACAGCCCTGTGCCCAGGTCAGGCACATCTGCCACGGCTTTGGATGTTGTTGCCTAGTAACACATATGTGGTTTCCAGGGCAGCAGAGTTACAAAGTCTGGGGAACCCCAGGTCACTTCCTCAGGTAGAAAGGAGAAGTGTGGCTCCACCCTTTAGCGCAGCCCTGCCCACAGGTCAGCTGGGAGGTTTAGCAGAGAGCCAGCCCTGAATGTTCCTGGCACAGAGATGTCCGTGGTACAAACATAGGTTTCCACTTCTCTCTCTTACACCTCAATCCTCTGTAGGCCAAAGGCAACCAGGGAGGAGCTGGGGCGTAGAAGTCGAGGGATCAGACAGCGTTCTGTCCCGCCACTCTGGCAGCCTCCTGGGGGCTGAGGAGTGGAGGCCGGGGCTGGGGCCAGGAGATCGGCTGTGCAGGGATAAGCCAGGCTGATTTGTCCAGGACAGCGGGGATTCCGGGAACAGAGGACTTCCTGTTTTAAAATGGAGGAGGCTCTGGGCAAACTGGGAGGGCGTTCCCCCATGGGTGCAAGGCTTTTCTCGCTGAACCCCACTTCCCTTCCAGGTCTCCAGCTGGTCGCAGGTGTTTTGGCTGAAGCACGCAGTGCCTGTGCCGAGCACCTTAGGTGAAATGGGCTTTGTGCTTCACACGGATGCCCCGAGAGTCAGCTCACGCTCAAGGGTGTGAGATCCTATGCAGCCTGCCCCCAGTTTGGTGCTGGGCCCTGAGGGGAGGGGAGGAATACAAACATGTGGGCGGGTGGACCCCTTCCCTGGTCAGGGGCAAGGCTTACCCTGGCTGGTTGTACCCCCCACTTCAGCTCCAGCTTCCCCATCCTTCCCAAGTAAATTCAACATCTGCCCCCATCCGCTGCTCCTCTATCTGCCGGGAGCATCCAGGACTGTGGCCCCTGCTTCTCCCTCACCTGCCATAACCCCTCTGTAACCAGTAGCAATCCTGCCTGATACTCCCAGGACAAACAATGGCCAGTTTGATATTTGGTTATGTTCTCACATTTAAACAGGGTTTGCCAGGGATGTGCCAAATTGGGTGGGAAATAGCGAATGTGCCATTGGGGGGTCCTTTTCCCCCCAGCCCAGTTGTCTGGACTCTTGGGGCTTTCTGTAGGGCCCTTCTCTATGCCCCAGATTCCCGCTCTGAAGTAGGGTGGAGCCCAGGTCTTCACACGGCCAGACCTCCCTCCGTTCCTCCCAGCCTCCCCCCAGCTCTCAGGGGCTGTTGTTCCAGCAGAAACGGGGACTCTTAATTTCTTCCATGGCCTGTGTCCTCCCTGTCACCACCCTCAGTCTCAGGGAACCTCCCTGAGGATCCCAAGGGGGCAGAACCCCATCCTTACATCTGCACATCAATCTGTCCCCTTCTCCTGCCCAGGCCCTACCACTTCTGAGGGGCCTGCAGGCTCAGATCTCCACCCCAGGCTACCACAGATGTTGGTAAACCATGGGCAGGCCACGATTTTCTCTGTTTGACCTTCTTCTTCCCCCAAGAGCCTCCGTCACTTACCTAAAAAGCCTGAGAACACTTCCCCAGGAGAGGCCCTGCCTGCTTCCCTGTCCTTAGGCAAGAAGGAAGGACGTGCCCTCCCTCAGGGCTGCTCCCAAGGAAGGGCTGGAACAGCTCCTCCTCCTTGGTGGCCCTGGGGTAATTTTTCAGTCTGTTGCTATTGCCTTCAGCTGTCACTCAGTCCTCCCACTCTGCACTGGCTCCTCTTGGCTGATGTTCCTGGGAGCTCACGGTGCGGTGCAGGTACAGGACCAGCCACCACCCCCCACCACCGCCCCAGAGCTCAGTCAGTCATCACCACAGTGGGGAGCGGGGACTGCTGTCAGTTTCATTTTGCAAGGGGCCGAGTCATTTTCCTAGGATCATGCGGCAAGTAGGCGTGAAAACTGGACACAGCTGGACAGTGTTGCGTCTGCCCCCTACCCAGCAGACAGCATGCTGTATTTAGTGTGTGCCAGGTGCTCTGCTGAGGGCTTTGCAGGAATCGACTCATTTATTCCTCAACAGCTCTTCACTTAGGCATGATCTTTACCCTCTTTTTTTTGAGAAGTTAAGTAATTTGTCCAAAATCACATCTGAGAAGCGATGGAGACAGGCCTGGAACCCAGGCAGCCTGGCCCCAGCGCCTGGGATCTGAGTGGCTCCACTGCACCCCCATCCCCCGCCTCCAACTGCCCCAGGTCCACGGAAACCCCTTGTGGCCAACAAGACATTGGCCACTGTTGGGAAAATATGATTAAAGACAAAAGCTTCTCCCAGCACAGAAAACCTCATCACAAAGAAAATTTAAAAAAGGTTTATTATTGAATAAGCATTAAACCAAGATATGAGGTGCATTACAGGTAACCCACTGAGAGATTGCAAAGACAGTAAGAAGTTTCACCCTTTTATATGGCCAGGCAGGCACAATCCATGCACACATCCTCTCTCATCCCTGCGGAAAAGGACTCGATAGCGTCATTGTTTCACATGGTTCATCCTAAACTCACCTGACAACGAGGGCAACCCTCTGTGTTCATTAATTTGTTTTATACAAAGGAAAAAAAAGCTTCTCCTGCACCTGGGTTCCACCCTTCTGTCACTTACTGTGACAGGTTTTGCATCTCGGAGCCAGGCGCCTGCCCAATTCGGCTCCTTCCTCCCACTGAACACTAGGGGCGCTGTTTTCCTTCGAATTTACATCTCAAAGAGGCGGTGCCCAGGTCCTTCAGGGAAACATTCCTGAGTCGTAATGCTGGAAAAGGCTTATTTCGCTGTAAAAAGGATTTACACATATTTCAAAGAGACAAAGAAAGAACTTACACATTTTCTAAAGTAGATGCTTTAAGAAAAGGGAGGGAGGACGTCTCTTATTTTTAACAGGGAGACGGAAGCCTCTCATTTTCTATTTGTCTTGGTCCTGACGCCTCTTTGCACCAGGCCTGGCCTGTGGCGCTGCCTCCTCCTACAGGTGCAGCTGCCTCCATCTCGCTCCTGCAAACCCCAGAGTGCTCGATCCTCAAAATGACATTTGACCAGGCACCTCCCTTCTCCCAGGGGCCCACAGAAACGCCGGAGTCCTTGAGTGCCTGAGAGAAGATGGCACCCAGCCTCCTCTGTCCTCACTCCTCACTTCCTCCTTCTGTGTGTCCACGGGGCCAGCTTTGTCTGGTCCTCCTGTTCCCTTCACTTGTCCTGCCTGTCTGTGCGGGTCTGTGGCCTGAGGATGCTCCCCACCTGGGGGAGTCTCCTCCCCACCTCTCTCTGCTGTAATTCCCCATTCCTCCTACGATCTCTTCAGCCTCATGCTCGCTCCCCCTCCTCAGGGTGCCCAAAGGATGCGTTTGCTCCTTTTCTGGGGTCTTGTTGCTCACCTATTACTGTATCTCCTGTGTCAGAACACACACACTCCAGTTTGGGAGTCAGATCCATATTTGAATCCTGATTCTGCTACTTCCCATCCCACCTGTGGGACCCGGATAAGCTCCTTCACCTTCCAGAGCCTCCGTCTGACCATCTGTATAATGGTCATGTTAACGCCCACCTCATAAGGTCACCGGGAGAATTGGACTAGGTAAGGCATGAGAGGCCCCTGCCCTGGATGCAGACGGCACCCAGGGCAGCATAAATTTCCCATCCTCTTCCCCTAGCAAACTCTAGGTCCTTGAAAAATATGTGCTGTGCTCAAAGAGGAGGTGTGGAACCTTATTCATTATGTGGTAAAAAGATAAGCTTCATTGACTACTGGGAGTCTGTAACATCTGATGGCCTTACCTGGAGGTCTTATTTTTCCTCTCTGTGTTCATCACTAGGCATTTCATCTCAAGTGATTTTTCTGCAACTTTTTCTTGCTTTGCGTGAGTTCTGGCATGCTGACTTGTAAAACGAGAGGCTTTCATTCATATTGTATGACGCTTGTGCAGATGAAACCCAAGTCACCCACTCATGAATAATCCACCTGTTCTTGCCCTTCTCAAAGGATATTTTCCTGAACAATCTGAAGTCACAAACACCACCTTGAAATCTCCGGGAAGTCAATGTTGCAAACTCACTTAATTTTATTATTAAGTCTTGCCCCATGAAATATTTCTGAGATGGAGCCAACAGCCAAGGGACGGACTGAGGAGAGTTTCAGCTACGTCATCAGAGCCCCCAGCAGTGAGGGGTTCGACATAATGAACGTTGATGTGAAGATTGACACATCCTGGATATTCCAGGACATGGAAGATAGTGCTGAGGAGCGGGAATGTCTTCAGGAAGAAGCAGCTGGCCGCCCAGACATGGATATGGGTGCGCTCAGGAGGCAGCTGGAGTCCTCCGAGCAGAAGCTGTCAGCAGCAGAGGACAAGTACGTGACATCGGAGTCCGGGCTGAGAAGCAGGTAGCGATGCCATTTTGATCTCTCTGTGTGTATTTCACAAACCGCGGGGCCATCAGAGTGTGTCACCATGGTGTGTTGAATCACACCACACAGCTGGGGAAACTGGCTCACCAAAGACACGTAACCTGCCCACGCAGTCACTTGCCTTCTGCTCCTCCCGCCCTCCTTCTTCTGCTCTGTACCTGCAGATGAGGCTGCCCGGGCTCCTCTGCTCAAAGGCTTCCATTTAGGTGCAGCCAATGGGAGGCCCTGAAACGGAGGGAGGCAGGGAGAAGCCAGGTGTTCTCCCTCTCTTCTTCTCTGGGTGACTGTTCCATGAAAGGGCCCTATGTTCAAAGTGACAGGGAAGTGTAGAAGGAACTGAGAAACCAAGGACAGAGGCAGACAAATCCAGTTGGTCGGTTTGGGGTGATTTTTTTAGGGGAACTGGCAGACAGAAGCATGGTTTTAGGCAGCCGCCAGACAAGTAGATGTCCACACAGCAAACCTTCCATCCCCAACCCAGGGCTTATATCCTGGGGAAAAAGCATGTGTGCTCTGGAAGGCTTGCATAGGTGGCTACAGGCATCACAGCCTATGGTTTCTGCAATGACAAGGGTTGTTTTGGAGGAAACTCACAATGAATAGGTGTTTCTACGTAAACAGAACTATATCAACTCCACATCTTGGAGGCATTCGTGGACTCAGGGTTAGTCAAGAGTCACCTGCTGGATTAGCGTTTAAAATAAAGTCACTCTTGTTCCCACAGTGACATCTCCCACTGTGGCTGTAACTCAGATGTGCTCTCGGCTTCCTCTGCGGTCCCAGCTCCCGCTGGGTGGCCTGGCTGCTCTGCCCTGCCCTGGTAACATCGTCTCTTCCCTGTGTGGCTGTCCAGCCCCAGGGGCAGAAGTGGCTTCCGGCAGTTGCTAATCCAGGCTGCCTGTCTCTGTCTGGCCTTTGGACTCTGCTGTCATCTTTGAAATAGGTTCTCCGCATTCGTTTCTCTCTGTAGAACTTCCTGCTGTGGGCACTGTTTGCCTGATGGAGCTGACCTGGCCTCAAGGTGGGGCGTTTGAATCCAGGTCTTTCTCTAAAGCCCATCTTCTTTCCTGACGATGTCTTGACACCCAGACTGGCAGAACGAGGTTGGGCCTTGTATATAGATCAGCGAAACCCAGCATGGAAGCACAATGCAGTGACAGCGGGGATTGATTCTGACACGTTACTCATATCCCAGCAGCCACGTGCCTTGGATTTTTGCGGGACTTCCCCATTTTCTTGTACTTGCCTTTGATTTAGTAAAGGCAGACCATTGAACGTGTATGCACATGTGATTTACTTTTCTTCCTTTTGGTAAAGTTTTATGCATGAAGAAATTCACAAATCAGAAAAATTCTTCTGTTACTCTATGTGATTGCCCATTCTTTCATTCATTCTGCAACGCACTTACCCTCCGAGAGTCATATACAAAGTTATGTTAGTTTGCCTGGGTTGCCATGACAAAGCACAGTAAGTCCTCACTGAACGTTGTCTATAGGCCCTTGGAAACTGTGACTAAGTGAAGCAACCTACAACAAAACCAATTTGTTTTTGTTTTTTATTTTGCTTTGTTTTGAGATGGAGTCTTACTCTGTCACCCAGGCTGGAGTGAAGTGACATAATCTTGGCTCACTGCAAACCCCACCTCCTGGGTTTAAGCGATTCTCCTGCCTCAGCCTCCCGAGTAGCTGGGACTATAGGCGCCCATCACCACGCCTAGCTAGTTTTTGTATTTTTAGTAGAGACAGTGTTTCACCATGTTGGCCATGCAGGTCTCGAACGTCTGACCTCAAGCGATCTGCCTGCCTTGGCCTCCCAAAGTGTTGGGATTATAGACGTGAGCCACCACACCTGGCCACAAAACTAATTTGACCATAGGCTAATTGATACAAATAAGAGTTAAGTTCCTACAGCATATTTCAGGTCACAAAAACATCACCAAACTTTGAGATAAAGACCCCAAACACTTCTAATGTTAAACATTGAAATAAATGTGAAAGGCTCAAACAAATTTAGATTTAAGAAAGACTCAAAAAAACACAAGTAAGATGATTATTTACCCAATTGTTCCAGTTCAGGGTCACAGGTGGCTGAGGCCTCTCCCGGCAGCTCAGGGTGCAAGGCCTGAACAGGACACTCACACCCACGCGCACACTCACGCAGGCTGGGACTATGTCGACATGTCAAGGATGGTGACATGGGGATATGGACCCAGATTCGCCGGCTGGTCTCTAAGACCAATCACAAGTATCCTTGCGAGAGGGAGACAGAGAGGGTTGAGTCTAGGGATGGCAGTGTGGCCGCCAGTGTGGGATTGCATGCAGCTGGCTCCAAAGATGAAGGCAGGGCCAGGAGCCCAGGAATGCAGCTCTAGACCTGGAGAAGACCAGGAATTGGATTTCCCCTTCAGCCTCGGAGAGGGCTTGGCTCCACTGACAGCTCGACTAGCTCAGGAAGACTGATTCCGACTTCTGGCCGCCAAGCTTGTGGTGACGTGTTACAGCTGCAGGAGGAGACCAGGGTACCCCGAGAAAGCCCACACAGACATGGGGAGAATGGGCAAACTCCACATAGACAGTGGCCCTGGCTGGGAATCTTTTTTTTTCTCATCAACATTATAATGAAATGGCATTATTTGCAGACCTGGGTGACTTAACAAAAACTTATTTTCTCACATTTCTGGATCCCAAAAGCCCAAGCTCGGGGGGTCGGCAGGATTGGTTTCTCCTGAGGCCTCACTCCTTGGCTTGTGGACTCCACCTTCTCCCTGTGTCGTCACATGGTCATCCCTCTGTGTGTGTCTGTGTCCTCCTCTCCTCCTCTTACAAGGACCCCAGTCGGATTGGATCTGGGCCCACGCTCATGACTTTCTTTCAACTTAATTGCCTCTTTGAAAGGGCTTATCTCCAAATATAATCACATTCTAAGGAACTTGGGGGTTAGGCCTTCAACACAGGATGCAGGGATGTGTTGAGCCCATAACAGAAGTCCTGGGTGCTGAGAGTTGGGGAAGGCAGGGCCCTGGGCTGAGAGACTAGCAGCGTAGGCCCATACAGGGTTGTACATTCAAATCTTCTAGAAAGGTTGGTGGTGGAAACCAGAAGATCAATGGACCCCAGGAAGACAGGCAGGGAACTCCAACCAAAGGAGACCCCTCCATGGGGGAGGGAAAGACAGAGATTCCCAGGGGGACACCATGAGCCATAGGGAGGAGGGGCCTCTGTGACTGGGCCTGTGGGGGGATGTGGGCTCGAGTCCTCTGTTCTCTTTAAAGATGGGGTACACCATCTTGCAGAAGAGGGGTCAGGGGAGGAGAAAAGGGAGCTGGCACAGGGCTGGGCCCTCCCATACTTGCCCCATCTTGGCTCCTTTGGACCCTGTGATGCATGGGGTGACATCATCTCCTTTGACAGATGAGTAAACTGAGGCTGAGGGATGAAATACTAAGTGATCCAGGGCTGCTAAAAGCTGAGGCCAGGGTCTGAAAGCACAATTCTGAGCACAGATTTCAGGTGAATGTTGCAATGTGTTTGGGTCTAGCTGGGGCAGGGGAAAGGCTGGATAGTATGTCTTGGGTTCACATTAATTAAAGAGTTGAAGCACAAAAGTATTTCTTCTCAAAATAATATAACAGCTTTGCTAGAAATGTGAGGAAGAAAATCCCACTCCCATCTTCATAACACTATCATTTTGCATATTTATTCCCCATCTAAATGCAGTAAAATTAATAACAGCTAAGCACTTACCGAGTACTTGTTCAGTACCAAGCCACTGTTCACAGGCTTGACAAGTATTAACATAATTAACCCTTAAAACAATACTAGGCCGGCCCGGTTGCTCGCGTCTGTAATCCCAGCACTTTGGGAGGCCCAGGCGGGCTGATCACCTGAGGTCGGGAGTTCAAGACCAGCCTGACCAACATGGAGAAACCCTGTCTCTACTAAAAATACAAAATTAGCCAGGCGTGGTGGCACATGCCTGTAATCCCAGCTACTCGGGAGGCTGAGGCAGGAGAATCGCTTGAACCCCAGAAGCAGAGGTTGTGGTGAGCCGAGATCACGCCATTGCACTCCAGCCTGGGCAACAAACGCAAAACTCCATCTCAAAAAAAAAAAAAACACACAACTTAAAAACACAGTAAAAGTATCATCCACACTTGTCACTGGTTTAATCAGGGAACAGTGTTCCTTCACTGTCTATGTCATATTCGTGAGTGTATTAGCTTCCCGTGGTTGCTGTAACACGTCACCACAAGCTTGGTGGCCAGAAGTCGGAATCAGTCTTCCTGAGCTAGTCGAGCTGTCGGTGGAGCCAAGCCCTCTCCGAGGCTGGAGGGGAAATCCATTTCCTGGTCTTCTCCAGGTCTAGAGCTGCATTCCTGGGTTCCTGGTCCCGCCTCCATCTTTGGACCCAGCTGCATGCAATCGCGTGTTGGTGTCCACAGGGCCGTCCCTAAGTTCAACCCTCTCTCAAGGACACTTGTGATTGGTCTTAGAGACCAGCAGGTGAATCCGGATCCATATCCCCATCTCACCATCCTTGACTTAATCCTATCTGCAGTCTCTCTTGCATTTTAAGGTAACATTCATAGGTTCCAGGGATTAGGGCCTGGATGAACTTGGGGCCAAAATTCACCCTGCCAAAGTGAAATTCGTCATTTTCTGCTCCGTTTAAGATTAGGAATCGTATCAGAATTAAATACTGTTCTCATATTTATTGTTACAGATTGGTCTCAAAACTAGAAAGAAAGGCTTTTGTTTTTCCTAGCAAATCTCCCCATATTGTATAACTCATCGGAAAGTGCTCAGCCTGACTCTGGCTAACTGGAGCTGCTCCTGTGGTCCAGTTTGGAAGGATCTTGGTTATGATCCTCACGAGAGAGCACACTCTGGTCTGCCACCCTTGAGACCTTTCCTCAGGGCATGATAACTGGAATAGGAGAGGGACTCTTGGCCTTATCATTAATAATAATGCATCATATAATTTAATCTTCATGAAAACCTACTGAACAAGGTTAATGACCTCTATTTTATAGATAAAGTTACTGAGGGTCATAGTGCTGAACTAGCCCTGTTAAGACCCCATGGCTGGTGAATGGCAGAGCCAGCAGGCAAAGCTAGTTCTTCACCCAGGGCATCAGTATCTGTCCTGGATGTGCAGGTGCCCAGCGTGGACTTGGGAAGGAGTGAGGATATGTAGAGCTTAGGCATGGAGGCTGTGAATGCACCTTCACGTGTATCATGGTTTCTATTATACAGGCAAGACTGACACATTAAGGGGACTTGGAAACTAGGCACAGTGGGAGACAGGCCAGTCTTTGCAGTGCCTCCTCTCCCCGTGGGTCTGGGAGCCTGGGCTTTCTTTTCGGACTTTCTCCCCCGACCCTGCGTGTGTCTCCCTCCCACAGAGCTGCAATCAGGGTTCACATCCAGTCTGGGTTCTATGTCTATGCCTGCTTGTGACATAGCCCCAGTGTGTTTGCAAGACCATGCAAAGTCTTCCTGTGACTTAGCCATTCCTAATAGACAGTTAAGCCACTTCCAGCTTCTCATCTGGAAGACTAAGTAATGCAGAGATTAATTTTTTTCAGTTGCAGAAACGTTTTTCTGAATTTCAATCATTTCCTTAGGTTTATAAGAATGTAGCTAAAACGGGAGACAGCAGAGCAGAGGCTGACAATGCTGAGTCCGGAAGTAAGACTGACTAGATTCTATAATGCTGTGTGGCTTTGAGCAAAAGTCTGCCCCCTCTGATCCTATTTCCTCATGTGTGAAGTAAGGGTAGCAGAACCCACCTGCAGGCTGTTAATGTGAGGATTCATTGAAACCACCAAGTTAAAGCTCTTAGCCTAAATGACTCAAGCTCAGGTGCTCTGAGTTGGCATTACCTGAATCTGCAATTACTGGCTTCGGTGTGAGGACGTTGAAGATTTCTGATGCATGGTACCTAATTGTTCAAATAACGTCTTTGAAGTACTATAGATGATCTTTAGAACTATATACATGAATATTATGCAAAACGTAATTTTGTCAGAACATCACATTGGCCCAGTGACAAAAACAATAATAATAATAATTTGGCCCTGGTGTCTGCAAAAGCCCTAGGCCATGTTGACTGCACCCTGAGCAAGTGCCTCCCTGCTTTTCATGCTGCAGAATTCAGGAGCTGGAGCTGTCAGAAAGGAAACTCCTCCGGAAGGTGGACCAGCTGAGCACCCACGTGGCCCAGGAGAGAAGCGCCTGGCTCCAGGCCCAGGAGAAGCTGGCGGCGCTGCAGGGGGAGCTGGCCAGCCAGGTACCGTTTCCTTCTCCTTTCCAGGCCCTGTTTCCTGTCCAGCAGAGCCGTGGGAACTCAGCAGCAGCTGCAGTTGGGCAAAGACAGTACAGGGTGGGCCTGGGAGAGCCCAGTCAGGAGGGTTAGAGAGATCCTACGTTCATGGTGCATGGCGTGACTGCGGGGCCTGGGGCATGCAGGGATGTGGGGGTGGGGGCTGTACACTTGCTGGAAGCTCTTGTGCCTGAGGACCTCAGCGCCAGGCCACAGACTGAGGACAGGAGTTGGCTGATGCAGGGCTCCTGGGGTCCGGAGCTCTTATGCAGATGGGGGAGACTGATAAGAAACAAATAACTCTAAACCCGGATGTGGGGTGCCATGGGGGAGTGTGCGATCCCCCATGGCGTGTGTTCAGGGGGCTAGGGGAGTTGAGGAGAGCTACAGAGAGCTGAGGCCATGTGAGCTGGGCCTTGTTGGGAAGGGCATGTGAGGCGTGGCTGACAGCACGGGGCCGTAGCACAGAGGTGTGGGAGAACACAGAGGATATCACCGTGCTGGGGACGGAGTGGGTGAGTCGGAAAGTTCCAGAGGGGCCAGGTGGCCAACTCCGCTGCATGGCCCAATTCTGAATACAATGGGGAACAAGCTTTAGGGGACTTAAGTAGGGAAGCCTCAGGGTCAGATGGTCATTTGGGGAATGCCATTCTCCCTGCATGGGAGAGAGAGATGATGGAGGCAGGGGGAGAAGTTCGAGAGCTCTCTGGAGAAGCAGTGGGCAGTTAAGGGTGGGGGGCTCTGGAGGCAGAGGCCTGGAGCCAAACCCTGGCTCTGCCACTCGATAGCTGTGTGACCTTGGGCAAGTGACTTAACCTCTCTGGGCCTCAGTTTCCTCATCTGTGAAGTGGGAATGATATAGTACCAATCCCCTCAGATTGTTGTGTGGGCTAAGTTGATACATGTAAAAGACTCCCAACAGTAGGTATTTAAATGACACTATCTGCTTTTATAATTATTAGCCATTACTAAAATTTTCCAGGGGAAGGACGATGGGGCTGGAGGGCAGGCCACTTTTAGGAAAGGCTGCAGAGGCAAAACCCACAAAACTTCACGGTAGCTGCATGCACCACCCAACTGTCCCTGGAGGCATCCTGTTCTAGTCTGCTGCTATTTAGGATGCAGCCAGGGATTTTCAAACTGCAGGTTGCAACCCATCTGTGGGATGTGAGATCGATTCAGGGGCTTACAACTAGCACTTAAAATCAGATCAATATAGACTAAGAAATATGCAAGCACATCGCACGTGCTAGAGGGAGTGCTGTTTTGAGAAACTTGTTTCAGCTGTACACAGGTGTGTGTATAATGAGCATGATGTTCACAGGTGTTTCTTATAGTGGGAAACTCAGAAAAGCTGGAAAAGCACTTGACATAGCTATTAGCTGAAATAGAAGTGGAAGTGGAAAGATAAGGATTCCAATTAAATTGAAAATAGTCCTTGAGATGCCAGGGAGATATCCTAGTGGAATTTTTTTCCCCTTTATACTGAACTTCAGGTGCAGAAAATCGAGTTACTTCTCCCTGGCTCATAGTACCTCATCATTACCATCCTGAGGGGAGTTTTATCATAGGTAGAGCGGCGTTGAGTGGGACTCCTCTGCCACTGATGTGATGTCTCCGTGGAAAATATTGTCACAAATACTTTTCGAGCCATGCCCTATGTGAATGTAGGATTTCCGAGGTGAATTGGACCCAGCCCTGTAATGATGTTCACAGTGTGATGAGGGGCAAAAGATGAGGGTGACAGCAAGTGACATGCTGTTAGGGAGTGAAAGGTACTGCAGGGACCAGCAGTTTCTGCAGGGGAACACTAAGCCCTTTTCTACACGCGTCGTCTTATTAAATCTGTCTCATGTGCTGTGTATGCTCCCGGGAAAGACTCATCACAAAACCCCATTTCCAGACAGGCGGCAGATGTTCAAAGTGATAGGGAAATTGCTTAGGGTCTCTCAGTTGCCCCTTGGCCCAGCTGCCACCCAGCCCCCAACCCTCTAACCCTAAATCTCTCGCTGCAAACATCTGTATTTTGAAGCGAGTTTTGCAGGAGTGCTTGAGCGAGTTTTCCATGCCCTTTGCACCTGTATGTACCAAATGGCAGTTTTGCTTTGTTGCTGCCAATGTTTCCAGTAAGCATTTGCATATGAAGATGCCTCGTTTCTGTAGTGACCTGCGGTCATTCTGAAAGCTGTCAAAGGCAGACCATCTAGGCTCTGAAATCCCTCCACCGGGCACCATGCAAAGATCATTACAGAATACACGCCTTCAGGAAGACCAGGAGAATTGTCCTCCCAGGGAATCTGACCCTGACTTTTATCTGCCCCACGTTCCCCAAAACTATCAAACAAAGCTTGTCTGAGCTGTTTCCAGGTTTCCTCTTTCACGTTTGCTCTTAGTTTGTTTGTTTTTGTTTTCCGGAAGCTCCCCGGCAGAAGAGCAGCGGCAGGTGACAGTAGTTGAAAGATTAACGTAGACGTAGTTCTATCCCTTTGCTTGAATTAATTCTGAAAAGTAGGCAACGGCTCTAATTTTCGCAGTGGGTTGTGCACCCCAGTCCAGCTCACGGCCCGTGGGTGGGAGGAGGCAGATGTGTTCCCAGGCCAGGCAGGTGGGCAGATGAAAGAAGAAAAGGCCTGAGTCAGATACAAGGCGCTTGGCATCCTGGCCGCAGTGAATTTTAGCTGCGTGATATGCAAGTCACTCCTGAGTGTCTCTCAGGCTAGTAACGTACCTCCCTCCAGGTGGAGTATCCACAGTAATGACAGCTGCTGTGGCACTGGTATTGCGACTCACCTGCTGGGGCCAGCTGACCCTGGGTGGGCCAAGCATTGACCCTGTAGGTAGGAAGTGGGGATCTCTGGGCAGTTCTGTGGTGGAAGTGGGGACACCTGGGAGGCTCTGGAGCAGCTGTGTGCACTCAGGTGCGGACGTATTCAGTATCCGGACATCTCCAGCGGCCCTCAGGGTGTGTACTCGCTGATGGCCATCCTGCCACCTGCACAGCTCCCTTCCAGGACTCAGGGAGCTGTTGAAGGTGCAGGGCCCAGACTAGGGTGGATGAAGTGAGGGAGACACTTGCCTCCGTGCAAAATTTAAGAGGATGCCAAAACAGTCAAAGAGATAATACTTTGATGCACTATTACAATGCACAAAATGCAAAAACGCACCATGCACAAAATACAGAAATGTTAAGTCAAGACAGGACCAATGTGAACCATGGTGTGTCCTTTGGGCTTGCTGACGCCCTCATCCACCGCCAACTTGTAGATCCGGGAGGAGAGCGTGGCCAGGCGGCAGCAGTGGCGGCTGCGGCGGTTGCAGGAGCGGTTGCGGCGCAAGGACGAGGCACTGGGGCAGCAGGCGGCGGCCCTGGAGCGCTGCCGGCGGACCCAGCGGCGCCAGCTGGGCCTGGTGCGGGAGCAGGAGCGCGTCCTGCGGGAGCAGGTGCAGCGGCTGGAGCGCAACGTGCGGCGCCTCTGCCGCGCCGCGGGCCTCCTGCTGGCCCAGTGGGACACCGCGGCCCCAGGCTCCCAGGGCGCCACCGAGGCGGCTGCGGAACTGCGCGCCCTGCAGGCGAGGGCAGAGCGCAGCGAGCGCGAGCGGGAAGAGGCGGCGCGCAGCCTGCAGGAGCACCGGGCCACCGAGCGCCAGCTCCGCGGGCAGCTGGAGGAGCTGCGCTGCTGCATCTATGGGCTGAAGCTGTCAGAGATTGGCCTGCAGGGCCAGGTGGAGGACCTCGCCCAGCAAAACCAGTGCCTGCGAGAGGAGCTGGGAGCCCAGGCCCCTATTGGTCACTGCAGCCTGGTAAGTGGCGGGAACTCAGGGTAGGAATGATCTTTTGCCTTTCTCCTTCTCCTCCAGCCACTTGGTGAAGTCATTGGCCCATCCATTCCCCGGGCTCCTCTTCCTACAGCCGTTTAACCCTGCCAGCCCTGTCCATCGTCCTTCACTGCATCTACTCACCTCCCCACCCACCCTCCCATCTAACCTCACATACTCATTCAGTGCACGCCCACCTCATTACCCATCCACCAACCGTGTCCACTCACCTGTCCATCCTCAGATGCACACACTTGCCCATCATCCATCCATCTACCTATCCAACCACTCGCCCACCTACCCACCATCATTTTGCCATTCATCCTAACACCTGTTTGTCCACGCAGCCACTTATGAGCCCACTTACTAAACCACTTGTTTTCCCATTGTTGAAATCTGTTTGGGCTTTTATAAAAAATACCATAGATGGTGGCTTATAAATAACAGAAACTTATTTTTCACACTTTTGGAGGCTGGAGGTCCAAGATCAAGGCACCAGCAGATTTGGTGTTGGGGGAGGGCCTGCTTCCTGGTTCACAGATGGTGCCTTCTCACTAGGTCCTCACAGGGCAGGAGGGAGAGGGAGCCTTCTGGGGTACTAATTAGTAAGGGTACTAATACCATTCATGAAGCCTCCACCCTCAGGACCTAATTACCTCCCAAAGACTCCACCACCTGACACCCTCACATTGAGGATTAGGATTTCCACATAAATTTGGTGGTGGTGGGGAACACAGCCATTCAGACCCCAGCACTCACCCACCCACTTGTCTAGCCACGTTCCATTATCTTCTCATTCACCACACCATGTGTTCATCTATCTACCCCTCTGGCCACTGGTCAGGCAGCCAACCAGCCACCTTGTATCCCTTATTGTCCACTCACTCTTGTCCATCCATCTGTCCAACATCCAATGAGTTCCTGCTGACAGCCAGGCCCTGCGCTAGACAAAATCTTCAACATGCTGTGCCATGGGACTCATATGTGCTTGTGAAGTCCAGTCCCTCTCCTCTGGAAGCAGTCATCTCTTCTCCCACTTTACCTGTAGCACCAAAGGTGACAACAGTACCCTGGTGGCAATTCTGTGCTTGCATCTTCAGTTCTCCCTCTTTAGACTGTGAGCTCCTTGAGGTCAGGGTCCAGACATGATGGTCTTTGCAGCCTCAGTCCCCATAGCAGCACACAGGAGGGCCCCAGCACTGTGGAGTAGAGAGCACACAGGGTAGGGTCCCTTCCTGGTTTGCATATTTACTCGCTGTGTGACCTTGGGCAAGCTTCTTAAACTCTGGAGGGCAGGCTGGACATGTGTTGATTCATTTGATTGAGGGGAGGGTAAAAGCTTACATTTTATGTATTCCTACTGTGTGCTCGGCTCCATACTGGGTGTTTGCAAAGACATTATTTCATGTAATGCTTATGAAGGCAGGTGATATTCGCATCTTCCTTTTGCATTTGAAGAAGCTGAGGCTCAGAGGACAGCATCTTTTAACTGTTGTCACACAGCTATTAAGGGACTGAACTGGAATGTGATCAAAATTTGATGAGAGTCCAAAGTTTATTGTTTCTACTGTAGCAGCCTGCCTTCTGCAATGGAAGCACTAACTCAGCTCCCACAAAACATCTACAGCCTGCCTCCCCGCTGTGGCTCAATTTGCATTTAAGGAAAAATGAGTGAGCAACCTTAGCCCAAAGAGGAGTGCTCATTTTTTGGAAATAAAATTTATCTTTAAACCTGGACAATCCATTTAAAATTACCTGGAACCTTAAATGATCTGAATTTTCTCAGGATTGTAGTAATGTATTAACGGCTTCATCGGTGGTCTTAGTTGACCTTCTTACTGCTTTATCCTCCTATTCTCGCTGTTGTACATTTCCTGTTTGTTCTTCCTCCTTATGTTCATCAGATAAAAGGAAAACAAAGTGTATAACATTGGCAACTTGTTGTAATTTTGGAAAACAAGTGTGCACAGATGGAAATTGTCATTTAAAATTCTCTCTGTAATTTTCCTAAACGTAAGACTTTAGGCTGTTGGCTTAAGTCCTTCTTCCCCCAATCTCTCCATTCATCCTATCTTCCTCTTGTAAAAGTCCCAGTGGCCCCGGGGAACTGCACCTCTCATGGGGCTTGGCTTTCAAGGCTGCACTGCAGGCTGCTGTGTACAGTCGCACTTCTCAGAAATAGCTACCTGCTATTTCTTGAAGATGGTTATCTGGGAGATAGCACGAGTACCTATGTATTTAGGAAGTACTGCTCATGTCTTGGCCATTCTGTTTTCTCATGTAATCCTTAGGACAGCCTTGTGAGACAGGTGCTGTTTACCCACTGAACAGATAGAGAAGCTGAGACCCAGGGAGTTTAAGTGACATCATCACAGGCACCAGCTGTTAAGTATCATGGCCAGCAAGAGGACATGGCCAGAGCAGAGCCGTGACTTCTGCCTGCTGCCCAGACCTCGAGATCCTGGGATCGGAGTTTGTTATTGAGGAGCCTAGGGCAGCAGCAGTGGCTGTATTTAGTAGATTCTATGCCATAAGCTCCCTGGCTCCTTGTCAATGTGTGTCTGTGACCTTCTCAAGGTTTCATGCTTCCTCTTATAAAAGTCCCAGTGGCCCAGGGGAACTGCACCTCATGTGGGGCTCAGTTCTCAAGGCTGCACTCTAGGCTGGCCTGCACAGTCACACTTCTCTTGAAAGCTCCCTAAATTGCCCATCAAGTGTGGTCCCCAGCCACTTCTGCCTCGGTCTCTCATCAGCAGAGTAGCTGAGAAAGCAGGGTTGTAGCCCAGGAACCTGTGGAGTGTAGAATGCTGAGCCTTCAACATTGGAGTGGAGCAAGATGCTCATACTCAGAGTTGCAGGCAGGAATGCAAGTGGAGATGATGGAGGATTCCAGCACAGCTCTGCCTCCTACCAGAGGAGATGCTTTCAGGCAGGTTCCTAAATTCTCTGTACCTCAGGTTCCCAAGTGTGAAATGGGACTAATACTGGGATGATGATGATACTAGTGCATCCTGGTGTGGTTGTGAGGATGAAATGAGAAAGTACAGGGAAAGCTCTTAGCTCAGTGCCCGGTATATTTTGAGTGATCAGTCAAATCTAGCTTCTTTCACTGTCAGCATCATCACCACCATCACCATCACCATCACATCATCACTATCACCATCATCACCAACATCACCATCACCATCACCACCATCACCATCGCCGTCATCACTGTCATCACCATCACCATCATCACCATCATCACTATCATCACCATCACATCATCACCACCATCACCATTATCACCATCACCACCACCATCAACATCACCATCACATCATCACCATAATCACCATCACCATCACAGTCACCATCACCATCACCACCACATCATCACCATCACCATCATCACCAACATCACCATCACCATGACCACCATCACCATCATCACCATTACCACCCTCATCACTATCACCATCACCATTGCCACCCTCCTCCTCATCTCTTCCTGGGCTTGTGCTCATCTCATCACCATCACCATCATCACCATTACCATCACATCATCACCACCATCACCATCATCACCAACATCTCCATCACCATCACCACCATCACCATCATCACCATCACCATCATCACCATCACCGTCATCATCACCATCACCATCATCACCATTACGATCACATCATCACCACCATCACCATCATCACCAACATCACCATCACCATCACCACCATCACCATCACCATCATCACCATCATCATCACCATCACATCATCACCATCACCATCATCACCATCACCATCATCACCATCACCATCATCACCATCATCACTATCATCACCATCACCATCATCACCATCACCATCATCACTATCACCATCATCACCATCACCATCATCACCATCATCACTATCACATCATCACCATCACCATCATCACCATCATCACCATCACCATCATCACTATCACATTATCACCATCACATCATCACCATCACCATCATCACCATCATCACTATCATCGCCATCACATCATCACCATCACCATCATCACCATCACCATCATCACCATCACCACCATCATCAACATCACCATCACATCATCACCATAATCACCATCACCATCATCACCATCACCATCATCACCATCATCACTATCACATCATCACCATCACCATCATCACCATCATCACCATCACCATCATCACCATCACCATCATCACCATCATCACTATCACATCATCACCATCACCACTATCATCACCATCACCATCATCACCATCACATCATCACCATCACTATCATCACCATCATCACTATCATCACCATCACCATCATCACCATCATCACTATCACATCATCACCGTCATCACCACCATCACCATCATCACCATCACCACCATCAACATCACCATCACATCATCACCATAATCACCATCACCATCACAGTCACCATCACCATCACCACCACATCATCATCACCATCACCATCATCACCAACATCACCATCACCATGACCACCATCACCATCATCACCATTACCACCCTCATCACTATCACCATCACCATTGCCACCCTCCTCCTCATCTCTTCCTGGGCTTGTGCTCATCTAGTAGGATGTTGGGTAAATCACCCTCACTACCTACACTGTAATTTTCTCTCTCTTGACTTTTTATTTATTTTTCCTGAGGGCTTATCCTGGACTGGAACAGTTTAGATGTGAGTGTAATTTGTCACCATTGAGCTGCCTGAATGGCTGGTGGGAGCTCAGGCCAACATGTCCCTAGGGTGGATGGGGCCTGCGGTTACCAGCTCCTGTGTCCCAGCAGCCTGTGGATGGGCTGGGGAGACTCAGAGAACTGCAGTGGCCTTGTGCAAAGGGCCATCTGGGGACGGCTGTCTGGGCCAAGGAGCTGAGAGCCTTTACCTAGGTCTGCTGCAGGGCAGAGCAGGTGGGTGAAGCCCCCTGTCTGGCAGAAGACCTGGGATGTGAGAGGAGGTGAGGGGAAGGGGCTGGCTTTCATCTTGGGAGCTGCCCATCTGTTACTCACTTAATCCTCAAGCGACATGGCCAGGTAGGTGTCCTCCTGTCTGCTTCATAGAGGAGGCAGAAGGCTCAGAGATGCAGTGTCCTGTCCAGGGTCACACAACCAAGGAGTGAGGCCCCGATGTAATTCCCATTCCCTGCCTTTCCTTTCATATCCACCCAGCCTCTTGGGCTGGGAGTTTCCCAGAGGCAGCGGTGGGTGCTCATGCAGCTGAGAGCCGCCCTCCAAGGACATGAGGATGGCACCAGCAGCGACCCTGAGTCAGGCTGCCAGGGATCTGAGCCCACCTGGTGGGGGGAAGCTCTGGGGCAGGAGAGCATTGTCTGAGTGGGCAGGAGGGGCCCCAGCCAGCCACAGGCCTAGGGACAGAGTGACAGCAGCAGGCAAGGTGTTCCCAGCTGGTTTGGAGCTAGCTGCTGCAGGTAAGGGCCAGATCACCTGGGGTATTCCCGGGGCTGCAGGTTGGGCCTTGAGGAAACAGGCAAGGCACAGCATGTTATTTTCCTGGGGCTGCTGTAACAAAGTACCTCAAACCTGCTGACTTAAAACGGCAGACATTTATTCTCTCCTAGGTCTGGGAGCCAGAAGTCGGAAATCAAGGTGGCAGTGGGGCCATGCTTCCTCCTGAGGCTCTAGGGGACAGTCTGCTCCTTGCCACACCCAGCTTCTGGTGGCTCCTGGCAATCTTTGACTTGCAGACGCATCACTCTGATTTCTGCCTCCATTTTCTCTTGGCCTCTTTCCTCTGTGTGTCTGTTTCTGTGTCTCTTCTCTTCTTATCTGGACACCAGATCTTTATTGGATTAGGACCCAGCCTAATCCAGTATGGCCTCACCTTAATTTGATCACATCTGCAAAAACACTATTTTCAACTAAGGCCACACTCTCAGGTACTATTTCTTTTGGGAAGGCACAATTCAACCCACTCCACAAAGTTATGTGGCAGATGACGGCTTATGGTCTCTTCTCCTCCTCCAGGTATTCCCTGACCCCAGGAGCCTCTTTTGTCCTCCCAGGGCCCTCACATGCATGGCTGTCAGTGCTGGGCTGAGCCTCCCAAGGGCAGGGCTGGGGCTGGGTGTGCTCTGCCTTCCCGGTGTTTGCTGAGTGCCGCAGGCACACTGACATGCTATACATTTATTTATTCATTCATTTACTTCAGCCAAAACATGCATCTTGCAAGACAGGCACTGTCCTCTTTATTTTCTGCTGCATTCCCAGCACTAGCACAGTCCTTGGCACAGAAGAGGTGCTGGGTGAATATTTATTAAGTAAAAGGAGGAAGGAGGGAAGATAGCACTGACTCTCTGTTATCAGAGCCTGTGTGGGTTGAGGCCCCTTTTCAGCCCTGTGAGGCGGCAAGCAGATGATCTGGCTTCTTGGCTCGTTTAGGACACTAGTTTCTTGGGACATGCCATCTCCCCTGTGGATTTCTACTGGATGAGAAATAGCGGTAATTGTCTCCCTGGTGGTGTCAGAGGGAAGAACCCAAGAGACCGTGATTGCAGGAACCCGCTGAACAAACGCTGGATAACATTCTCAGCATAAAATATCATGGAACACGAACTCCTGACCTAAAGTGACCAGCCTGTCCAACATGGTGAAACCCTGTCTCTACTAAAAATACAAAAATTATCTGGGCATGGTGGCATGCGCCTGTAATCCCAGCTACTCGGGAGGCTGAGGCAGGAGAATCGCTTGAACTCTTGGGGGCAGAGGTTGCAGTGAGCTGAGATCGCGCCATTGCACTCCAGCCTGGCAGAACGAGACTCTGTCTCAAAAAATAAAAGAAAAAAATGTCATTGGGTAATCACTGATTCTGCCTTCCAGCAGTCTAAAACCATGGCCCTTGAAAAACCAGGTTAGGAGAATTTCGACTAGCAAGAGGCTTGCTTTGGCTGTGTGTGTGTATCCATTTTATCATGGCTTTTGTGTTTCTGGTATCACTTGCTCTAACTTCCGGTGGAGGTGGGCTCTCCTGCCACTTACCGATGGGTTGCCCTTGGAGGGGACTCAGCACCGCTTCCTAATAACATCCCTTTGGGGATATGGGTTTTAACGGATGAGTTTTGGGGGGACATGAAAATTCAGACGGTAATATGGTGGGACCAGGATTTGCCCTTTGGTGAGCTGATCCCATAGCTGTGTCGCACGCCCTGTTTCTTCAGTAAATACTGGTCAACAGGTCAACAGTCAGGATTTGATGGTACCCACTTGGTGCGTGTGCTTGGCTCCAGTCTGAGCTCAGTACAGGGGCTGGGGAGTGAGACAAGACCCTGCCCCACAGGATGACAAAACAGATTGGGTGAAGGAGGTAGGGGCAGAGGAAAGGCAAGGAAATGAGCCCTGTGGAGTCCGTGGGTCACTGGGGGAGGACCCTGGTGTTGCAGTGGGGGCTGGACCCAGGCTGCAGCATGTGACAAGGCTGCCAGTCTCTGTCCATCTCTCAGAAGGAAGCTGATGGCCCACAAACAGCATCTTGAGGTCAAAAAGGGCTGCCTGGAAAGGAAGAATTCCTCCTGAGAGGGCCACTGGGAAATGTGAAGAGCTAGCCAGCCACCAGCTCTCAGGTTGAATGCAGCCTGGAATTTATAAATTAAAGTGTTAGAACCCATCGATAAGGAACTGCAAAGCCAGATGCGGCTCTTCATGTCTTGGTGGAAATTGCATGAGCCTCAGTGGCCATGGCTGTGGCTTCCAGGCCTCTGCACATCTGTGAAGTCGCAGAGTCCAGAGAGCATCGCATGCTGTGTGACTGCCCAAGGCTGCCAGTGCATCTTCAAAGGACTGGGAGTGACCCAGGAGGACCGAGAGCCACACGCAGGTCTTCAGCACCTTGCTCTGGACAACAGTGGTGACTGTCAAAGGATCTCCCTCCATAAGCACCCCACCATGGCTGCCCACGGCCTCAGGATCAAGTTCAACCTCCTATCCACGGCATTCAAGGCCCCCGGTGTTCTGCTCCTTCAAGCTCAGTCCCCCATATGCCACCTTAGTCACACTGAGCTGCAGGTCCCTGAGTGTGCCAGGCTCTTCTGCCTTGTAAGCCTTGCCTGTGTCTGGAAGCTTCTAGTGCCCACCCCCACTCAGGCTGTTGGAAAGCCTTGCTACTTTCTCTTTATTTGTTGGGAATGTTGCTTTCTCTGGAAGACTTCCCTGATCTCACGTCAGCTCAGTGCCCCCGAGGTGACATGAGCCACCTCTGGTGGCCCTGATGTTCACTGTGCCCAGATGCCCACTCCCTCAGCTGTGTGCCCCTCATCATCAAAAACTGGTTCACTTTAGCTCTATTCCCAGTCCCTGGCCACCAGCTGTGAAATGCTTGATGAGTGAGTGCCTTGAGGCATCGGTGAAGTTATTTGCTCCACTGCCCACGGGAAAAGGAAGCTTCTGGCTGAAGGGACTGCTTCACAGTGGCAATGCTGGGAAGTGAGGCATAGAAATGGGGAAATGGTGGGGAGGGTCTAGTCCCAGAGATGTGTACCACAGATAGAAAATCATCACGAAAGCCGACTTTCATCAACTTTTGGAGTGCTTATTGCCTGCCCAGCGTGGTAATGTGTTGCGTTCCCCACAACAAGCTTATGAGGTGGTAGAGTTATGGATTCTCATTTTGCAGAGGAGAACACTGAGGAAGGGAGGTAAAGTCACTTGCCCAAGGAAGTGGAAGCAGCAGTATCTGAAAGGAGGCACAGGCTTGGCCCCACCTGCAGTGACCCCTTGGCTATGTCTGATGTGCTCTGGGAGCCATGGTGTGAACTATGGCAAAGGCAGTCATTATAAAAGTGTGTTTCCTTTGCTTCATATTCACAAAGCACTTTCCTAAACAGGAACTCATGAACTCTGCAAGGTAGCCGGGGCAGTGCCCTATCCACAAACCTGTAGTCTGGAGGATTCCCGTAACTTGCCTGGGGTCATATGCTTCCTCCCGAGGTCACATGTTTTAGAGCAAGTTACTTGGAACCTTGATCCCCAGAGGAACGGACCACTGCAAGGACAAACCCTGATGTGGGGAGGAGTTTGGGGACAGGGTTTCTGCTCAGGGTAAAAGGAAGTAAGAACCATTCATATTTGGCAAGACAAACGTGGTTTATCTGCAGATGGGTCTGAATGCTTTCCCATGAGTGTGCACTGGGCACCTGCCATGTCCCAGGTGCAGTGAGCCAGGCATGAACCTTGCCCTCCAAAAGCTTATAGAGGAGACAGACACAGGTGCAAACCATGACACTACAGTGATGCTACGGCAGAGGGCAGCACAGGGCTGTGCCTGGCCTGGAGGGTCCCAGAGATGCTCGTGCAGAGAGATGAAAAGCCAGGCTCTTAAAAAGTCCTTGTCCACTGTCATCCCAGAGCTGAGATCACGATCCCACGTCAGGGGCTTCAGGAGTGACTGGATGATCCCGCCAGCCTCTATGCCCTGGCAGTGTGCGTAGAGTGACCCCTGGTGGCAGCTACGTGAATCTCTTTGTTGCTGGGTGAATTGCAGGCAGCCTTGCTCACTGCTTGCTTTTGTGCAGAGCAGGGTATTACACATTTGTTTCTCTCTCCAGCAGCAAGCAAGAGCTTTTAAAAAAAAAGCAGTGTCAATAATGTCGAAAAATAAAATAGGCAAAAGGGATGAACATGCAAATAATGTAAAAGGAAGTACAAAATGGCCAGTGGTCTTAATAAAAAAATATGGACAGCTCCATTAGTTAAAAAATAACGCCAGTGAGAAAAATCTCAGGATCCCGTTTTCTTCTGTACATCTGTCAAAGGTTAAAAGGGCCTGCAGCCGTGTGGTGTTTGAGCTATCAGGAGTATAAATGAACATATCCCTTTGGAAGGGCTGTCAAGCAGTAAGTATTAAATGCCTTTAAAAAAGGTTTATGCCTGAGTCTCAGCCATTTGACTTCCACAAATATATCCAAAAAGTGATTGGAGGTGCAGAAGAGTCATGTACAGTCATGTTTATCTCAGCTCTGCTTATAGTTGGTAAAAATTCGTAACAACCCAACTGTCCAATAAGAGGGAATTGATTTGATCTGGAACTATCTCCCTTTTTTCCTCTCCCTTATAGCAGAGAATATTAGTTAGCTATAAAAACCACACTGCAGAAGATCCTGTAGAGAAATGATCCTTCTATATCATTAAATGCAAAATTCACAAAGTAAAAATTTACATTTTGTATAAATAGAACTTTCGCAATGTCTATGCATAGGAAAATGTCTAGGCATAGAAAAAAGCCCAGAAGGGCCTCTAACACATTCATGTTTATGCCCGGATATCCTGATATTTCTCATTTTCTTCTTTTTGCTTATAATTGCACATGAAAGCTGAGTCCAGATTAAGTTACAGGCAAATGTTTTCTTGAGGGTTGAAATGTAGGATGGACTGATAGAGCAGGCAGGGAGGCAGAAAGTTCCAGATCAGGTTTAGAAACCTGAGCTCTGCTCCTGTGCTCCTGTCGACTTACTGTGTGACCTTGGACAAGTGACTCACCCTCTCTGAGTACTGCCTTCATCGGTTGTGACATGAAGGGGTAAACTAGACAATGGGCAATGTTTCAGTACAGCGTTGTCTTCTAGGTTGTGTCCGCTGGATGTCACTTCCTCGAGGCAGGGATCTAGGTATGTTTATACGTGGCCGTGTCACCAGCTCCAGAACAGGGCCTGCCACATAGTAGATGCTCAGCGAGCATTTTTTGAATTGCATTGAAGTCAGCCTGGGTATGATAACAATCCAAAAAATATACCACCAGTAACCATTTCTACCTTCTGCGCTACGGAGTGGTCTCCACGCTGCCTACCCAGCCTCTCCCTTTTTCTATTTATCTAGTCCTTCCTCTTCCTTCGACTTCTCTCTCTTCCTGCTTTCACTTTGAATTTCTGTCTCTTCCTTTCCCTATCCTATTCCCTCTCCTTTTCCTTTGTCATTCACCTTCTTTCACTTCGTTTCTTTGATGCCTTCTTTCTCTCTCATTTTCTCTTTTCCCTCTCACACTCCAATGATGATTTTAAGCAGCTGACAAAGTGTGCAATTCTGGTTGAGTGGGAACCAAATGGATAAAGACAAGAGGCAGCTGAATGGGACCGTGAGAACGTGGGACAGCTGCAGCAGCCAGCAAGGCCCTCTGGGTGCAGGCAGGTGGCTGTCAGGACAGGATGTCGCTGCCCAGGCCCTCAGGGTTAATAGGTTTGGGTTGAGGCTCCTGCACTGGTTCTTGTTTAAAGCTTCTGGGTGACTCCATGATGTGGCCCATGCTGAGGCCCCTGGCCTTTGAGAAGAAATGGACAAGACCCAAACCATCATACAGATCAACAGGAGGCCACCAACCCAGAGTGGGAGGAGATGAAGGCCAAAGAAGGCCTCATTAAAGATCGGCCTTTAAGCAGGTCCCAGAAGGGGAGGAGGTTGACCAGGCAGAGGGTGGGAAGAGAGGTCCAGACAGTGTGCAAAGGCTCTGAGGTGCGGGGAGAAGAGTTCCTTCCAGGAGCACAGACGTGGGTGGTGGTAGCGGGGTGGAGGTGGGGGCAGTGAGGCCGGCGGGGGTTTCTCTTTCAGTGTAACAGGAAGCGTCGAAGGGTGAGAAGCAGGGAGCAACCAGATCCAGTTTCCATTTTAGTGCCATCGCTGGGGGCTGAGCAGTGCGTGGAAGGGAGGGGCCTGGAGCAACAAGCAGAGAAGGCTTTGCCTGCAGCAGGCAAGCGATCCAGGCCCCTCCCAAGAAGGATGTGACAGCCAGGTGTCAGGAACAGCATATGGGAAGGTGCAGAGGCCGGGGAGAGCACGGACGCGCTGGGACAGGCAAGCAGGTTGCTGTGAGGGGAAGCTGGCGCAAAGCTGCAGAGGTGGGAACAAGGTGCCCAGGCAGCAATGACAGCCCATAGATGGGCACCAGCACCTAATTTCAGCATTCGTGCTGACCCTGTAGCCAGAGGGAAGCCAAGGGAAGCCTGGGTGATCAGCGGGTCTCCCTGGTAGCTGCAAGAAGAACCTGAAGGAGGTAGGAGGACCAGCCAGGAGTCCGATGCTGGGTCTGCTGAGAGAAGGTGAGGACCTGGGGAGCAAGTGAGAAGGGGACAGGGCACTTCCCTGTTCACTTCTGTTTTCTCCTGGCCTAGAGCCACACCTGGCACACAGCAGGAGCCTAATAAATGTTTTCTGAATGAATGCACTCGTCAATCTAAAACATCTACTTTTCCCAGGTTCTATCTGTCCACCCAATGATGAAACATTTATTAAGCACCTACCGTATACAGGCTAGGATGAGGGTGCAGACAGAATGAAGCCAAGTTCTCTTCCTAAAGGAGCTCACAGTCCAGTGGAGTAGTAGGTATGTGAGGCAGCCAACAGCACCGGGCTGGAGCACTGCAGTGGAAGCAGCCAGGGCTGTGGGAACCCAGAGGAGACCTGTGCCCAGCCCCTCGTGAGTGGTGGGTGACAGCTGAGTGTGTGTGTGTGTGTGTGTGTGTGTGTGTGTGTGTGTGTGTGTTTCCAGTCCCAAGCCTCTCCCCTGTGGCAGGGAGGAAGGAGCTGCCTCTGAATTATCCTGACCTGCAGCAGGGCGGCAGCTGGGGAAGCTCCACACTGTGGAGAAGTCCAGGGGACAGGGCGCTGCCAAGGTACCGGGCAGTCGCATTTGGAGCTTATTGACAGTTGAAGGACAGGACGGTCCAAACCCCCTGGGCAGACACCCTCCTCCCTGGGTGGGACATGGAAAGAACCTCTGCACAGGAAGGGTACCTTCTTCCAGGGTGCCCTGGGCTGTGTTCGGGGTGACTCACTGCCCCCACCCAGGGAGGAGGCCCTGGACCTCTGCACAGGAAGGGTGGAGCTGGGAGCCTTTGGTGCCCTTTAGGGCAGCAGTCCACTTTTTTGGCACCAGGGACTGGTTTCATGGAAGACATTTTTTCCATGGGCAGGGGGTGAGGGGGATAGTTTCATGGTGAAACTGTTCCATCTCAGATCATCAGGCATTAGTTAGATTTTCATAAGGAGCACCCAACCTAGATCTCTCGCTTACGCAGTTCACAATAGGGTTCACGCTTCTATGAGAATCAAATGCCGTTGCTGACCTGACAGGAGGCGGAGCTCAGGCGGTAATGCCTGCTCGCCTGCTGCTCACCTCCTGCTGTACGGCCCAGGTCCTAACAGGCCACGGACTGTACCAGTCTGGTCCATGACCCTGCTTTAGGGGATCTGGGTGCTTCTTGGCTGGACAGACATACTCCTCTGAGGACTGAACGCTGCCCTCGTTGTCTGTGGACAGGAGTCTAAGTGCTAAGAGAGGGCAGTTTGGCCTGGTGAACCAAAAGCACAAGGCCGGGGCTGGGCTGCCAGGCTGTGAGCTCTCTGCCCTCTGAGCCTCAGTTTCCTCACCTGTGGAAGAGACTCAAGCTCCCTTCTGGGGAGGGGCCCCTGGGGATGGGCTTGGAGTACACACTTCAGCCAGGACACTGACGGCTCCTGACTTCCTCTGTCTTCCTCCAGGATGCTCTGGGCTGTGTTCAGGGTGACTCACTGCCCCTGCCCAGGGAGGAGGCCCTGGACCCCTGCAGAAGCCAAGACTGGCGGAACTCCCTGCGGTCCAATGATGCACCCAGACAAAGGGCCCCAGCAGGTGCGCGGGTACCGCGGTGCGTGGAGGACGAGTCGCGGGCAGCACCCACTGAATGGCTAGCTCACTTCCTCCTTATCATGTCCCGATGACGCAGGGAGAGGGGGTGGTCCCCCCTCCCTACAGACAAGAATCGAGGCTCAGAGAGGTAGGGTCCCTCTATCAGGGTCACACAGCTGCTGCAGGTGGGATCAGAGTATGCAACTCCCACCAGGGGCCTTTGGCTCGGGCTCAGCTGAACACAGGCTCACACCCTTGGCCCTCGGGAGGGTGCCAGCCAGGGGGCCTCATAGGCCAGCAGGTTGGCAGCAGGGACATGCTTTCACAGAAGTCCGTATGATGGCCAGGAGCCGTCCTGTCCCCCCACTTCCCAGGTGACACCTCCAGTGTGAGGCAGTGAAAATCGCACTTGGCAGGTCTGGAAGCTGCTGGGGCTTAGAAGCCTCTTGTCCCTGATGTGAACCAATATCTCTCTCTCTCTTTTTTTTTTTTATTTATTTTTATTTATTTTTATTTTTTTATTTTATTTTTTTGAGATGGAGTCTCACTCTGTCACCTAGGCTGGAGTACAGTTGTGTGATCTCGGCTCACTGCAACCTCAAGCTCCCGGGTTCAAGCTATTCTCCTGTCTCAGCCTCCCAAGTAGCTGGGATTACAGGCTCCCACCACCATGCCCGGCTAACTTTTGTATTTTTAGTAAAGATGGGGTTTTGCCATGTTGGCCAGGCTGGTCGTGAACTCCTGGCCTTATGTGATCCGCCCACCTCAGACTCCCAGAGTGCTGGGATTACAGGCATGAGCCACCACACCCGGCTTGAGCCCATATCTCATAACAGCCTCAGCCGTGGCTTCCAGAGCCCCTGCACTCAGGGAGCCTGACAGCCACGGCGGCCAACTGGGCATCTGTGGTTTATTTCCAGCCCTCCAACCTCAAGGGCTGTTAGGGATGGTATTATCCTCCATATGTGTAGCACAGTGGTGCTGCTGACTGATGCAACCAGCGTTTTCCCTTTATCTCATTTCTGGGGAGCAGAGCTGCCATGTCGACTCAGGTCAGATGTGTCCTCATGCCAGCTGTGCAGAGCTGGGGTGAGGCTCATACCCTGTTTGACAGATGAGGATGCTGAGGCTTAGAAAGGTTTGGTGGATTTTGTCCCGTGCAGGAGTCTGTGGGCCGCAGAGGTGGCATGGAGCCCTGGGGTCTCTGCCCACCTGCTGTTGGCTATTTCACGTCTCTGAGCCTCAGCTTCCTCCCCTGACCAAGGTGCTGGTGGTCATCAGGCTGCCCTTGGGAGGCTCACAGTCGGGGGTGGGGGGGGTGCCATCTTACCCAAGCCTGGGGGACGTGGTCCCTAGAGGCGATCATGGCAGAGCCCCTGGGAGCATCTTTGTAACCCCCAGGGTCTTGTTGCTTTCCAGGCCAGTCCCCAGAGGGGCCCTGCACCTGGAGCCGCATCAGGCCTGGACGGGCCTCTTCTGTTTTGGCTCCAGGCCCGGAGACCACAAGCGAGCTCCCCAGAGACCTGGCCGGATCCAACCGTGAACAGGTGAGGCCAGAGGCTTTCTGCGTGTGTGTGCAGTGCCACTGGTTCCCCTCAGCCCTGCCTCATGCAGGCTATGTGGCCACACGCAGGATGTGGGAGGGGTAAAGAAGCTCCAGGTCTGGGAGAACATTCTGGAAGTAGTTGAGAGAGAGATTTGAGGAGAGGAAATGAAACATCCTGAGACCTGGATGGGGGGTGGGGAGGAAGGGGGTTAACTGGGTGCCAGGCCTGGGCTTCCACGGAACAGGCTTCATCTCGTTGACACCTCCTGACACCCACGAGGTGTTGCTGCCACCTCTGCTCTGGAGAGGAGATGAGACTCCAAGGGCTGCTGTGACTCCCCAAGGTCCCCAGCTTGGAGGTGGACCCCGAGATCCAGGCTCGACGGCCCACACTGCCCCATGCTGGCCCTGAGGGTCAGGAGCCTGCGTCCCAACTCACCTCCCATGGCTCGCTCTGAGGCTGAGGCAGTCGTAACCTTTCTCCACTTCCATTTTCTCATCCCTGAGGAACAGAGCTGTGCTGGGACCCGCGAGCCCGGCTGTGGTTGTGTGGTTGTAAATAGAGAGGCCCTCCATCATCTCTTCATTCATTCACATCCTGCTCACGATGTATCTCTTATTTTTGTTGTTGGATGTCACATCCCTATATGCCTCGCTCCTCACCGCCCCCTTCCCTTGAAGCCCAGGGCAATGTCTTAGAACACGGAGGTGCCCCATTTGACAGGTGAGGTGGCTGAGGCTCCAGCAGGTTAAGGAACTTGCTCAAGGTCACACCCAGGATTGAAGCCAGGTCTCTAGGTCTGTACCTTTCTGGGGCAAGTGCTCTTTTCTCTGTGGGCAGCTGGGACAGTGCCTTGGTGTCTGGATGGAAGGACATTGCAGACAAAGGCAAAGACAACAGAGGACGAGGTGCTGCCCACTGGCAGCTCCAGGGAGCAGGGATGCGGTGGCCCCTCCAGGCAGGGGCAGCACTCCTGGCCTTCAAGCCCCCTCTGCCTGAGGGGGCTCTGCTGCTGGTATGTCACCCTCCAAAGGCTCAGACCCCCTCTGTCCTTTGAGATGCTCCCTCTGTCCTTCTCTTCTGTGTCTTAGACCTGCTCAGCCTCTCCCAGCTATTCTAGGGGCTCCACTGAGAACTGCCTGCAGCCTGCCAGGTCTGGGAGGAGCCCCTGCGGACTCACAGTGAGCCTAGCTCAAGGCAAATTTCATCCTCAGGCCTCCTTCAGCCCAGCTGGGGCCTCTGCTGTGAGCTGGGCTCCTCCTCTCTGGATAAACACATCACATAAGTGAAGATAAAAATACATTAAAAATATGGAGGAAACACCTCCTGTGTGCCCAGCACTGTTCTAGGCCCAGGAGTTGAACAAAGATGAAGTCCTGTCCTCAGGGAGTGGACCACCTGCACCAGCCCCATCCATGAGAGCCTTCTGCAGCGCTGCTCACAGTCTGCATCTGCACTGCCCAAGACAGTAGCCACGAGCCACATGGGGCTATTGCCACCGTAGAACTGAATGTTAACCTTGATTTAATTACTTTACATTTTAGGAGCTCCATGTGGCCTATGACTAGTGGATTGGACAGGGCAGGGCTATAGGGGGAGTTAGATGATATAGACAGAAATATATAATATGGTGTGAGGGCATGGAGGGTGCTGTGGGAGAAGATGACATAGGGTGGATGGCCCGAGAGTGAGGGAGAGCGGTCAGGGAGGGCCTTTTCAAGGAAGTCACATTTGCATTGAGATGTGAATGGAGCCAGGGAGTGAGCCATGAGGGCATCTAGGGGAAGGACATTCTGGGCAGAGCGAAGAGCACGTGCAAAGGCCCTGGGGCGGTACCAGCTGTGTCCTGTGTGGGAAAGAGCTTGTCCCCTGTGCAGCTGGTGAGGAAACACGGAGAACCCCAGGAGGTGAGTGGAGGTGGGGGTGCTAAATGGAGGAAGGGGCTGTTTCACACCTCATCTTCTCTCTCCATTTGTAGCTTACTCTGGCAGAGCCCAGCTTGGATGAACAGATTCTTCTCCTGGTCTGTGGCTGCCCACCAGAGGAGTGCTTGGACGAGTCACTCCTCCGCATGGACCTGGCCTGGATTTCAGAGAATCTAGCAGCTGACCCAGCTGCAGAAGCCTTTCTCCTGGTGCAGACATCCGCACTCCCTCTCTGGGGGCCGGCTGGGGACTCCGCTTCTTGGCGACCACTGCTGCTCCAGGAGGTTCCCTCAGATGGACAAAAAATCCAAGAAGAGTTGGCCACCAGGTCCCCGCCTCCTCCCAAAGCCACAGGACACCCAGGCTGGGATTGTCACCAGACAAGAGGCCGCGGTGCCTCCCTCTTCCACGAGGCCCCCTACATTTCAAATCACCCATTTCTGAAAAAACACCCCAAGGATCTGAAAGACACTTGGAACAATGGAGGAGGAAGCCTTGCGGGGAGAACTGAAGAGGGGAAGGCAAGGGGGACTTTGGGCAGGAAGGGGAAAAACCTTGGTGACAAGTACCAGCTAAGTCAGGAAAGCCATCAGAACCTGAGCTTGGAGAATGGGGCTGGAGCTGCAGAGGACGTGCAGGATCAGAATGGGGCTTCAGAGACTAAGGCCGCCACCTGCCGCCCTGGGTCCTGGCAGGAGTTTTTGATGCCTCTTCTACAGGGGGAGGCCTCAGTATCAAAGGAGGGTCCCGAATCCCTGAGCAGGAGGGAAAGGGTGGAAGGATACGTCTGGGGTCTCCGAGGAGGACTGTCATCAGAGAATGAGGAAGTGGCACCCCCAGCCACCTTCTCCAGGGCTCATGAGACCAAAGAGCCATGGCCAACAGACAGTCAGCTCCTCGCAGGGAAAGTCAGAGCCACTGGGAGGACAGCTAGGGGCAAGGAGGAAAACCAAGTGTGGCTTGGAAATGCTCTGCTTCTGCAAGGAGGAAGCCTGGAGGACAAAGGGCTAGAGGAAGAGGATGAGATGCCGCATCAAGAAGCATCCGGTCTGGGGTGCAGGGGTGCCCCCGAGGAGCCTGACTCCCAGGAACATGAGAGCAAGGAAATGCTTTTCTTTGCAGGAGAGACAGGTTTGCCACTGTTTCCCAGATTTGCCTTATCAGTTGAAGGGGCCGAACCCACTGATCATGGTCATCCACAGGCTGTGAGCAAAGGACACAACAGGTGTGCACTCACAATCGATGAGCTTGCACAGGACGTGGAGGCTTGTTTCCAGCAGCTGTCCACCCTGCAGCCGGGCAGCAGGGGCTGGCAGTGCTCAGCCTCTGCATGTAGGGGAGAGAACTGGAGCTTTGCTCAGAAGTGGCACAGTGGCTGGGAGAGAGCTCACTCTCAGCAGGTTTGGGGAAATTGGGGTATTTGTTCTAATGAAGAAGCGAAGTCTAAAGAGAGTGGTGAAGGTGATAAGCCGGGAAAGACCACGGCCCTGGGCACCAGCGAAGTTCCTGGTAACCCAGGGACACTGCCTCATTGGGATGAAGCCAGCCCAAACCCTCCACAGGGGCCTGCTGAGCCCTGGGGTGCCCTCGAGAGAGTGAGGAGCAGGTTTCATCAGCTCATTTCTGGATTGAAGAAACAGAGAAGCCAGATTTTACATGACAACACCAAACTTCACGGAGACCAAGAGAGGTTCCATGAAAGAGTGTGCGCCCTTGAAAGAGAGAGAGAGAGAGAGGTGACAAAAATATCCAGGCTCGAGCGGGATAACCACAGGCTGGTAGGGGACATCTCTCAGTTAAAGAAAGAACTGGATCAATATTTACAGGCAATCTCTGACCTTGAAGACTGCAATGGGAAGAGTTACTGCAAAATTTTGGAGCTTGAAGAGGAAAATGAAACACTGAAAGGGAATCTGGGCCAACTCCAGAAAGCCACGTCTGAGAGTGTCAGGAAATCCAAAGACACGATGGAGCAAGTCACCCTGGAAAACTGGAAGCTCCAGACACTGATCTCGGAGCTTGGCGTCAGTTATAAAGAGCTGATAAAGGATATCGTGCTAGGAATAGAAGACATGATCCGGGCCTTAAGTGGGGAGAACGAGCACCTTCTACGCAGGGTCCATGTCCTGGAGAGGGAAGTCACCTTGCAGAGGAGCACGGATCAGGGGCGTTTGGTGAGGGGAAGGGAGCACCTCCAGGGAAAAGCCAAGATGCACGCTCTAGACAAAGAGGTGCAGGTGACTCCACTCACAGGACAGCTGCTTTCAAGAGCCTGTGGGCCACCCTTGGAGGAGGAAATGAGTCTGGCTGCAGGGCAGACAGGACCTTCCACAGGCACCGGGAATTCCAGACGCGGTGCTGATTCTCCCCCTCCATCGCTGGTCTGGAGAAACACTGGTGTAGCCAATGCCCTGCAAGGAAATGTCAGTGGAGCAGAAGTGAAAGAAGCACATTTGGAGAAAGAGGAGAAGAGGCCCAGGTGTTCTGTGGCTCAGGGGCAAGCTCTGAGCTCCCTGAGCAATGGCCCCATGGTAGGTTGGGTCTGCATATCTGCTTACTCATCACGCATGACTCTGTTCCGGGGGCCACCCCATTCACTTATGCAATTCACCAGAGTCCTGTGAGGGAGGTACAATCATCCTCCCCACTTACCAGATGAGAGGAGGTTGGTACAAAGAAAACAGAGAAATGCAGTCACTGCAGTCACATAGCCAGTGAGGGATGGAGCAGGGACTCACACCTGGGTGCTCTGATCCCGGGATCTCTGTTCCCACCTGCTATGGGAGATTCAAGCCTGCCCCTCTTCTTAGACTCCAGCAGGGCACCCACGGGGTGTTCACACTTTAAGATCAGCCCTTGCATTTTCCAACCCTGGGGTTTTTCAAGTGCTCCAAGTACTAATTCTGTACATTGGGTCTTGAAAGTTGCAATGAAAAGAACAATGGACTGTAGAGCATGATAAAACCAGGTTCCAACCCGGCTCTGTGCTTTCAGAGCTGTGACTTTTAGGCCACATGCAGACTTCGCTTGAGTCACTCTCCTCATCTGTGGACAGTTCTTGACTGTTGGGAGTCTTGGGATAAAACACTCATAATGTTCCTACGGTGGCCTTCACCATGTGTAGGATATTTAGCGTTGAGACCCTGGCATTCATTCATTCCATTTTCTATCTCTATTTCTCTCTCCCATCTCGCTCCACCCTCTCTCCCTCCTTTCCTGTCTCTGTGTCTCCTTCTCCATCTTTCTGTCTCTTGCTCTCCCCCTCCTGCCTTCCTTTCCCTCTTTCTCTCTTTGTCTCTCTCTTCCTTCTTTCCTTTCTCTCTTTCCTCCCCACCCCCAACAATGTTATCAGTCATTTCAAAGAATCTGTTTTTACTTTTATTGATTTTATTTATTGTTTGTATTTGATTTATTGGTTTCTTCTTAGACCTTTATTGTATTCTTTTTTTTTTTTTTTTTTTTTTTGTGAGACAGAGTCTCGCTCTGTCACCCAGGCTGGAGTGCAGTGGTGGGATCTCGGCTCACTGTAACCTCCACCTCCCAGGTTCAAGCAGTTCTCCTGCCTCAGCCTCCCAAGTAGCTGGGGCCACAGGCACATGCCGCCATGCCCGGCTAGTTTTTTGTATTTTAGTAGAGACGGGGTTTCCCCATGTTGCCCAGGCTGGTCTCGAACTCCTGAGCTCAGGCGATCTGCCCACCTAGGCCTCCCAAAGTGCTAGGATTACAGGCATGCGCCACCGTACGAGGCCTTATTATATTCTTTCTCCCACTTTCTTTTGATTTAATTTGCTGTTCTTTTTCTTGCTGCTTGTGTTGAAAACTTAGGTCATTGATTTTCAGCTGTTCTTCTTTTGCAATCTATGCAATTAAAGCTATAAATTTCTCTCTAAGCATCCCACACATTTTGAGATGAAGTCTGTTCAGTTCAAAATAGTTTCTAAGGATTAGAGGTAAGGAATATGTACTGCCTATCTACTATGTGCCAGGAAATTTATATACTATCATTTATTCCTCAAAATTGCCTCAAAATGACATTGTTAGGGCCAGGCATGGTGGCTCATGCCTGTAATCCCAGCACTTTGAGAGGCCAAGGAGGGCGGATCATGAGGTCAGGAGTTCGAGACCTGCCTGGCCAATATGGTGAAACCCCATCTCTACTAAAAATACAAAAATTAGCTGGGTGTGGTGGCATGCACCTGTAGTCCCAGCTGCTTGGGAGGCTGAGGCAGGAGAATTGCTTGAACCTGGGAGGCGGAGGTTGCAGTGAGCCGAGATTGTGCCACTGCACTCCAGCCTGGGCAACAGAGCAAGACTCTGTCTCAAAAAAAAAAAAAAAAAATGACGTTGTTATAGCTAGCCCTGTTGTATTGATTTAGAAATTAAAGTCCAAAAGGATGAAATAAAAACAAGCAACAACAACAACAAAAAACCTAAAATAGCTTCTAATTTCTATTATGATTTCTTCTTTGACCCATTGGGTTATTTAGAAATATGTTGCTTGATTTCTAAGCATCTCTGGAGTTTTTCAGTTATACATTTGTCCTTGATTTCTAGTTTTATTTCATTGCTGTCAGAAAATATACAGTATATTATTTTAGTCTTCCAAAATTTGTTGAGACTTGTTTTATTGACCAGGTTGTGGTCTATGGCCAACAGTATATCCCACATACCCTTGTAAAGAATGAACATTGTTTGATTGTTGTATATCAATTAGGCCAAGCTGGTTAATTGTCCTAACAAAATCTCTTCTATCTTTGCTGATATGTTGTCTATTTGTTTTGTCATTAACCAAGACATGTTTTAAAATCTTCCACTCTGAGTGTGCATTTGTGTATTTCTCTTTTTAGTTATGTTATTTAAAATCTATATGTTATAATGTTCTTTAATTTTTATGTATTTATTTATTTTTGAGACGCTGTCTCGCTCTGTCACCCAGGCTGGAGTGCAGTAGTATGATCTCAGCCCACTGCAACCTTTGCCTCCTGGGTTCAAGTGATTCTCCTGCCTCAACCTCCCAAGTAGCTGAGACTACTGGCACCCACCATCACGCCCAGCTAATTTTTGTGTTTTTTAGTAGAAATGTGGTTTCACCATGTTGGCCAGGCTGGTCTCAAACTCCTGACCTCAGGTGATCCACTGGCCTCAGCCTCCCAAAGTGCTGGGATTATAGGTGTGAGCCACTGTGCCCAGACAATTTATTTTATTTATTTACTATTTTTTCTATTTGTCTCATCTGTTCTGTTTTCTTTTATTCTTTCTTTCCTCCCTTTGTTTTTGGTATTAATTATATTTTGTTATTTATTTTTTTTCTCCATTAGCTTATGTTTTAGTATTATTCTTTTAGTGGTTACCCTTGGCATTTCAAAAATGTATCTAGTAACTATTTAAATTTACTTTAAATTAGTTTTCTTTACCATGTCCCAATTAATATAAAAATTTTTCAATAGTTTAACTTCATTTAATCTTTTTACTTTTTATTATTTATTTTTGTTATATATTACTCCTATGTAGAATAAATCTTATAAGCCACTGTTATTTTAAACAATCATATATTTTTCATTTACCCGTATCTTTACATGTTCTTATTCTGTTCTTTCTTTCTTACTCTTCTGTGGCTCTGATTTCCTTTTGCCCTAAGAACTGTGGGATTTTTTGTAGTGATAATTTTCTGGTGATTAATTTTCTCATATTTCTTTTTATGAAAACAATTTTTTAACCTTCATTAAATTTTTTTTCTTCCCATTGGATTCTGAATTTTAGGTAGCCAGGTATTTCACTCTTTTGGCTCTTTAAAGATCTCATTCCATTGTCTTCTGCCTCTCATAGTTTCTGTCCAGAAATCAGTCATAATTGTCATTGTTTTTCTCCCTCACTCCCCCTAAAATAAATGTGTTGTTTTATCTCTGACTGCTTTTATAATTTCCTATTTATCTTTGAGTTTTGGCAGCTTCACTATAATGTGCCTAGATATGGTTTTATTTGTTTTTGTCCTGCTTGTTTTAATTTTTTTGTTTGGTTTTTTTTTTTAGCTTCTTGAACTTGTGTATTTTTGTCTTTTCTGTCAGACTTAGAAAATTCTTGATCATTATTTCTTCAAATATTTCATTCTGTTCTATTTTTCTTTCCTCTCCTTCTAGAAATTCAGACTTTTTGGCTTTATTTCACATCTTTCAAAAATCCTGTATCAGTTTTAAAAAATGTGTGTTTCTGTTTGCATTTTCTATTGACCTCTCTTTTAGTTCACTAATCCTGTATTCTACCATGTCCCACCTTCTGTTAAATCTATTCAATGAGTTCTTAATTTCATTTATTGTATTTTGCAGTTCTAGAATATCAATTTTATTCTTTTAAAAAGAGATTCTGGTTCTCCGTTGAAATAGTCCATCTGTACATCCATTTTCTTTATTTTTCCTATGTTTTAAAAAATACATAGATCATAATTATTTTGAAGACCTTGAGGGGTTTGGTTTTGTTTTGTTTTTGCTGCTAACACCAATATTTGGATCATCTCTTTGCCTGCTCCTATTGACTATTTTGTTTAATGGTGAACAGTCACATTTTTCTGCTTCTTCATGTCTAGGAATTTCAAAAACTTTTATGTTGGACATTGTGTATAATATTTTATGAAGATTCCTGATTATTGTCTTTCTCCAAAGAATGTTGAGTGAATTTTATTCTGGCAGATAGTTGCGTGATCAGCAGATCATCTTATTCTTGTGTAGGCCTATTTAAGTTTTGCCCTCAGACCTAGTAGGGCTTGATATTACTCCTAAGGTGAGGCCCTTGCTCTTAGGGCATGGCCTCTCAGTGATATCAGCTGAGTTCCACAGCATTCACCAAGTGCTCTCCATTTTGGCTTTGCCAGAACTCTGCAATCTTCTCAGAAGTGTGTGACCTGTGACATCTCTTCACCAATTAACCTCCAAGCTGCTGTTCTTTGCAAGGCTTAGAGTCTTCTACTGTGTCACATAGCTTGTGATTCAGCCAAGGACCCAAGGGGCATTTCTAGGACAGTATTTGGACTTTCATTCTCTGCAGCTATCTCTTCCCTGTTACTTTGTCCCACAAACACCAGCAGTCTTAGCATCCTTAAACTCCAAGCTCTATTTCTCCATCTAGCAGGACCAACACTTTCAGCTTGGGCTCTATTTTCGAGACCATTGTTTGGAAAATATTTCAGAGAGAAACCCAGGGAAAATGTGGAGCCTGCCTTGTTGTGCAGGCTTTTTCTTAAGGATTGTGACCCTGTACTAGTCATCTTCCAATGCCTGCAAAGCATTACTTGTATATATTCTCCCCAGATTCTATAGTTGTCCAATACCAGTGAGTAGGAGTGTGGAAATCTGAGGAGTTGAATGTTGAGCTGAGACTTCGAAGGTTAGAAAAGAGCAGCGAGGAAGAGCATTCCAGGTAGAGGGAAAAGCGAGCGGCCAGGCCTTGAGGCAGGACAGAGGCTGGCTCATTGGAAAAACAGAAAGTAGTCAGCGTGGCTGGATTCCAATGGGCAAGGAAGGGTGTGGTGTGAGATGAGGTTGGAGAAGCTGTCACAAGGCAGGTTGCAGAAGGCTTGCAGGCCCTTGTTTGGATCTTTTCTAGATGTGGTAGGAAGCCAACAGAGGGTTTTGAGCAGAATGATGTGACCCAGTTTATACCGTGAAAAGATCTGTCTGCTCTAAGAACAATGGTTCGGGTGGATTGAAGGAGAACAGCTGAGAGGAGTCGGTGGCTGGATAGCCAAGAGGTGACACTGGGGTTGAGGAATTTGCAGTGAAAAGTGGAGCTGGAGTCCACGGGACTTGGTGATAGAGCAGAAGTCACCAACACCTGATGTATTACTCTTTGACCGAAAACCCTCTGTGGCTTCCTACTGCACTGGGCATGAGATCCAAATTTCCTACAGTGAGCAGTGCTCTGGCCCCTGAGACTCTCGGGAGCTTCCACTGTTGCTGCTTATACCCCCAGCCTCCACACTCCATGCTGCCACCTCTGCCCTCATTCTTCACCTTCTTCATCCACCTCTCCCTGCACCCAGCTTTCTCCTCTAGGTCTCCTGCTGGGGGGCCTCTCCTCCAGAAAGCTTCCCCCCACCCCCAGGCTGGTTCTGTGCAGAGATGAGTCAGAGCCTACTCATGTGTGTCTCCTCCCAGCTCATGTGTGTCTCCTCCCAACTCTGCCTTCAATGATACCATTTTGGTAGCTTGCAGTCAGTCATGGTGGGAATATTCACGCCATGGAAACTGGCAAATGCTACAAATTGGTACTGTCCCCCCAACCCAGATGTGGTTGTTGTACAGTTGCCACCCCCCAACTGGATGATGTCTCTGTTCAGTGCCCCCTTCAGGTCATCACAGCCTCCTGGCTTCCCTTTATCAGGCTGTATTGAATGTTGAACTACCTGCCTGTCATTCTCCACACCCGCCTGAGCTCCTGGAGGGCAGCGTCACCACCGCCCATCTCAGGCCAGCGTACACCCTGCCCATGTGCTCATGATGTCTGCTAGACAGCAGGAGACTCTCTGGGCAGCTCACAGGGCTGCTGTGTGGGGTGATCCCATGGGACAGCAGGCTGCCCACCCCCCACCGCACAGCCATTCTCTTTAGAGGATACCTTGGTGCTCTCTGAGGACCCATGAGACGAAGCTCTGGTCCAAGTCACTGCCAGAGGAGGGAGGTAGAGGAGGCAATGTACTTCCCAGAAAGGCCAAGTTGTTTTGACGTCTTGAAGCTGAATTTTACGGGACCATTCAGAGCACCCATCTGTTCTTAACACGGCCCAGCCCGTGCATCTCAGGCCCATGTCGTGTATATTTCTATTAATTAAAAAAAAAATCTTCTGCTATTGTATATTTTATTATGAGAGATGCCCCAGCAGCCCTGGAGTCACCTGAATTCTTCCTTCTCCTCCTCTTCTCCCTCGTCTCTTTTTCCCAAGCAGGGTAGCTTGGGATCCCCCTCCTACCTACCCCTGCTAGGTCGGGATGAGTTTTGGGGGCCTTACAATTCCCAGGGAAGCTGCCTTACAGGAAAAGGGAACTGCCATCACAAGGGGAAGGGAGTTTGAGAAGCGTTTGAGTTTCTGGGCTCCTAAATCTTCACAAACGGAACTTTTAGCAGTGCTGTTTCTTCTAAGGCCGCCTCAGCAGCATGAACCAAGAGCTTAAAGATGCTCATGTCGGGCCGAGCATGGTGGCTCATGCCTGTAACCTCAGCACTTTGGGAGGCTGAGGCGGGTGGATCACCTGAGGTCTGGAGTTCGAGACTAGCCTGACCAACATGGAGAAACCCCGTCTCTACTAAAAGTACAAAATTAGCCGGGTGTGGTGGCACATATCTGCAATCCCAGCTACTCGGGAGGCTGAGGCAGGAGAATCGCTTGAACCTGGGAGGCGGAGGTTGCGGTGAGCCGAGGTCATGCCATTGCACTCCAGCCTGGACAACAAAAGCGAAACTCCATCTCAAAAAAAAAAAAAAAAAAAGATACTCACTTTGTTCACCTGGAAATACCCCCTGATGATCTCAGGGAAAGCATCAGAGGTATGTCTAAGTATTTATGTACAAGGGCCTTTGTCACAGTTCCAATTATAACAGCAAGATGTTAGAATAATCCGAGTGTTCAGCA
This sequence comes from Homo sapiens, assembly GCF_000001405.40. Lineage (NCBI taxonomy): Eukaryota > Metazoa > Chordata > Mammalia > Primates > Hominidae > Homo > Homo sapiens. The sequence continues at coordinate 5,981,259 of NC_000004.12, read as the reverse complement.
CGGCCACAGGAGGCTGCGTATATACTAATAACAGCATTTTCAACATTATTTGGTAATATGGAAAAACGCCCAGAACACGGTGTTAAGGGAGAAAAGCAGAAAACAAATATATCATATTTTAAATTTTATATAGAAAATCTGTGTTAGTATGTATGTTTATGTGTGCTTGTGTGTATATATGTATGTGAGTTATTTAAAAAAATAAGAATTTAGACTTCAAAACCATTTGGGGGCAGTAGCACCTCTCCCATTTTGCCACACTTCCCACAATGCAAAGCCAGCCTGTTCCCTCTCACTGTCCTTCCTCCCAGAAATTCCCTTTGGCATCTGAATGAAACCCGCTAATCTCATGTTAGATCCAAGAAGAGTGACAGGCAATTGTGTATTCATTTAAGAAAAGTGCCTGTGGGAGACACAGTATCTTCTGTTTCATATAAATATATTATGCTTTAGCATAATAGGCATCTCATAATTTGATTGGAACATTCAATTTCACTCATCACACTGTTTCAGTATAACAGTGACTGGCATCTATTACAGCAGATTCTGGAATGCCACCCCACTGCACATATTTTTGAAGCTAATATTCCAGGCTGTTATTCTGGGACTCTCCAGGCCCTCCCCAACACCCACCTCCGGAAACCAAGCAGAACCACCCACTCCTATACATGCACGTGTCTAGGGACTTAGCAGGAAATCTGCAGAAAATCTATGGATAATAAAGATTCTACAGGATAATCAGATTGGGAGTGATTTCTGCTACCTTATCTTCTAAAACTTACTGTAAGAGAAATATAAGCAGGAAAACAACAACAACAAAAAAAAAAACTACGGAGTGGGGAAACGGGTACCGTTTGTTGGCTAAGGCAAATTGCTTGAAGGATAACCTAAACATTTCATTCAAATCTGTGATTTCCGCAGCTCCGGGACTCAGAGGCCGAGGTTACTGAGGAGGATCCCAGGCTGCGGGCCCAGCAGCTCCATCACCGGGTGCTGACCCTGCAGTGCCAGCTCAGGGACCAGGGCGCTGCCCACCAGGCGTCTCTGGACGAGGCCACCCGCCTCCAGGAGGAGCTCCAGGCCAAGGTGTGGGAAGTGCTTTCTTTCCCCTCTTGTCAGCCAGGGCTCCCACACCCCGGGGCGTTTTGGGAGTGAACAAAGATTTGCTGAGGTCTTCTTGACCCAGCCAGTTGGGAGCAGGTACTGGATTTTTAAAGTATAAGGCAGTACCAGGAAAAAAAAAACAACAAAAAACCACAGGCTCTATGATTGCTTCCCTGTTAAATTTAAAAAATGCACATATGTGGTTTCTTTAAAAAGTCAAGCAGGCTTACAGTGTCATATAAATAAAAGTCAAAGCCTTTCCTCTGTCAGAGGGAAGTAGGCGTGACTATGATACAGTGGTGCAGGTGCAAACCTATACAGGTACCAGAATTGCACGGGACTTAACACGCAGACACACACGTTTAAAACTGGAGAGATCTGAAAAAGATCAGTGAATTGTGGCCATTTCAATTCCTGGTTGTGACATGACACTATAGTTTTGCAAAATATTCCCACTGGGGGAAACCGGGCAAAATGTTCAAGGTACACTCCAGCCCAGGTGACAGAGCAAGACCCTGTCTCTAAAAAACATGTACAAGAGGGCTCTGTATTATTTCTTACAACTGTCTGCAAATCTTAATCATCTAAAATATAAAAGCTTTCCTTCTCCTCAACCTTAACATTTTCTGACTTCCAATATTTTTTCAACTCTACCACCCACTTTCTGAATGTGTGTGTATGTGTACATGTTTGAAATTATACTGTACAAAACCATGCTGCATCTTCATTTTGTCATTTAATTAAGAATCTTGTGGCATTTTCATATCAACACATGCAAAGTGAACTCATTCCTTTAAAATCGTGTGTATTATGTCATCATGAGGCCAAATCATAACTTATTTAATCAATTTTTCTGTTTGTGGAAATTCAAGTTGTTTCCATTTCTTTGCATTACAAACACAGCTCCAATGAACATTTTTATTTCTCTCTCGGCATATACTTCTGCTGTATATCTAAATGGCAAATTTCTAGCAAAAGAAAGGATATATAAATCATTAACTGTGATAGGTAATGGCAAGTAACCCTCCAAAATGATAGCATCATTTATACTCCCACTAAGAAGAAACAAGTCTACTCATTTGCCCATAACTCGTTATCCTGAATGTTAGCAACTTTACAATTGTTGGACAAGTCAATGGATGAAAAATACAGCCTCAGCATTACGGTATAATTTCCAGCTCTTCTCCCATGTGTTCTTTGTAAGATCAAAGCATGTTATATGTAGAGTTTTATGTTCATTTGCCCATGTGGCTGCATAGTCCTCATACATATGATTATTTGACTGTGTGGTAATCTATGATTGTTTGTGTAGTAATCTATTGGGTGGATGTGGTTTCCTTAACTATTCCCCAATTGTTGCATCTAGAGCATTTCTATGAACTTACACATAACTGTTTATATATAACAGTTCAGAGAGCTGGGACTACTGGCTCCAAAGGTGGCAATATTGTTGATTCTTAGCTATATATCACAAATTGCTTTCCAAAGTAGTGGTATCCACTTCCATGCCACCAACAATAAATGAGTGTGTCTCGTTCACCGTGTCTTCAACCAACACAAGAGCTAGTATTGCTTTTTTCTCTTATCTGTCACTGGCCTGTGGGGAGGGGGTGTGTGTGGAAACTTCAGTTACACATGAATTAGACTTTAAGTATATTTGAAATTATTTTCATTCTTTTTTCTTTCTGCTCAGTTTCAATATTTCCTTTGAATCTCTCTTCCAGCTAAATAGTACTCTTTGGATGAATCTAATTTGCTCCTAAACTCACTTTAGTTCTTAATTTCAGTTAGTCTATTTTGCAGGTGGAGAATTTCCCTATGATTCTTTTTTTTATAGTTCTCAGTTTTATGATGAAATTTTTGTAATGTAATTCCTGAACATCTCTATCGCAGTTGCTTTAAAGAGGAAGAGTGTCTCTGATAACTTCATTTTATGTTCTCACCAGCAGTGTAGGAAGGTTCCAACTTCTCATTCTCACTAACATTTGCTACTAGCTGTCTTTTCTATCATAGACATCCTAGTTAGTGGGAGATTGTCTCTCATTGGTTTTGAGCTGTATTTTCTGATGGCTAATAATGTGGAACATCTTTTCACGTGCTTGTGGGTCATTTGTATGTCGTATTTGAAGAAGAGTTTATTCAGATTCTTCCCATTTTTCTAATAGGGTTAATTGACTCTCTTTTTGTTGAGTTGTGAGAGTTCCTTTTATGTTCTAGATAGAAGTCCTTTATTAGATATATGATTTGCAAATATTTCCTCCAATTCTGTAGGTTATCTTTTTAATTTCTTCTTGTTCACTTTTTGATTGCAAATGCCCAATACTTATCTCACTGTGGCATATTTATGTTATTTCCTAAACTGAAGCAGACAGAAGGTTTAATCCAAGGCTGCAAATATGATTGAGTGCTTTTTGAATGTAAGACAGTCTGCTTAAGGCTGGAATTTTACTCTTTGAATACGTTAGGAATGCTGTGCCAAAACAGATATATGGAAATATGCATTGAAATCTTCTTTGTAAAACAAAGAAACAGAACTAAGATAAATTTCCATAAACAAGGAACTGGTTAAATCAATTTTGTTTTGACTTTGTAATTAAATAACATGCAAGCTTTTAAAAGAATGAGGTCAGTTTCTATGTGTTAATATGAAAATACCATCAAAATTTTTGTATCACATACAAAGTGATCTCATTCTTTTAAAATCTTGCATATTATTTAATTATGAAGCAAGATGCAAGACCTTTTGCACAGTATAATTTCATATACACACATTCTGATCCATATAGGTATGTTGGTCCGAAGAGTTTGGGGGTGAGGAAGAGGCTTGCGGCTTTTTATTTGATTTTTTTAACTGACTGCAAAGGGACTGAGAGAGTTAGAAGAACTCACACAACACCTGTTTTGTTGTATCTTATGGGTCCAGAATTCAGATAGGACTCGGCTAGGCTGTTCCGCCCTCCAGGGGATCAGTGGGCATGACTCAGTGGCATCCGGCTGGATGCCAGTCTCGGCTGGGGGGTCCCCGGCGGCCTCACTCACATCCTGCCCCCTCTGCAGGGTGGCGGAAGGCAGCTCCCGCTGGTGCCTTCCCTTTTTTCTGTCATGTCTCACGGTCTCCCCAGAGGGCACCTGGAATTCTTAAATCCTGGCTCAGAAACAGAAGAGACCCAAAGTGGAAGCTGCCAGTCCTATTCAGTGCCAGGCCCACAAAGGCCTCAGGGCCACTTCCACTGCATTCTATGAGTCAAGGCATCTCAGGCCAGCCCAGATCTGAGGGAAGGTGATAGGAACCCCCTCCATGGGGAGCAGTCTCAAAGAATCTGTGTCCAGCTTTCATCTGCGCCTAATAGTAACATTAGTTTATTGATCACTGACAGGTGCCAGGGCTTGTTCTAAGCACTTTACATGGATAGGTTCACTGAATCCTCACTACAGTTCTCACCAGTGGGTGGGCACTCCTATGAGCCCCCTTCACAGATGAGAAGACTGAGGCAGAGAGTGTCTTGCACAAGATCTCAGTTCCAGCGACTGGCTGAGCCGGGATTAGGACCCCTGCTGTCTGGCTCAGGAACTTGTATGTTTACCACAAGACCAGAAAACTGCCAGGCTGCCTGGAGACTCAGAAGAGGGCTTGGAGCTGGCCCCAGCCACTGCAGCTGGGCAGAGCTGATTCTTTTTTTTTTTTTTTTTTTTTTTTTCCGAGACAGAGCCTCGCTCTCTCGCCCAGGCTGGAGCGCAGTGGCGCAATCTCGGCTCACTGCAAGCTCCGCCTCCTGGGTTTACGCCGTTCTCCTGCCTCAGCCTCCTGAGTAGCTGGGACTACAGGTGCCCACCACCACACCTGGCTAATTTTTTTTTTTGTATTTTTTTTTTTAGTAGAGATGGGGTTTCACTGTGTTAGCCAGGATGGTCTCGATCTCCTGACCTCGTGATCCGCCCACCTCGGCCTCCCAAAGTGCTGGGATTACAGGCGTGGGTCACTGCGCCCGGCCAAGCTGATTCTTGAGTATTCAGAATATCTGTCCTCCCCTGATCCTGCCAGGCAGGTGGTGGGAAAGGCCCCTGTTCCTGGCACTGAGTCCCCATGAGGGTAAAGAGGGCAGGCAACTGCCAGCTGTTCTGAGCCCAGCTTGCCTGGGGAAGCTCTGGACAGTGGTAAGTGACAGTGCAGTGTTGTCAAAAATGTCGCTTTTATTTCAGCTTGAAGAACTTCAGAAAAAGCAACATGAAGCAAAGTTGGCAGTGACTCCCCTGAAGGTAATATGTTCATAAAATCAACATGAAATGCCTCTTTCAAAACAAAAGAGAGTTTAGTAGTTTTCCTGTTAGACATGTAATCCACCTCTATTGTATAAAAGTCTGGGTAGGGCCAGGCACGGTGGCTCACACCTGTAATCCCAGCACTTTGGGAGGCTGAGGCGGGTGGATTGCTTGAGCTCAGGAGTTTGAGACCGGCCTGGGCAACATGGCCAAATCCCATACAGGCGTGATGGCATGCGTCTATAGTCCCAGTTACTTGGGAGGGCTGAGGGGGGAAGATTGCTTGAACCCAGGAGGTCAAGGCTGCAGTGAGCCGAGATCACGTCACTGCTCTCCAGCTTGGGCAACAGAGTGAGACCCTGACTCAAAACAAAACAAAACAAAACAAAACAAAACAAAAAAACCGCAAAGAAGAATGAAGGAGACAGAAAGCAGCAGCCCCTGCTTGCACATGGCATTTCCATGTCTTTTCCTCCAGTACGTTTCCCATGTGTTTGAGAGCCTACGATGCGTATACGTTTGCCTCCTGCTGTTCCCACTCGATGGGGTGACCTAGGAGGTGGGTCCCAGCCTTTGAGGCTGCACTTTTCATGCTGGGGTGAAGCACGAGAGGCCTTGGTCCATAAAATCACCACCCCTGCGCTCTGTGCTCAAGCCCCTTCCTTTCTATCACTCTCTCTTTTGTATCATTAATTGTGTGCAAACACTGTGATGTAGTTTTTTTTTTTTTTTTTTTTTTTTTTTTTTTTTTTTTTTGAGATGGAGTGTCACTCTGTCGCCCAGGCTGGAGTGCAATGGTACGATTTTGGCTCACTGCAACCTCTGCCTCCCAGGTTCAAGTGATTCTCCTGTCTCAGCCTCCCAAGTAGCTGGGATTACAGGCATGTGCCACCACACTTGGCTAATTTTTGTATTTTTAGTAGAGACAGGGTTTCACCATGTTGGCCAGGGTGGTCTCGAACTCCTGACCTCAGGTGATCCACCCCCTCTTGGCCTCCCAAAGTGCTGGGATTACAGGCATGAGCCACCGTACCCGGCCAATGTACAGGTTTTCTCAGAAAGGTTTTCTCCACGTATCTAGACATTTATGTTTAAGATCAATTCCCAGAAATGTCATTACTCACCCATGGGGTTTAATATATTCTTTGCTAGCAGGACACAGAATTTGGTCAAGGTAACACATTTCATCTTGAACATGGGCCTGGATCTGAGGAGAAGCTGGGGGCTCTGCTCTTTCTCTCTGGCCTCAGGGCAGAGTGGAGAGGGAGGTGCCCTGGGCTGGGCATCAGCAGAACCTGGTTATGCCCTGGACTCCCGCTGACCTGCAGAGTCATCCTCCCTCTGGGGCCTCAGTGTCGTCAGCCGTCAAATCAGAAACATGAGCCAGACAGTTCCTAAAGTTATTTTCCACCCCACATTTCCGTGTCTGTCTGAGCCTCGAGTTGGCGCCCGTAAAATAAAAATCGTCATAATTCCTGCCGCGCCCCTGCAGACGTGGTAGCTGGAAAGGTGCAGAGCGGACGGTGAGGCTCCGGCAGTGTGAGGCTTCCCTCCCCACCGCTCTCATCACCATCATTTGCTGTGGAGCATTTCTTTAAATGGAGGCCATAATCCCTTATAAAGTGCTATCGAAATGTGAGATAAGGATAGAAACATGACACTCGGTAGGTGCCTGCCTGCGCCGTCTCCTTTTATCCTGGTGTCCATGACAAAGCCCATTGTACAGATGGGCAAGTCGAGGTGCAGAGGGGAGCTTGCTCACAGAGCTGGTCCGTGGTGGGGCCCAAATCCACGCTCTTGACCCCTGCTGCCTTGAGCCTAGACCCCATGGAAAGGGCAGTGCGGAGCCCCTGGGGGTGTGTGGCCGTCTGCTCCGAAAGCAGCCTGGCTTCTGGGGGCAGGGAGGCTTCGCAGGGAGGAGGCTGCTCCGCTGAGCTGAGGCAGGGCTGGGGATGGTGAGTAGGGGCCTCAGCTGACCCTCCGGCCCCCAGCCCTCCAGCTCAGCCATGCAGCCCTGGTGGGAGCTCTGCATCCATGGCCTCCCTCCCTTTCAGGCCAAGATAGCTTCCCTCGTCCGGAAGTGCCGGGAGAGGAACCGCCTGATCACCCACCTGCTGCAGGAGCTGCACAGACATGGGCTGGGGAACCTCCTGCTCTCCGAGCTGGCGCAGAACATGCTCAACGACGTGGCACTGGCTGAGTACACGGCCACCTTCCTGGCTCCGGGAGTCCCAGAGGTAGAGTCCCAGAGATGGCCCTGTCTGTGCTTCCTATGGGAGTGTGGGCGCGTCCCTTGCATGCCCCTGCCTGACTGGAGCAGCCCCTCCTTTCCTCCCTCCCTCCCACCGCGGACACTACCCAAGAAGACACCCCCTGGCTTTTCCTCTGTGCCCATGCCCATGCCCTGGGTGGGCATGGGAAGATGCATCTGGCAATCCTTACCCTTTATGGTGCTCAGGAAATGGTGCAAGGCACAGACGTAAACAGTGATTGTAATTCAGCGTCATACAAGCTTCATTGGGTGTGTGTCACAGGATGGGTCTTTTGTGCCGGGACCTGTGCACTGGCCACTTCCTCTAGCAGGCTGCTTTGGTCACCCCATGACCTCCTGTCCATCCTTCAAGGTAGAGGTGTGACCTTGCCCAGGCAGCCTGCTCTGAGCCCCGCAGACCAGAGAGTTAGCCACAGCTTCCTCTGTGCTCCATTGCACGTGGCCCCGCGTGACGGGGCATGAGCAGGGAGCTCTCCTGGCTGTTGCAGGAGTTTGTGGGCCCATCTCCGATGGGCCCAGAGCCGCTCCATAGCCATCTTTGTCTTCCCAGTGCCTGGCTCTGAGAATCTGCCACAAACCTGGAAGAATGTTGGTTGAATGAATGAAATAATGAACCAAATGAATGAGAATCTCCTCTCCCAGTGGTCAACAGAAGAGGAAGCTGAGGCCAGAGAGGTTAGGAGATGTGCTCCGGGTCACACAGGCAGTGCACACAGGGACAAATGCCAGCTCTCCTGACTACAGTCAGCACCCACGGGTGCCCAGCCGTGCCTGCCCACACATATACATGCAGCCCCGTTCCTGGGGACAAGCCAGCAACGCCCCCGCCAGACTAGCTCCGCTCCTTATGTGCGCGGGTGAGACCAGCTCCCACGGTAAACACAGCCGGGGCTGTTTTCCATGGTCCCTCCAGGCTCTGCCTGTGGGGCTTGCTCTCAGCCCCTTGGCACCAGGTCTGAGTCTCTCTCTGCAGCTCTGCCCAGCCTGGTCTCTGCAAGGCCAACCTCCTCTGACCCTTCCTTTTCCTCACAGCCTTGAGAGGTCCCCTCTGGTCCAAATCATTGCACAGCAGAGATGGAGGCTTGGAGGCCAAGAGGCATGTTCAGGGCCATTTTTTGACTCAATTCATAGGCAGAACTTGAATCCAGAGCCCCAGACTCCCAGTCTGTTGCTCTTCTCTTTGCCCAAGGGGTACAAGACTCCTTCAGAACTAGAATAAGGGTGAGAAAAGAGAGCAGAATTTTGTCCAAGTGCCTGCATAGTCCTTGGGATCCACTAGGGGCCTGATATCTGGGGGTTAAGTGAGATAAAATTGAAAGCAGGCCGGGCGCGGTGGCTCGTGCCTGTAATCCCAGCACTTTGGGAGGCCGGGGCGGACAGATCACAAGGTCAAGAGATCGAGACCATGCTGGCCAACATGGTGAAACCCCGTCTCTACTAAAAATACAAAAATTAGCTAGGCGTGGTGGCATGTGTCTGTAGTCCCAGCTACTCAGGAGGCTGAGGCAGGAGAATCTCTTGAACCCGGGAAGTGGAGGTTGCAGTGAGCCGAGATCACACCACTGCACTCCAGCCTGGTGACAGAGCAAGACTGTGTCAAAAAAAAAAAAAAAAATCGAAAGCAGAGTTCCAGGTTGTGAAAGTATCAAATTGCAAATGCAGCAGGTGTCACCCTGGAAGGCCGGCTGGCTGGCTGCTGTGGGGACATCATAGCAGCAGCCCACCTTCCAAGGGCTGCTCCTCACTCTCACAGGCCCTGGAACTAGAATTGAAATGTTCACTGGGGTTGGATCGGCTGACTTACAATGACCAAACTTACAGAGAATGATGTATACACTGGACTATTAATTTTTAAATATCCTATGAGAAAGAGAACTATTACACAGGTTGAAGTATCTGATGAATGGATGAAAAATTGTCAGCGTATTCTCTCCCTATAGTTGAGTTATCTGGAAAATCAAATTTTTTCAGTCATTTCTTCATCTGTCACTTGAGAGCCCAGAACGAGAGCAGGGAAAGTTATTTTAATAATGTCATCGGACGGATTCATTCATTTCCTATAAGGATGTGCTTCTGGGCCTGGACACGCTTCCGTGGACCAGGATGTCCCTGCCAGGCCTTTTGAAAGTGAAAAAAAAAAATTGTGATGTGTTTCAGAAATTCAGAGAGCTCCAGGCTGGCTGCAGTGTGGTCCCCAGGGGAGGAGTCGGGGGAGGCTGGGCTGATGGGAGGCCACAGGCACCTGTGCCCCGGCAGGGTGTCTGCATCTTGATTCCTAGTGGACAGCAGGGTGGGCGTGGCGCTGGCCACTCCTCCTACTGGTAGCCAGGCAGGAAGCGGGTCCAGTGCTGCTTGCTTGATGGGCAGTCAATTCAGAGGACACAGATGGAATTCCCGATGGGGGCCTTTGGGCTCTGGCTAGGAGCCCAGGAGGACTGCCAGGATGGCTGGGGAGACTCTGATGGGCTGGAGGTGAGAAGTGCCAGAGCAGCAAGGGACAGGTCCTGGGAACTTCAGCCAGGCGGTGGAGGGCTGATGTACCTTCCAGGAATACCCCTGGAGGGCCCTGGGCTCCTGTTGCTCACAGTGTCCTGAGACGCTCCCATTCTCTGGCCCCTGCCTTTGGGTAGGGGGCGTGGGCTGGCTAGGGTCCCAACTGGACAGGCTGCCTTCATTTATCCAGCCAAGTCATGGTGGCCAAGACTCATGCTGCCCTCCCCCTCGCACGCTCTCCATGGATCTGCTTACTCCACCCTCCCAGCATCCTGCTGCTAGGCTCCACGGGGGACCCTGAGCCTCAGCATGTCCCAGGGCTGTTGAGGGGGTGGGGGCTGGGCCTTGGGCTGAGGCCACTAAGCTCTACCCTTTCAGGAGGAGGTGGCGTGGCCTGGTGCCCATGCAAGCAGCAGTCGGTGACCACCTCCCCTCCCTGCACGTGACTGAGTCTTTGTATTTCCATTTTCTTTTCTTGTCCTGGTTTGGGTGCGTGGTGGAAATTGAGCCTCAGAGTCGGTTTGGCCCCAGTGCCCTTTCTGCAGGCATGTGGTGTTGGGCTGGGGGCCACGGGTCCCAGCACCGCTGTCTGTGCTGGCATCTGCTGTTGTGCCATCCGGGTCACTAGCGTCCATGGGTCACCCTTGTATCCGCCCTGGCTTCCCTCCTCCTACTCTGCTGATTCTGTCCAGCTCAGGTGCCTGTTTTGGGGATGGGGAAATCCCACGAGGTCAGCCTGGCATGGCAGAGGTCACTTTTCCTTCTGCTGGGAACACGGGTCTTGCCGCCTCCCTGATGTTAGCTGGAGATGGTCCCTCAGGGAAGGCTGTTCTCGGATTCCTAAAACCTCTCTAGAGTTCTTAATTCCGCCTTGTCCCCTGGACGCCTTGAGTGAGCAGGGCTCAGGGCACCTTCCTGGGCCTGTTTTGCTTCCTCTCTATGCCCCCCGACCCCTAGCCCCAGTGGGCCTTTTTTTTTTTTTCCTGTGTTTTGCCTGGACCTACGCTGTTGATATTCACAAGCATGAAATGAGACACCTTTGCTGTTTGTATTCAGTTACATCGTCCCCTTTCCCCGTCCCTGAGACCTTGGAGGCAGAGGCCCGGGTACCAAAGGAGAGGAGAAGAGGGTTGCCGGGGCTCACCTGGGACACAGCACTGGCTAAGATGGCAGCTGGCTCTCCTGCCCACCCCTAGGGTCTGGCCTGGGGTCCACTCCACAGATGGAAGGTCCCGTCAGAGAACAGAGAACTCCTGAGCTTCCTGTGCTCCTAGCTGGGTAGTTTCCTGTCCTCTCCCTGGGAGATTCACCTGCAGATGATGACATCCTGATTCTAAATAATGACCCATGTCATGAACTTGGCACTTGCCCTTCACGTACCTAAGCCACCTGTTATCTTAGGCCAGGTGGGGGCTGCTGTACCCTATGGGGCTTTGTGAGGTTTGAATTAGACTAAAGACCCCATGTCAAATGCCTGGCACAGCACCTGTCACACACAGGCACCCAACAGCTTTTGGGGCACCTTCAAGCAAAACATCAGTTTTGCTCCCCTGGGAGCAGCCAGGGGCCTTGGGCATACTAGCAGGGGAGAGTCATCCAGTCGGGGCAAAGAGGTAGGTGACCTAGTAAGGAAGATGCTCATTTTACCTCCTCTCGCCCTGCTGTTTCCTCCTCCTGCCACCTCCTGCTTTCCTCTGGGTATTTGTCAATGAGATCTAGTTGCGGGCTTTTGGAAATGGAATCTGGTCTAAAAAAGGAGCGGTCATACTCAGACGATTGAAGAATTATCCCTCAAAGCCCTGAACTCCCCCAGTTCATTAAATCAGCAATCCCTAAGCCTGGGCCTCCAAGGATCCAGGCAATTATTTTCTCTTTAACTCCTGCCTTTTATGAAACTTAGAATATTCCCCTAAAAGTTTTCGTGGGGAGAGAGGCAGGGCTCGGGAGAGTGTAGCACAAGTCTTCATCTGTCCCCTACTCGGTATCACTGGCATTTAGTGGACGTTCCTTCTCATCTCATTCTGGTGGATCCCTACAAAGAACATATTGGTACCGTATTTCTGTTCCGCAGATGGAGAGGGTGAGGCTCAGAGAATTCAACGGACTTGGCCAGGATCATGGAATCAGTGAGTGGCAGAGGCAGGACTCAACTTGAGAAAGCCTGGCTCTGCAGCCACTCCAGACCAATGTGGTAGTGGAGGAGCTGGAAGCAGACAAGGGTCCTTGCACCCCAACCACATACCGAATGCAGGGCCACCCAGAAGTCAGTTGAGTGCGCTTGAGGCTACTCTGTCGGTGTATCCTCTACGAAGGCGAACAAAACCCCAGTCTCGCGTTGAAGGAGCCTCTGTCTAATGAGGAGACACCTGACTCTAAACCCAGGGGCAATAAAGGGCATTCATTCAAAGCACTGGAAATAAGCAGAGAGGAGAGAGTGACGGATTGGAGGATATGCTTTCTGGAGTAGGAAGCACTCAGACCAGGCCTTGAAGGACAGAAAGCAGGATTTAACAGCTGGAAGGATAGAGTGAAGGTCTCAAGGCTGCGGGACCTGAGTGGACACAGGCACCGGGGTGGGAGAGTCCAGGGTACTTGAAGACACAACAGTGTCGAAAGGGTGACAGCAAAGTGCTCTAAGAGCACCGTTCAGGAGCAGGCATTGTGCCTGGTACCGAAGCCTCCCAGGAGTGCTGGTGTGATCCGGTCACTACCAGAAGACGGCTGAGCCATAACCCATGCCGCAGAGTATTAAGCCCTCCACCAGTCAATCCAGGTTAGAGGGGACCCTCATAGACCCCAGGTGTCACTGCAGCAGAGAAGGCGCTGTGCGAGAGGCAAGTGGCTGAACTCTGCCAGGTGGAGTCAGGGAAGACTTCACAGAGGAGGCAACATTTGAATTGGGCCTTGACATCTACGTAGAAGTTCACCAGAGACAGAGAGAGAGCAGAGCCCTTTCAGACAGGGAGATGGCCTCCTATACCTGGAGGAAGAGCATGACCAGGATGTTGGAAGTGGAGACAGGAAAGAGTTATCACAGCAGCACTGCACACAGGACCCTGCCCCATCAGAAACACCCAAGAGGAAGTGAGATCCAGGCTGCCAGTCTGGAAACAACTCTAACCTGCCTCGAAGATCCAGCAGTTGCTCTTGCTCAACCACTTGGGGGCCGTCGGCCAACCAGTTGAGTGATCATTGCCATCTCACTTCTCACCTGCCCCGTGCAATGCGGAACCAGGAGGACACTGGTCTGTGCGGTGGTGCAGGTGGTGCACTCAGATTCAAGCCTGACCTGAATTCCTGGGTGATTGAATCAGGGGCCCCAGGGGAGACATCAGAGCACTGGATGTCCTCATTAAAATGTTTTTTAATAGCAGTTTCTAAAGCACTTTTATTACTGTCTCCATTTGGAGATTTAATTTGAGAAAAGGAAATGGAATCGTTTTTTTGTGCCCATGTTTCCTAAGAGCAAAACCAATTCCGTTTTCCTTTGAGCATCCTGGAGAGAAGAGGAGGGAGGTCTTCATGCACACAGGCAGGGTTGGTCCTACACAGAAAGCGGTTTTTTGCGGGGAGGGGTGATGGCCCTGCTTGGTCCAATTGCAGTCTTCTGTGCAAGGCTGTCTCTCCAGTGCCATGCAGAATAACCGCCAAGATGTCTTTTCTTGCAGACAAGCCACCACCTGGACGTCAAGTCTGAGATGACGGCAGCTTTAAGAGGTCAGTGTGATTTTTGATCAGGAAAAGCCTGTGTGCTCAGAAAAAGTCCAGGCCGGCAGGACGCTGTGAGAGGTGGGCCAGAGGGGAGATGCCCACTGTCGCATTCATGCTACTAAAAGGAACAGGACCCACCTCTCCCTCCCGCTTTCCTATGTGGCATTGCCTTCCTATTTCACAATGAGAGAACACACTGGAAAAACAGAAACGTTCAAATTCCTCAGTGCCAGAGTTTCACTCCTGGAAACTCATCCTAAGTAGATAATTCTGTATGTGGAAGGATTCTGTGGACAGGCATGTTCCTGCCAGTGCATCTATAATAGCCAAAAACTGGGAGGAACCCTCAGTATTGTTAATGAACCCATATAATCAGTGAAATACAACATGGTCATTAAAATGGTTCTGAGAAACACCATGCAACAGCATGGGAATTACCATGTTCTACTAAGTTTGAAACTGTTAGGATATGGGCCAGGCGCAGTGGCTCACGCCTGTAATCCCAGCACTTTGGGGGGCCGAGGCAGGCGGATCACGAGGTCAAGAGATGGAGACCATCCTGGCCAACATGGTGAAACCCCATCTCTACTAAAAATACAAAAATTAGCTGGGTATGGTGGCGCATGCTTGTAGTCCCAGCTACTCGGGAGGCTGAGGCAGGAGAATGGCTGGAACCTGGGAGACGGAGGTTGCAGTGAACCGAGATAACACCACTGTACTCCAGCCTAGTGAAAAAGCAAGACTCCGAAAAAAAAAAAAACCTCTTAAGATATGGAATGTTTCATATAATTATAACTGTATAATTCGATGTGCACATCTGGATCTGATCTGCAACTTAGGCTAGGACAGCACCTAAAACATTTGCCGTGGTTACTCAGAGAGTTGGTAACATGAGTGCTTTTTTTTTTTAATTCTGCTATTTTTATTATTTATTTATTTATTTTTGAGAGGGAGTCTCCCTCTGTCGCCCACGCTGGAGTGCAAAGGTGTGATCTCGGCTCACTGCAACCTCCGTCTCCTCAGTGCAAGCAATTCTCTTGCCTCAGCCTCCCGAGTAGCTGAGATTGCAGGCGCCCACTATCATGCCTGGCTAATTTTTGTATTTTTGTAGAGACAGGGTTTCTCCATGTTGGCCAGTCTGGTCTTGAACTCCTGACCTCATGTGATCCACCTGCCTTGCCCTCCCAAAGTGCTGGGATTACAGGCATGAGCCACTGCACCCGGCCTACTTTTATTATTAAAAAGAAAATGAAGCCCCTATCTGACCAGACAGAATTTTCCTGGACCTTGTTTTACTCTTTTTTATTTCAATAGTTTTGGGGGAACAGGTGGTATTTGATTGGGCCTTGTTTAAGCGCAGCTTACTACCCTCAGCGTGGGGGCGGGATGGGGCTCCCAAGGATCTGTTTAGTGTTGTGTTTGGATCAGGTGCACGATAAAACGTGTAGAACGTCTGGATGGTGTTACCTTTAAGACCAAGCTGCTATTGAGATCTGTTCATCTAGTGGTTCTTATTACTAGATTCTCTTCTTGCCAGCTGTGTGGTCTTAGATGAGTTCATTAACCTCTCTGAGCCATACACTCTTTTAAGAGGAGGATAATATGACCTTCCTCTGGAGTGTCTGGACCCTGGCACATAGCAGGATGTCAGTACATGAGCAGAGAAACGTGTTCTCAGTCTTTGACGCCTCAGGATGGGCCTGTCCTTCTCTGCCTTGGCCTTCTGTACCTACAGCCTGACTTGGTGCCTGTTCTCACAGTTGGAGAGGCACAGATCCTAGCTGGTCTGCTTCTGTCACTAATTTTCTCTCTGTGGCCCCAGGCAAGTCTTCTTCCCTCTCTTGCTCAGCTTCATCCCGTTTCAAAGAAGGAAACGCGCTAGACCGATTGAGTTATTTTTTTGTTGGACATTTCTGGAGGGCCGCCACATGCCAGATCCCACATAGGTGTTGCTGCACTTACGAAGCTAAGCCGGCTTGCAAAGGCAGTGGTCCCTGCATGGAATGAGCTTGCAGCCAGGTAGGGGAAGGTGAGGCAGGCAGGCAGGCAGTTTTCTGGGATGCCCCAAGATCATGACAGCACCATCAGAGGCGTATGGGTGAGGTCCTTGGAGAGCTCAAAGGCATCTGAGAGGACCTCTGCCCCGGGGCATGGAAACTGGGAATGATCTGGGAATGGCTAGAGAGTGAAGAAGGTTATGACAAGGCTCAGACACTTGTAGACTTTTCACCTAGGTTCCTGGGTGGAGGCTTGACTGAGAATTTTCCCTTCCAGCTCAGACATACCTCTTGAATCCTGAAATGGACAGTGTCCTCCAAAGCTCATTGTCTTCAGAGTCCTGGCCTATTCCCGAGCCGGAGTGGCCAGCACAGACAGCCCAACTGGATTCTCTGAAGGTGAGAAGGCACCTGTCACCTCATTTCCTAAATGAACTTTGTTATTGAAAGTACAACACATTTACAGCTTAGCAAATTATCCAAGCGATATACACCCAGAAAGCCACCACCAGGTCAAGAAATAGAACACAATCGACTCCCGAACAGCCCCCTGGTTTCACCCTCAGTCTCCTTCTATGATCTAATTTTAATGTTTGTTTCTGGTCAAATCATGTGTCCTAGGTCTGGTGACATTTTTTTTTTTTTTTTTTTTTTTGAGACAGAGTCTTGCTCTGTTACCCAGGCTGGAGTGCAGTGGCGCGATCTCGGCTCACTGCAACCTCTGCCTCCTGGTTTCAAGCGATTCTCCTGCCTCAGCCTCCCAAGTATCTGGGATTACAGGCGCCCACCACCATGCCCGGCTAATTTTTGTATTTTTAGTAGAGATGGGGTTTCACTCTGTTGGCCAGGCTGGTCTCGAACTCCTGACCTCATGATCCACCCACCTCGACCTCCCAAAGTGCTGGGATTACAGGCATGAGCCACCATACCCAGCTGGTCTGGTGACTTTTAGTGGATGCTGGACATCATGTATGAAAACCTTGATGACACAATTTGAGGCCTGACAGTATCTCCATCCACAGAGGACTTCCTTTGTTCTGCTCAGGGCAGGTCATCTTCCTCACATCAAGGCTGAGTCGACAAGGAGTTCCAGTGCTCAGGAGGTCTGCTGCATTTCTGGTTCACACTCACTCCTAGGGCATAAAAGCCTGTTGAGTATTTGAGAGCCCTTTCCCCTGTCGGCCCCAAGAGGCTGCTCAGAGCTCTCCTTAGCTTTTCACCCTCTCAGCTGGCTCCTTCCTGCACAGACCCTGCCTTCACCTCGAGGGAAAATAGGTCCTCAATTGCCCTGCTCGCTTTTCTTGGCTTCTCTTCTGTATTCAGTTTTGGTCCCACAAGTCCTCACAGCCTTTGTAGCTCTCAGATGGCTTCAGACAAATGTTCTGTTAACGTTTCCCCCTAGCTTTTCTAGTTGCACATACTGCAGGTTTGGTCCTAAAGACCCTAATCAGTCATTGCCAGAGCAGCACTCCCCTCTGTCTTCCCAGAGAAAACTTACTTATGAGCTTTGGGGTCTGGCAGATCTGAGTTCAAGTCCCAGCCCTACCCCATTTTAGTTCCCTGTGATGTTGGGCAAGTACTTCATCTGCCTGCACGTAACTGTCAGCTGTGAAATGCGGCTGCCTGCCTCCTACTGTTAGGAGGAGAAATCAGGCAGGCAGAGCTGAGTGTGTGCCTGGCACATCAGAGGTGCTCACAGTAAAAAAGAGAAAGCAGCCATTGCTCAGAAGGAAAACTGCTCTTACTCATTTTATTTCAGCTGATTGTAATTTTTCTCCCTTCTTTTATCCCCATGGATTCTTTCCTGTCTCAATAATTACATTAATTTATTTTATCTAAAAGATAAAAGAGACAATAATATCTACCTCTCAGGCTTGTTGGGACAATTCAATGAAATCATGCATATGAAGTATTTATTATAGTGCCTGGAATCAAAAATAGAGGAGGTATTAAAAAAAAGATAGCTATTGTTATTGACCTTAAACTTTTTTTTCTGATGGGTAAACTTCATTTTAAATGACTTCTTATCTAGTAATAAAAACAAAGCTTTGATCATTCCTAGGATAATTACCTCTGATTTTTTATTTTAATCTACCTTATCAGCAGCAGGTAGAAGATATTCTAGGCAGGCTGGGCGCAGTGGCTCACACCTGTAATCCCAGCACTTCGAGGGGCTGAGGGCAGATCACTTGAGGTCAGGAGTTTGAGACTAGCTGGCCAACATGGTGAAACCCCATCTCTACTAAAAATATAAAAATTAGCTGGGTATGGTGGTACATGCCTGTAGTCTCAGCTACTCGGGAGGCTGAGGCAGAATTGCTTGAACCTGGGAGGCGGAGGTTGTAGTGAGCCAAGATCGTGTCTCTGCACTCCAGCCAGGGCAACAGAGCGAGACTCCATCTCAAAAAAAAAAAAAAAAAAAGAAAAGAAAAAAAAGAAGAAAATATTTTAGGCGAAGGGAGTACTTGTAAAAAGATGGGAGGATGAGTGTCCATGAGGCATTTGGAGGAATGGTAAGCAACATCGCTGGAGCATAAAGTATGAGGAGGTAGAGCGGAGACTAGAAGAGGATAATGACGACAGTGATAGCAACAGCAGCGAAACAGAAAACACACCCAAATCTTACTGCGCCGGCATTGGCTCATCCAGTCCCACAAAGGGCCCACCAAATAGATATCAGCATCAGCTCCACTTAACCTGTGAGAAAAGATGAGGCACAGAGGGGGCAAAGGTCACCCAGCTCATAAGCGGCAGAGCTGGGCTTCCAACCAGGGGCACCTGGCTCCGGAGCTGGCCCTCTGATCATTATGTGGCCAGATGGTGCGTGGCCTGGATGGGGGCGGGGTTGAGAGGAGAGGAGCAGTCCCTCTTCCCTCCCTCAAAGTTCCAATCTGGAGCTCAGTGTGAGAACAAACCCTCTAATGTCTGCTGTCAGTGACACTGGCCAGAAACCTGTAGCAAAGCTTTTGAGGAAATAGTTGGAGTAATATGTTGCATGAATGGATAAACCAAAAATGCATCTTAATACCCTTATGGTTCCAAGTTGGTCAGGTGTTCTTCAGCTTTCTTCAAAGTTATCACTAAAAACACAGAAGGTCACTGGACTGGAAACCTTTCCTCTGTTGGAAATCATTTCAAGTCCATAGGGGACTTCAGTTTCTTTGCAGCAAGATGGCAGAATGTCAATTTAAATGTTTTTCCCATGTTTTGCACAGTACCTGGCCCATGGGAGGCCTTCAGAAGCACTTGTTGGGTGAATAGTTAGCCAGAGACAGGGGCCATCAGGCTGTTTCTCTGGAAGGTACACGGCACCTGCTCCTGGTTCCCAGCACTGCATTTTCGCTGCAGTCTTGGTTCTGTCCAGTCGTCATGAGCATTTGGGAACAGAGCTCCTTGCCCTGGGCAAAAACAGACAGCAAGCCATGTATCTGGGCTGGTTTTGGGGAAGAGCTTCCCATGCTGAAAACAAACTTGTTAAATAATGACACCAGGGGATTAGTGACCTACAAGGAAAATGAGGTCATGGAGTTTTGAAGGGCAGTAACTAAATTTGTCACGTCACACAAATCTATTACTGTACGGTTGAGCTTAGCAAAAAAAAAGGAGAAGAGAGCTTTAGAGTATACAGACATGTCCTGAAAAGGCTGACAAATCTTTAGTGAATGAGGAGATGTTTCGCCCTCTATATCATTAGCCTCATCCTATCACTCGGCCACTGAAGATCCAACACTACATCCCTGGGTTCAGCTGTCACTGTGGTGGGGAATCAGGCAGGCTTGAGAGCCGTATGGCCTGGGTTCAAATCTTGCAGCAGGCTCCTATTAGCTGTGTGGCCTTGGGCACAGCACTTCACCTCTCTGGGCTTCTGTTGCTTCATCTGTATGATGGGATGATAATAATAGCACTTATCTCCTTGGATTTTGTAAAGATGCAATGAATCAATATGTGGAAAGTGCTTGGAACGACATATTGCAAGAGCTCAGTAAATGTTCACTGTTGTAGACTGAATCCTAGGAAACTGCCAATATTATACTACTCTTTCCCTCAGAAACAGTAATTTCATATGGCTTAAACTATCCTTATCATTATTATTATAGTTGTTGTTTTTGAGATGGAGTCTCCCTCTGTTGCCCAGGCTGGCGTGCAGAGGCACGATCTCGGCTCACTGCAACCTCTGCCTCCCAGGTTTGAGCGATTCTCCCGCCTCAGCCTTTTGAGTAGCTGAGATTACAGGTGTGCACCACCACACCTAGCTAATTTTTGTATTTTTAGTAGAGACATTCATTTCAAAACAAAAAGCTAAACTACGTTAAAATAAATCTATGCATTGTGACACTTCCTGGGGAGCCCTCAGTTCCTTGTCCTTGTCCTTGTTTGTCCTTCCATGAAGAGACAGCCACTTCCAGGAGGGGACAGAATTGGACAGGTAGCGGCTTTAGTATAAACAGGGTTTTACCATGTTGGCCAGGCTGGTCTCGAACTCCTGACCTCAGGTGAGCCACCCACCTCAGCCTCCCAAAGTGCTGGGATTACAGGCATGAGCCAGGCCGACTATCATTATTATTATTATAAGATGGAGTCCAGACTCCTGATGCGCACATTAGTCAGCCCAGAATGACCTTGCGTTTTAAACACATAACAGAACCCTGCTCCTCCCCAAAAGCCGAGCTCAGACACTGCCTCCATGAGGCCTTCCCAGCTCCTCAGTGTGCAGTCAGTACTTCCGTCCTGGAGGCTTCATCAGCACCTGTGTGGGTCTCTCTTCGGGCTTGAACCCTGCAGCATAATATTGAGTTTATGTGTCTGCCTCTCCCACTGGATTGGAAGTGCTCTGAGGGCAGGGACAAGGTCAGGCTTGGCACATAGTGATCGCCGATTCCCTGCCTCTGCTGTCCAGCCTCTTTTTCAGCCGTCTTCCACCAGTGAGGCAAAAGGCCCTGCTCATTGCAAACCTGCGGCTGCTCTTGCCTCCTGGAACTGGTGGAGAAGTCGGCTCCATTCTGCTCATCTGTCTGGCAAGGCACTGACACACCTGCCACACCCTTTAGAGGAGGGAGAAGAGGCATTAGCAGGACTCACATGTTACCTGGTGAGGCAGTCCTGCCTGTCATTTGCGGGAAGGTGCCTGAGAGGTGTGAGATGTTGGTCGTGAAGGGATCACAGGTACAATAGTGACTGGAAAGGAGACGTAGAAAGAGTGGAGGTTTGAAATCAGATGGGCTTGGCTTTGAAGTCGAAGCCACTTCAGAGCTAATACATTTAATGAAGGCATTTAGAATCTCTTAAACTGTTAAGTGGGTTTTCATCTATAAAGTGGGCCTGATGATAGCTTGTTGCAGGAACTAAGTGAAGGCAAGTAAGATGGCACATTTGGGGAAAGCCCTGAGATGTGCTGGGCATGAGGTTTGCAACCAGCAAGACATGACTTCCCCTTTCAAGGGAAGGTCACTTTCTCTTATCACCGGGAAGGAGAAAATTTATAGAGGATATCCACTCTACAGGAACGCCCGCTCATGACTGTATTGTCAGGCACCTGCCACATGACGTGGAGAGGGAGCCTCACGCTGCCCCAATCTCATTTTCTGACCCAGAACGCAGTGATGACAGCATGTGTCTCACTGAACTGTCACCAAAGGAAGTGAGCCAATGTGTGAGGAGTATTTGGTGCCAGGCACAGAAAGTGCCCCGAAACCGTTAGCTATCACTGTCATCTCTTCCTTTGATTAAATGTGTGAATGGAGGGGCTTTTACAAACATGTGGACGCAGAGACCATTTCATTGTCCTCTTGCCTGCAGCTCCCTCTGTCCTTGGTGTCCACGCTTGATCCTGGAACGTGCCTGGCAGCGGTCACTGTGGAACCAGGTCTCCCCGCACAACGTCTGCAAGAAAAAGGCGGAATGCCCTGTCCTGCCCTCCAAGTCGATAACGTCCCAGCACCCTCTGAGCTCCTGAGCCCAGCAAGGATCCTGGCTTTTCACCAAGAGCTTAGACAAAGCATTTGCAGCAATTCCCAGGTCCATAAATCACCGCTGGAGTTAGAAATGTAATAGGGCCACTCATTCTCCGGAGCCATTTCATAGACTCCATAAATATTTGAAGCAGAACCTTCAGAGAGTGCTTTAAGAAATTGGTAGCAATCAGAGCCCTCATTTAGTGGCAAGTGGTTTTGCCTTCGGCTTTGGGATTTTGTGTTCATTGTCAGAGCTTGAGAGAAACGCTGGCCTGTGCCTGGCAAATTCTGAGGAGTTTGGCTTTGGCAATGTCAAGGCAGCATAGGAAATATTTACTGTACCAAAACCTATTGAATGATTGGTCCAGAGGTTCTCAACTGGGCACAGTTTTAGCCCCCCAGGGAAAATCTGGCCATGTCTGGAGACATTTTTGGTTGTCACAGCTGGGACACTGCTACTGGCATCTGGTGGGTAGAGGCCAGGGATGCTATGAAATGTCCTACAATACCCAGGCCAGCCTCCTACAGCAAAGAATTACAGCCCGAGGGTCGCCAGTGCTGAGGTCGAGAGTCCAGGACGGATCTCATAGCTCCCAACAAGATCAGCCATGGAGAATTGTTTTGTTTTGTTTTTTCTCTGCCCCCGGGGTCCTTCCCATGTTTTAAAAGATTTTTTGTCTACTAAGTGAAACGCCTAAGTCACCATATATTTTACATTTAAAAACATTAAAACTAACCAGAACTTTCTAATCAGTCCATCCACTCCAAAAACGTCTGTTGATATCCACTGGATGCCAGGCAATGTGGCATGAAGGAGAAGAGACAAGTCAATGTTGATCCTGGCGCCGGGGACCTCACAGGACAATGGGAGAGATACTCCTGTGAGTAAATCAGCACGCACGCAAGTGTCACATGTGCCCTGAGCAACGGGATGAAGGTAAGGGTCCGTTCTACTTGGCTTGGGACAACTGGAAGTCAGCCACAAAGGAATGGCTGGGCAGTGTCCGGTGGGTGAGGTGGGAAGGGTGCTGCTGTACGAGGGAACGCATGTGCAAAGGCCCTGAGGCATAAAACTGAACTGTGGATGTGCCCCTGGAGGGGAAGTGGGCAAAGCATGCTCTTGTCAAGCCAGCTGCAAGCAGTCACTGCATCGTTCCCATCCAGCACCCCTTCCTTCCACCGAGAACAGAGACTCGTGCCCCGAATCAGGTGGGCGACCCAGGAGAAGAGCACTTCTATCCTGAGGGCAGCCCCCCAAAAAGAGAGTCTAGGGGGCTTGGACGACACACACCAGACCCTGACCCAGGCTCACCCACCAGAGATGTCACCTCTCTCTTTGGGAAGGGGCTGAGGAGGGGCTTAAGGGAAAGGCCAAAGCCGCTACCTGTCCAATTCTGTCCTCTCCTGGAAGTGACTGTCCCTTCATGGAAGGACAAACAAGGACAAGGACAAGGAACTGACGGCTCCCCAGGAAGTGTCAAAGTGTATAGATTTATTTTAACGTAGTTTAGCTTTTTGTTTGAAATGAAAATTACACAGAGTTCCCGTAGACTCTTCCCCGGGCTTCCCTTGATGTTAACATCTCATGTGACTTATGTTGTACAATTATAGAAACTAGTGGGTTTTATTTCGAGGAAAATTGGGGAGCCATTGAGACGTAAGAAAGGCAGCCTCAGCACATTGAGTTCCACCCTTTAAATTCGTTTATGGGGTTTTCTGATGGGTTAGCACATTCATCCATGTATTCCTGGATTGATTTACCCACAGATCTGTCTATTTATTTATTTATTCAATATGCATTTAGTGACTGCTGTGCGAGTGTCTGGCTGGATGCTGCTGGGGAAGAAGTGAAGATGATGCTGTCCACCTAGGTTTTCAGGGACCCCCCTGGAGACCCTGTGGCCCCGTTACCACCCCTCAAGAATCCCCAGATTGGAAACCACTGCGGTGATCCCTTTGTTGGTTCAACCACCCCAGGGCTTCCCTATAATTTCCAAGCAGGAAGTGACCTGCAGCACTGGTTTGGTGATCCGCCTTCTGCCTCCCTCTGTATTTTGGGACAATGTCATTAGCTTTGAGCATCAGGAACATGACAGAGAGAGGACAGAAACCCGGTGCAGCCGAGGACAGCCAGCTGAGCCCTTGCTGAGCCAGCGAGATGCAGCGTGGTGCCACCACATCTGGTCTCCAGGAGTCCCAGGAGCTCAGACGTCCGTCGTCTTGTGACTTCATGCTCCCCTCTGCCGCGCTCACGTGCTGGGCCTGGGCAGAAAGGCAACCCAGGAAATCCATTAAAGCAAGCCAAGACGACCTTTGCAGCGTAACCCAACGATTCCCTAATAAATCATGTTTCCAAGGCAGAGCCACTTATTCTCCCGGGCCATGAATTGCCGTCTGGGTCTAGCACTTTGGGTCGGCTCAAGCTTTGTGCCGTGGCTCCCTGGGGCACAGTACAGGATGGCGGACTCCCCTCGCCTGGTCTGTAGACCCCAGCATTTGGAAGGGCACATGGTGGCTCCTTGCCACCCATCAGATGCTCCAGGGGCAGGACCTGCTCTGGCAACCCAGTAGGTTCAGGCAGGAACTTGGCACACAGGAGCTGGTCTCAGGCTGCCCCACAGGCAGGGAATGACTACGAGTGACCCTGAGGCCTCTGGAGACCAGCCAGACGGTCCAGCCTGGCTCTGCAGCAGAAAACAATTTGTCACACGGACTGTCAGCAAACAACAATGGCGGACTTCCCTGGAGGCGGAGCCCTAAACCCTGCGAGGTAAATGCACCCCTCCGCCACTGCACAAAGGAGCCCCACCTCGGCGTTTAGGCAAATCAGAGGAGAGGGTTGGCTTGGCCTGAGGCCAAGCAGCAGAAGCTTTAGTGCAACGTCCCTCCCTGCTGCCTGGCTTGTTTTCCTGTGCTCCCGGGAGGCCTTCTGCTTGAGCTGCAAAGGAGTTCTGCTCAGCAGATGCTTCTCCGAGCACTTGTCAGGACAGGTGAAGGGCTGGGGTGTGGTCACAGGAGTCTCACTCCAGGTTCCTGTCCTCCAGAGTTTGCTCTGACTGACATGAACAGGGACAACACAAGGCCCAGGGGCCGTGGAGTGGGCGGCTGACCAATGAGCAGTCAGGGAGGGCTTCCTGGAGGAAGTGCCCTCTGAGTTGAGCCTTGGAGATGAGCAGGGATCAGCCTGGGTGAGGAGGCCTCCAAGCTAGGAGAAATCATGAGCAAAAGCCCAGGTAGGGTTGGGGTAGGAAATGGTGGTAGAGATACCTGGCTTTCTGTAATCCTGGAGTGGAAGGTTCCAGAAGGAAGACATTGCCTTTTTTGTGATCCTGCTGTGTGACCCTTTCTGATGTTCCCACAATGAGGAAATCACCTAACCACACACTTCTCACAACCTATCCCCGTGGTTATATGCGTGACTGTGTATCTGAGGGTAAATTGCTAAGAGGAAATCCTGGGTCAGAGGAGGTTAACATTTGTCATTTTGTTGGCCTTGGCCAAACTCCACTCCTCGCCCTCTTTGAAGTTGTAGCAGTTTTTGAATCTACTTGCAGAGCTTGGGGGTGCCTGGGGCCCCCAACCCTGCCAGCACCCGCCTGTGATGTGTGGATTCCATTTAGCATCACAGACAGGGCCCTGCACTGACAATGATGCTTCTGAGTGGGGGAGGTGGGAGTTAGCAAGCAGGCGTTTGCTTCCTGACTCCACCGGAGGGGCCAGCTGCGTTTCCATCTGCAGGTGCTCACAAGCAGGAGTGACCTCAGCTGGGAGGCTGGGATCTGGCTGCCGGGGATGACTGATAGAGCACTGGGCAGTTTGGAGGCTGGTGAGGCGCTGAGAAGTGGCCTTTGGGCTCAGCCAGGAAGGCTGATATGGTCCTGCGTTCCTATCCCCATCCACCACGCGGCAGCTGTGGGCCCTCTGCCCAGACCCCTTCAGGCTTGGCTTTCTCCTGGGAAAATGGAAATTACAGCCCTGTGACATCATCTTATCTCATGGAGCCTTGAAAGGTATCACGTGGCCAGTGCCCGGCGGTGGCATTCACAGCCCAGGTGTGTGACCACC
Organism: Homo sapiens; assembly: GCF_000001405.40. Lineage (NCBI taxonomy): Eukaryota > Metazoa > Chordata > Mammalia > Primates > Hominidae > Homo > Homo sapiens. The sequence continues at coordinate 5,955,406 of NC_000004.12, read as the reverse complement.
CCTCGTCCTTTCCCCTGTAACGCTGGAGGCAGGTGACCCAGGAGCCAAGCACACACCCCCGCCTGGCTTTGGACCCCAGCTCTTCCCCTTACCCCACCTCTCCCCGCCTCGGTGATTTCATCTGTAAAATGGGGTTGCCTGCCTCCAAGGGCCGTGGTAAGGTGTGAGTGGGTTAGCATCTGTGAAGCGCTCAAGGAGGGCCCTGCGACATGCTTAGAGCTATGGAAGTGCCGCCACTGCTTTATCTCCATGCTTGTCATTTTTAAAAAACAGAATGAAAACAAATCACTTAAGGTGCAGGTGGGAAGGAGAGGTAGGGGCGGGCGCTCAGAGGGAGACACGCTCACAGCTGAAGAGCTCAGGAGGAAGACAGCAGGGGTCAGAGGGAAGCAAGGCTGCTGTTTCAGGCCTGTGCACAGGGCAGGTCAGCAGAGGTCTGCAGGGGTTGTAACGAGCCTGTCCAGAGGTTTCCTTCTCAGCTTTAATCCTGAAAGTAACAGGAGCTCAATGCCTGCGGCTGCTGAATCTTCTCTCAGGTCTCTCCCAACCAGCATCTCTGGTCCTTTCCACTGGTCTGTCTTTTCTGGAACAGCCTTTCCCTTGGATTTGAGGGTTGTTTTGTCTGGGCCTTCTGGAGGTGGGCTGAGCTGGGCGTCTTCCATTCCCTAAATGTCCACATTTGTTTATCTGGAAGAATTTGCATCCCTGCTGCTTGGACCAGTATCTTTTACTTGGTTTGACCCTTTTTAAAATGAACGAATCGAATACAGGCTGGCACGTCACACTCCAGAGCCCTCCCCTCTCCATGCGCTGCCTGCCGTGGAGGCCTAGGTGGGAATGGAGGTCAGCTTTGCTGCCTGGAGCTGACCCCCCTCCCCCATCCTCCCAGTCCATCTTTTCTCCTCTCCTTTCCCTCCCAACACACATCACCTCCCTCATCTGCTACAGAATCTCAGCCCATTGCTCCCTGGGGCCCTCCAGCCATGGCTCTGTCTGAGTGGCCGAGAGTAATTTAGCATCGGGCAGCAGGTGCAGGGCTGAGGGCAGGGGTCGGGGGAGCTGGGCTCCCAGCTGCTGCTGCTTCCCCATGCCCAGCCCCGGGGCTGGGTCCCTGGTATTTGCTGGACACAGGACCAGACCCCAGATCAATACCCCACCCCCAGCCTGACACACACAAGGGGAGGCTGCAGACAGGAGCCTAGAGTAGCCATTCCCCGTTGTCACTGATAGTCCATCCATGGCACACACACTGACTGCTGTGGGCCTACTGTGTGCTGCTGCTGTCCTGGGAGCCAGGGAGGCAGAGCCAGCTCTTAGCTTGGCTGCTGAGTGGGGCTCACTGTCAGGCAGCAGGAGCCAAAGAGGCATCGACCCTGCTCTTCCAGAGCTACTGCATCTGGTTGTTCAGGTTGTGTCCTAAGCAAGGCACTTGGTCCAAGGGCAGAAGGGGCTGAAATCCAGCCGTACTCTTTCCTTGGGCTGTGCCTGTCTAGAGGAAACAGTGCCTTTTACAGAGGCTGCCTCAGCCGTCCTGGCCAAGCCTTGCCACCTATGTCCACCTGGAACGGGCATCTTTTTGCAATTCTGTACAAAGGCACTGTGTGGCCCAGCACAGTGATTTTTGCTGACTCAGATCTAGTGGTGCTGAGTCAGCAGCCTGTGGTGGGCAGGTCTTGGAGTCCCCCAGGCCCCCCAGCAGGGCTCTCCAGCTTGTACAATGCCAGAGGGGCTGGACCTGCCCCCATGCGCCCTCCTGCCAGACTCAGGAGGCTGGCACTCTCCCAGGACCTGGCCTGAGAACAGTCCTGCCGTGGGATGATGGGACAGTGCTCTCTGCTCACTGGCAGGATTAAGATACTGCTGTCACTGAGTCCTACCTTTTATCACCAAATAGTCCCAGCACCTGCATCCTGGATCCTCCTTTAGGAAGTTACTGTGACTCCACCCATGCCCAGCTTGAGGCCAGGTTAGTACTGGACAAGGACTCAAGGCAGTGGGGATGATTGTGGGGCTGCTGCTTCATAGCTGTGTGTCTCTAGGTGAGTCATTTAACCTCTCTGTGTAAGTCAACTGTAGCCGCAATATTACTGTGTAAGAAACCAGCCCAAACTCAGTGACTCCCAGCCATTCTTTTTCACTCTCTCGTCTGCAGCTTGGCTAGGGTTCGGCTGACTAGGCTGGGCTCAGCTGGGAGGCTTTGCTTCAGGCAGAGGGCTGGGATTCAGGCCCGCTCCATGCCACAGTAAGTCGCGTGAACATCAGTGGGGCGGGGACTCACACTCCTCTGCTATGGCAGGAGGAGGAAGAACTGACAGCATCCAGCCTCCTGCCTCTCACAGCAGACCTAGCACACCCCATGCAGGACAGGGGTCAAGACCAGAAGCAGCCACCCGAAAATAGTGCTCATCACAGAGGAGGCTCCCAGCAGCTTTTGGTTCCCTTCGGCTGTCCCTTGAATGTCTTCACAATGGCATAAAATATTTCTAGGCAAAACCAAAACTTACGATAGGGAATTCAAGTGGAGTCAGGGGTGGATGCACACAGCCGGTGCCAAAACGAGTCGTTCTTGGAGGCGGGAGTGTCGGTGTCGGGAACTGTGCGTGTCCATGGCCTCTCTGAGCACGCTCCTTCCTCTCCTGGAAATCTGGCTTTGTTTCTGGCTTCTCCCTGAGGATCTAAGTAGAGACATCCAGAAAAGAACGACTGAGTCCTCAAAGGAGCCAGCCAGTTTCTTTCTTTAGCGCTTGACCTTTTAGACAGTTTGGAATATCTCCTCCCAAGTTCCCTTAAGGACGGGAAGTGGTGAGGGAAGGGGTGGGTGGAGTAGATGGAGGTCCCCAGCCAAGGACCTTCCACCCGCAGCCAGGTGGGGAGCGGTGGTCCCTTGACTGTGCCGCCTGGGGCCAGAGACCAGCCCCGCTGCTTCTGAGGAGGGGCCAGTCAGTGCTCATGCGCTTCGCCCTGCTCCCTCGCCCTGGAGGTGCCTGCCGTCCCCACTGCCAGCCCTTCCAGGATTCTGGGGTGCAATTCGGCTGGCTTCTCATTGGCTTTCTGTGCAAATTCAGTAGAGCAAAGAAAGCTAAAAAGTGGCTTAACTTCTGTTCTCTCCTCCTCCTCTTCTTATCTATTGATCTATCTATTATCTATCTATCTATCTATCATCTACCCATCTATCTTCAGATCCCCTCCATCAGTAGGTCTTGTCGCCTCCACCCGGGATCCAGCTGCCTCTTACGACTCCTGACCCTGGTTCGTTGGCAGCTCCATCCCTGGTGCCTAGAACAGTGCCTGGCTCCTCCCAGGGCTTAATACATGCTTGTTGAATGACTCCATGAACTAGTTGATTCATTTTATTTTAATGGCACTTCCAAGCACATATTTTATTTTATCTCACTGTCTGTAGTGCAAATTCTGTTAGATGAGAAAATATTATCATCCCTTTTATTTTTGCTTTGGGAGTAGAGGGGGTAGGAAGGCAATGGTTCAGGGAAGAGCAGAGGAGGAGAGGGATTGGAACCCAGCTCCCCCTGCACATTACACCACCACCTGCTGCTGAAGGAGGAGAGGGCCCGAGTTTTGCTGGGGTTGGGGAAGAGGTCTGGATTAGCAAGAAGGTAGGTCGGACGGAGAGCGAACGCATTATAGGAAGGGATGGAGAAGAAACAGGAAGTGTGGAGGGCGGTAGAGCAGGGAGACTTCAGACTCTCTTCAGCTTTGAAATTTAATTTTTCTGTTGGAAGGACTGTTATTTATTTCATGCCGTCTGTCTTAGACCATTTATTATGGAATTTTATCTGTGCCATTGTTAACAGGGCCGTAAATTTCACCTCATAGATAAAGTGACTTCCTTTCTCAGCTTCACATTTGTATTTCTTTGCTCATGAAGGTTATTCTCTGAGTGTTGGTTTGCAGGGTAATCAACAATAACTTGAAATGAGACAGACTGGGATACCAGTATCAGATCTGTCATTAACTAGCTTTGGGATCTAAAGTGACATAACCTCTCTGAGCCTCAGTTTCTCATTCCAGGGTGTCTCTTGCTTCACAATCATGTGCCACCACCCCCCTTCATTCCCTCAATGCAGGTGGCTTTACTATATTGTTATGAGAAAAGTCACTTGGTTTAGCTATTTCACACTAAGTTGTGAATGATTGATAGTCTCTCAACTTTGTACAGAAAACTACCTTTTGTAGTTTGTAAAGAGGACGCTCATGGCATAGAGAAACTTTCAAGTTGGCAGGTTTGGGAGCAGTGAGACAGAATGAGGGGACTCTCGACGGGACCCTAGTTCTGGTCCAGAAGATAGCCAGCCATCCAGCTAGGAGCTGAGGGTCCATGAAAACAAGTGCAAGAAAAGCACATGCTGCTTTGGGGATGAAATTGTGGCCATGAGCCCCTACTCTGTTCTGTGTGTGGGCTGAGCACCTTGTCTCACTCATGCTTATGCTGACCTGGAGGGACTCTTGTCACTGCCTTAATGCCGTAGGTAATTCATTCATTCATTCATCCACCCATCCATTCATTCATTCATTCATTCCCATGATCAATGCTTACTGATCGTCTCCTATGTGCAGTCATGCTTCCTGGTGTATGGGATTCAGCTATGAACAAGTCATCAGGAAGAGAAAGGCTACACACAGATTCATATATATTGTGTAATTTCAAGTCCTGATCGATGTCGTGAGGGAAGAAAAACGGGGGTGGAGACAGTGGGTAGGAAACGAGGAGGGTGACCTTTTCTATTGGATGTTATCAGTCAAGATGTCCTGGAGGAAGTGCCATTTTGAGTGGAAAACTGGTTGAAGAAGGAAGGCAGGAGAGAGGTGAAGTAGCTTGCCCAGGAGAACTCAGCGAGTAAAAGAACAGATTCAACCCCATTTTTGAAAATATTTTGTTTTGAAAAATTTCGAACCTTGACAAAAGTACAGAGAATAATAAAAGGAACCTCACGTAGTCATCAGCAACGTCGACAATGACCAATTCAAGAACAATCTCGTTTTATTTCTACACCACCCCCTTCTCTCCACTCATATTATTTCAGAGTAAAGCTAGATATCATATCATTTAATTCATCTTTTAAACAGTCACGATACCAGCTCCATCACACCTCAAACAAATGACGACTCCTTCACTTCATCAAATATCCAATCAGTGTTCAAATGTCTAAGTGGCCTGTCAGTTTTATAGTTTAAAAAATATTTGCAGTTTGTTTGAATCAGAATGTTAATAAGGTCTTCGCACTGTGATTGTCTTTCTTTGTGATAAAATATACAGAACGTATAGGTTGGTGCAAAAATAATTGCAGTTTTTGCTATTTAAAAGTAGCACCAACCTATACAATTTTTTGCGCCAACTTTTGCACCAACCTATAAAATTTGCATTTTATTTACATTTTAACCTTTTTTTTTTTTTTTTTGAGATGGAGTTTCACTCTTGTTGCCCAGGCTGGAGTGCAATGGCGCGATCTTGGCTCACTGCAACTTCTGCCTCCCAGGTTCAAGTGATTCTCCTGCCTCAGCCTCTGGAATAGCTGGGATTACAGGCACCCGCCACCATGCCCGGTTAGTTGTTCTGTATTTTTAGTAGAGATGGGGTTTCACCATGTTGACCAGGCTAGTCTCAAACTCCTGACCTCAGATGATCCACCTGCCTTGGCTTCCCACAGTGCTGGGATTACAGACGTGAGCCACTGGGCCCAGCCCATTTTAACCTTTAAGTACATTTATTTACATTCCCATTTTAACCTTTAAATACATTTATTTACATTGTTATTCAACCATCACCACCATCCACCCACAGAACCCTTCTCATCTTCCCAAAGTGAAACTCTGTTCCCATTAAACAGTAACTCTTCATTCTCATCTCCCCCAGCTCCTGACAGCCACCAATCCACTTTCTGTCTCTATAAGTCCGGCTACTCTAGGGACCTGATCTGAACGGAATCACACAATGTTTGTCGTCTTGTGAGCAACTGGCTTGTTTCACTTAGGACAGTGTCTTTGAGGTTCATCCGTGTTGGAGCGTGGGCCGGCATTTCCTTCTTTTGAGGGTGAATAATCTTCCCTTGTCTGGAAGAAGCACATCTTGTTTGTTCACTCATCAATCTGTGAACCCTGGTGGTGTGTCTTTAAAGTCTTTTCATCTATAGCTTCTGCCTCCTTCTCTTTTTATTTTCTTGCAACATGCTGTTGAGGAAACCAGGTCACTGTGCTACAGTTTTTCACGGGCGCAGGGCGGGGGTCTTGCTGCTGTGTCCCTGCTGTGGTGTTTGCTGTGCTCTCCCCTCTGCTGTCTGTCCTTGAATTGGCCATTGGCTCCAGAGCTTTGATTTTATCCAGATTCAATGGTTTTATTTTCAAAACTCCTTTAAAGGTGGTGTTAAGTTCTTCCATCAGGGGCAAATGTCTGGCTGCCTCTCTTTCTCTATTTTTTTTTTTTTTTTTTTGAGATGGAGTCTCACTCTGTTGCCCAGGCTGAAGTGCAATGGTGCAATCTTGGCTCACTGCAACCTCTGCATCCCAAGTTCAAGTGATTCTCCTGCCTCAGCCTCCCGAGTAGCTGGGAATACAGGTGTCCACCACCACGCCTGGCTAATTTTTTTTTTTTTTTTTTGGAGATGGTGTCTCACTTTGTCACCAGGCTGGAGTGCAGTGGCACAATCTCAGCTCACTGCAACCTCTGCCTCCCGGTTCAAGCAATTCCCCTACTTCAGCCTCCTGAGTAGCTGGGACTACAGGTGCATGGCACCACACCCGGCTAATTTTTTGTATTTTATTAGAGACGGGATTTCACTATGTTGGCCAGGATTGTCTGGATCTGCTGACCTCGTGATCCGCCTGCCTCGGCCTCCCAAAGTGCTGGGATTACAGGCGTGAGCCACCACATCCGGCCTTTTGTATTTTTAGTAGAAGCGGGGTTTCACCATGTTGGTCAGGCTGGTTTCGATCTCCTGACCTCAGGTGACCCACCCACCTCGGCCTCCCAAAGTGTGGATATTACAGGCGTAAGCCACCACGCCCAGCCCTGGCTATCTCTCTTTCTGTGATGTTAGCATCCCTAATGCCCAATACCTAGATCATGAACTCATTAGTTACGAATTCGAGGTGTCCTATAATACCATTCTTTCATCACTTACCTGCTGGAAGACTCCTAGCAGCACTTCCCGTTGCCCCCTCTTCAGTTCCTCAGTTAATTGAATTTTCGCACCTGCAAAGCTTATGTGCTGTATGAGCCTTGCTCTCTCAGTCTCCAGCATTTACTAACTGCCTGCTCTGTGCCTCTTGCTGGGGTCACAGAGAGAAGTGTCCCCAACCCCATGGGTTGTCACAGACCTGTGGGAGAGAAAAGCAGGTTCATTGGTGGATTCATCCCAAATTGACCATGGAGGTAGAGGTACTGACAAGATCCTGTGGGCGCACATAGGGGACAGACCCTCCTGGAAGTGAGGAGTGCCTGGAAGAGGTGCCTGCATCTGGATGCGTCTGATCTCGTGCAGAGGCTGGCAGGGACCCTGGGGGCTGGGCTGACAGCTCCCACTTTTAGACTTTCTAAGTTTAGTTTTTTGAAACTGAAAGTAGATAAAGCAGTCCTGATTTTATCAGGGGCTCCCAGGGGGACGATCCAGCCGGTATCCTGGGGTTTCCTTCCATCTCTGGGACTTGGAAGAGTGTTAGGCTACAGCCTGGATGAGGCCACATCCAGGGCTCCAGTGGGGGTGAAAAAGACCTCAGAGGCAGCAAAAGGAAGGGCTGTGAGTGTGGGAGGCCCTCGGGGCTGCAGTGCGGGAGCTGCCTCTGCCTCTCACCAGTCGGTGATTTGAAGGGGCTCCCTAGCCTCTCAGGGGTTGTTTTCCCATCCGTTGCTTGAGCTTGCATTCTGCACGTGGCTGCATGGACAGGTCGCCTGGTTGCCAGAATTATTTCTGGAGGCTGCATTCTTTTTCCCCAAGGTGCCCCAAGCATCACAATTATTGAGGTCTTTTCCTCCTATGGTAAACTTCCTTTCTCATCAGCCACCTCATCTAAGAGCATTTGCCTCTTCCAGGGCCAAGGGCATTGAGTTCTTCTTAACAAATCTGCAACCCTGCTGGGGGCTTGATATAAAACTCTCCAACTGCTCAAATTGGGGTCAGTAAGGAAGGGAGGCCATTCTTGGAGGTCACACAGCTCAGCTTCATTCTTGGAGGTCACACAGCTCAGCTTCCTCATCTCATGAATGGGGTCTCAGCAGGAAAGAGGTGACTGAGGGAGTCTATTTGTTCAAATAATAAAAAGAATAAAATAATACATTACTGTTCAGAATATTCCACCTTTCATCTTAAATAGGTTCCATGAGTGAGTCGGTGGGAATTCTGATGGGGTGCAGGCCAAGCCTGTGACCTTCCCTGGCTGTCATCTTTATTGAAATGGTGGTCTCTCCAAGGGCACTGGCCAAGAGCACCATGTGTGTTATCACCTCCCACGTTGTTATATGTAAATGTATCTTCTGTAGTGCCACAAAGAAATAGCACTTGAACATAAATTTAATTCTCTCAGCAAGGCAATCTTTACTTTCTGCAGAAAGGGTGCTCATCGCAGATGTAATAATGGCGAGAGCACATCCGAACAAAGGAGGGAAGCAATTTTTATTCCTTATGCAGTTTGTCCCTGCTACTGTGTCCTGTCTCCATTGGCTGGAGCCAGACCGCACAATCTAAACTGAAACCCGATTGGCTAACAGTTTAAAACTTTTCTAAATAGGTAAAGGCAATAGAAAGACAAAGGAAAAGAGGAAGTTGCTTATGAAAGGACTTAGGAAAGTAATAACATTCCCAAATAAGGGAGGGGCATAGGCTGCAAGCTGGGACATGCCTGTGAGCATGTCCAGCTTGGACATCTTGGTTAAAGTACAAGGACATAGAATGTTCTACATGCCTGTGAGCATGTCTAGCATGAAGTTAGTCTTTAAAAGAAACTATTATTTCTAACACTTACGATTTATTCTTTAACGAGAAGGGAAACTTTGAAGAGGAACTTTTACTTTCTATACACATCTTTTATCATATTCAGCACAGGGGGTGCATTGAAGGTCTAGGGGTTTTGGGTTTGTGAAGAAGGCACTAAACCCTCCTGCCAGTCCTTTCCAGGCCCCCTCAAGCCCCAGCCTGGCTGCCGTCCTCCCACCCTGGGAGCTCCTTCTGCAGCTGACTGTGCACTCCTGGGAAGCAGAGGGTGTGTCCTGCTCAGGGGCAGGACAAGGGGTGAACAGGGTGGCAAGCGTGGGAAGCAGTGACCACCCTAGGTTCAGAGGGCGGGGAGAGGGCGCTGCCGCTCCTGGAGGCTGGGAGAGCTAGAGCCGGGGTCTGCCATAGAGGAGCCTGGCCTCTGCCAGACCTACTCCTGATGGGGTGGAGAGTAAGTTCTAGAGCCTTCTCTCCTCCCTTTCTCCAGCCTTCTCCTTGTGCCTCCCATTGGCTGAGCCCAGCTGGAAGTCAGAGGCCGAGGGAGCCAGGGACGTCATCCTTGGGGTCAGCCTCCTGGGGCCAGAGAATGGATGAAACTGGGGCCAAGAGGGCAGAACAACAGCCAGCAGGGCAGCCGAGTGTGAGAAAACACAGAGGGCAGATGCCCCGGCCCAGGGTCCAGCCCAGCCCAGGGCCCAGCCTGCCAGCTGGTCAAGAAAAATGCAGGTTTCCTTCAAATGATTAATAGAAGCAACTGAGATGGCAACAAGGAGGTTGATGGTTAGGAGGCAGGGGCCGGGGCAAGTCTGATCTGCACCTCCTTGGGCAGGCCTCACCCTTTGGGGCCTCTGTTTCCTCCTCTCCAAGGTGAAGGCCTTGGAAGAGATCCCACTGCCCCGACTCCACAGGGCCCTGCGACTCATTTTGCTTGTTAGATCCCATGTGGGTCTCCGATCTGCAGGTGCCAGGCTCACATTCACGAGCCATGTTTGTCAATGAAATCGGAGGTTTCCCCTCTCCCGGGTGCTGGCACTCTGGCCGGGCTACTTAAATGCAGGATAAGACACAGAAGAAAATGAAGTGAGTCCCCTGAGATGTGGCCTCAGCCAGGGCCTGGGTTCTAGCAGCTGTGGGGTCCCCCGGGAATGTGGGTACCAAGCTGAATCGTGAATAGCCCTGTGGGAAGATTGATTAAGATGTCATGCCGGTGCCAGGCAGTCAAATCCGAATGCTGCTTACTAAGGGAAACCCTCTCCTGCTGCTTCAGCTTATTTCATGCAGAGGGGACTGGGGGGCTCGGAGGACCTGGAGCTTCCTCCTCCCAGGAAGGGCCGCAAAACCCTCAGCCCAAGGCACCTCCCCATGCACGCTCCAGTGCTAGAGCCACTGGCCTGTGGAGAATCATTTTGGAAATGTGGGGACAGGCGTGGAGCCTTGGTGTGAATTCCAACCATGCCACTTACCAGCTACAAGACCTGGAGCAGGTGTCTTGGTGGCCCTGTGCCTCAGTTTCTTTCCGTGTGGAATAGACTTTGGTAAGGACTAAGTCAATCAGGCAGCAGGCTGGCTCATCCATCTTTGCTGCTTGGAAGTGTTAGTCCTCTCCTCTCTGATCTCCCTTTCCCGGGGAAGTCTTCCCAGACCCCTCCGCCCCAGGCCTCTGAACTGCCAGCTTCCATTTCCCACCGTGCCGCTGAGCCCTGTCCCAGCTGCCCTCTTCTGTTTCCTTGTCCCTGCCTGTCTCCCAGCAGGCTGCCTGCTCCTTAAGGGCGTGGGTGCATCTGGTTCATGTGGGTACCAAGCTAAATCTTTATCCTCCATCCCAGCACAGGCCAGGCGTGGGGGGTGCTGCTTCCTCCACTGGAGCTTCCAGAAGGTTCTCCGAGGTATGAACCAAGGTGTGGCTTGTGATCACCAGCTATAGTGAAGAGTGGGCCATGTGACTCTGGACCATGTTTTCTCTCTGAGGGCTGCCCCCTCGCTCACTCCTTCTATTTGTCTCATCGATCATTTCATTCCACATAGTTTCACCTAGTGTCTCCAAGGTGCCAGGGAGCACAGGATAGTGGGAGAACTCCTGGGGGGCAGAGAATGAAGGAGAGAGAGAATGAGACAGAGTCATGAGCCGTATAAACAAGTCATTCCCCTGCAGAGGACTGAGGGGCAAGAAGGGGCCTCCAGCCTTCATGGAGGGGCTGAGGGAGGAATTCCCCAGGGAAAGCCAGGAGAAGCTGAGAGCCCAGCCTTTGAGAGAAGAAGGGAGCTTAGAGACTGTCCACTATGACTCTCCATGGGGAGGGAGGAACCAGGAGGCCAGGGAAGCTCGATGCCCAGAGCGCAGGTATTGTGACTTCCTCGCCAGGGCTTTGTGTGTCTATTTGTCTCTGTATGTCAGAGACATGTGGCAAGAGAGACAGGGTTCAGATGGGGGCTGCCAGAGGCCTCCCAAAGAGCCTGTTGTGGGACTGCCCAGCTGTAACATGACAGGTAAGCAAGGACTGCTTGAGGGAGACCTTTGGCCCCCACTGTCTGGCCATGCCCTGTCAGCATCCATCTTTGTATCTAGATAGCTGTAGGGGGTTTATCTTCACTCTCAAAAGGAATTCGTCGTTTAAGGAAATAAGATGAAGTCCGATGAGTCTAATCTTACACAGGGCAGTGCTTGCTAATTGAGTGTGATTTCTGGAGCTGATAAGGGAGTATTGTCAGGTTCTCAATTTCCTGTCCTTGTTCTGACTTCTACGTCTTGGGTGTGTTAGAGGCTTCATAGCCGAGACACTCAAAAGTACTTCCTGCCTCTCAGATAGGAATTCACAGTTTGTAAAGCGTCTCTTGATGTGTGCTCTTGTTTGATTCTCACAGCTGTGAGGAGAGAGGAACAAGAAAGAGGATACCCATTTTGCAGATAAGGAAACTGAGGCACAGTGAGGTCTGGGAATCTTCCCAAGATCACACAGTTGGGGTGAAGGGGAGAGGCTGGTTTTCCTCTGATCCCCCAGCTCCCTGGAATTCGGACCTTCAGGCTGTCCCAGAGTTCACCCCTGGTGCTTGGACATCAGTGCAAAGGTGCATAGCCAGTAAAATCTAAAAATTAAATGTGGCTATTCCAAATGTGAACCCCTGGGAAAACTCAGGGGCTTAGCTTCAAAGTGAATGCAAAGAAACAGAACCATGAAGATACTGTTCGGTTCTGTTGTGTTCAGAACAGTTTTAGAAAAGATGTGATCACTTTAAGAAGAAGCCTACTGCGGGTGCCTAACGGACACGTAGCATCACGGAAACAGCTGCCGCTTCTGTGAGGAACGAGGCCAAATGTTTATTGAGCATCGATTCTGGCTCAGGCTAGAAGTTTTCCAAGATCCTGCCTGGAACACTAGGATAATCAAATATCCTTTCATATATGCCTAGTGCCTAACCAAGCCTGGCACAGCAGAGAGAAAGAAACATATTTTAAACAACATTTTTCTGCTTATAAAAATTAATATATACGTATTTGAGTGAATTTGGAAAATTAAAAAAATAAAGTGACAAAAACACATGGAATTCCACCAGTAAGAGATGTTCATTTTCAACATTTTGACATTTATCCTTACGCATCCAGGCTTTTTGAAAAACGAGATCATACTGTATGTGATGATATTTAAAGCATTTCTCATTCAACATGCAGTATTGACATGCTATTTTATAGGGACAGGATAGCATGTTGGTTAAGATAATGGATTCTGGAATAGTCTCTCAAGCTGTGGGCAAGTTCTTAATCCCTTTGTGCCTCCATTTCTTCCTAAATAAAATGGGGATAAGAGCAGCACCTTTTTTATACTCTTGTAGGAGTAAACAAACTAAATATGTAAAGTGCTTAGAACAGGGCCTGGCATAGAGCAAGTTTTCACTAAATATTTGATGTTATTATTATTTCAGTAAAATTATTTAAGCCTCCCTCCCTCATCCCCACTACTTACTTTGTGCTGGGCATTTTCCAAGGTCTTTTCACACATGCTGTCACATTGAATTTCTAAATGATGCCAAGAAACTGATATTGCCTCCCATTTCACAGATGTTGAAACTGAAACTTGGAGCAGACAAGTCACTTGCCAAGTCATACAGGGATCAGCAAAGCCAGAATCAAACCCCTTTGGGTCCTGTATGACCCCCAAGCCCTTGGACTGTGCCCAGACCACCCTGCTCCTGATCTTAGCTCTAAGCAAACCAGATTGGCACTGTGGATGCTGCTATTGATTTGTCTGGCGTTGATTGTTACTGCTACCTGGGGTTGTGTATGTAGGAAAGGAGGCCTTTTCAGTCCATTTGTAACCCACCCCACACCTCTGATGATTTCAAATCAACTGCTACCTCTCCCTAAAGCTTCCTTAGGCAGCTGGGACTGAGATTCCTCCAGGAGCAACCCTTTCTCCAGTGTCTGGTAGATGCCTGGCATTCCACAAATGCATGCACAATTGAGCTGAAAGCCACTTTTAAAAAATAAACATTGATAATTGGAGGCGCTTTTGGGACTGAAACCAAAACCCAAGAAAGACAAAGAAAGGAAATGGGGTATTTCATTTAGAGAAGACTTGGAACCTACCGCCCCAAGGAGTACCTAGTGAAAGTGAGAGGAGGAGGAGTCCCATTGTAAATTGGAAAAAGCCTTGGCCTGGCGCCAGGCCAACCTTAGTTCCAATCCCTGTGTGACCTTGAGTGAGTTTATTCCCCTCAGCCTCCTCCGTACAATGGGGACAAGGCTGCAGTGAGGAAAATAGGAGAGAATGTGTTTGGACTGTTTAGCGTGTGCTGGGCCTGAGTTTAGACTCTTAAGAGCAGAAGCCGTGTCTTCTGTGTTGTAGAAATTGGTGCCCTTAATTTCTAGAAAAGTATTGGGCACACTGCAGGCATGAGGAAATGTTATTGGACAAATGAATACTTAACAAATAGATGTTAGTTTCTCTCTACCTATCGTCTTACACAGGTACCAGGGAATAGTTAGGAGGATGAGAGATGAGGGTGTGGGAAGTTGGGGGATGAGATGGTAGAATAAGAGAGAAGCAATGTAAGGAGTAGCAACGGGTGCAGGAACCAGAACCAGCATGCCAGAGTTCCGGTCTCAGCTCTGCTGCTGGCAAGCTCTGCAACTGTAGCCAAGTTGCCTCATCTCTTGGGGTCTCAATTTCCTTGTGAGCAAATAGGGACAATGATAGTACTTAACTCGCAGTGTTGTTGTCAGAATGACAAGAGCTTTAAACTTATAAAACACTCAGCATAGACTCTGGCACAAAGGAAGCACCCAATTAATGTAAATCATCATCATCATTATCAGAACATTTTATTAATTAGAAGAAAGAAGATAAATTAGATATGATTGAGTAATAAACCACCCTAAAGCTCACTGGCTTAAAGTCACAACCATTTTATATATTCATGTATACACATTAGATGTAGATTGGCTCTGCAGGGTGGTTTTCAGCTGGTCTCACTTGGGTCATTCATCAGATAGTTCTACTGGGGCTGAGTAGTCTAGGAGGGCTTTGTGTCTGGCCATTGGTGCTAGGCATCAGTTGACTGTTTTTTCAGCTAGAATGCTCATTTCTGCTCCAAGTATCCTCTCAGCCTCCAGAAACTAGCTCAGGTTTCTGCATATGGTGGTCTAAAGGCATGGTTCCAAAAGAGAGAGCAGGAGCTTCAAGGTCTCCTGAGGCCCAGGCTCAAATCTCCCACGGCGTCACTTCTGCATCTTTCTATTGGTCTAAGCATGTGGCAAGGCCAGTCCAGGGTGTGGAGAACCAGACTCCACCTCTAGCTGGGAGGGGCAGGGGAGTCACATTACAAATGAATGTGCACACAGAGGTGGGAGGGATTCTTGCAACCAGCTTTGCAAACAGTCCTTCACTGGCAGGAAATGACATTTTTGAGGCCCTGATTACTTACCAGGCACTTCAGCTTCCACAGATGTTATCCACATAGCAAAATGTTGAGGCGAGGACTTCACTGTCACCAGGAATACTATATTCAGGCCAACTCTGCCAAGCCATTAAGGCATCTGATATGGTGGGATTCAGGCTGCAGATCAGGGCCTGGGGGAAGGGCACCTGGGTTCTTTCTGTCAGTGAGAATTGCAGAATTCTAGGAAAACCATAATAGTATAATGAATTACAAATAAGAAGGAAGATTTCTATCAAGTGTGTCAACTGAATGATGAGGTTCATACATTTGGAAAGGAGGGCTTTATTTCCCATAAAGGATTGCAGCCTGCAGGGTGGCCATTCTGGCAGGCTAGGGAGCATAACCTCTGGCCAGAAGCCAGAAACAGACACTTCCAGTGAGGGACAAAGAGAACAGAAATTTATGCTGAGTTGGGTGGCCAAATATACATATTTAATTAGCTATGGGAGGAGTCATGAATATTTATGAAGGGAGAAACACGCACATGTGCAACTGAGCTTCATGCTTTTCCATGGGACCCACGTTCAAAAATGGCAGCATTAGCATGATCCGAGGGTGTTTTCAGCCGTCTGACATCAAAAAGTGGGGCAGAGGATGCAAAAACCCTTTCTGCATGTTGTCGGTAGACTGGCCAGAACCACTGCATGGTTGGTGGTCTCTTATCACTGCTGAAGCAGTGAAGACTAAAGGAGCCAAATCCTGGAGAGGGGAGATCTTCTGAGAGTCAGTGCTGCTCTCCTGCTGGGGTTTTCTGCAGTCTGGGGACAGGGGACAGGGCTGAGGATCCAGGCCTGGTTCAGTGCAATGACCATTGATGGGGATGGAGAGACAAATTAGAGACTTCAGGGGCTTCAAAGGCCAGGGTGGGTTTCTCCTCCAGACGTTTGCCACATTCCAAAGCTGTGCAGGGTGGGGAGTAGGAAATGGAATGAGAAAGCCTCTGAACAGCAGAGCAGAGTTTTCCATAGTCTAGATGTCCAGAAGAAAAGGATCAATGTCGAGGCTCTGCTGGAGCAGCCGTCAGTGAGCACACTGGGCTCTCACCTGGCTGCTGTTGATATTTGACCCCATGGTGCCCTCAAAGCCAAGGGGGAGTTTCAAATAGAGAAGGACTTCTTGTAGTTTAGGGAGACCATTTTGGATCCCTGTGGAGAAAAGATTGAAAGAGATGGGAAACTAATGGAGAGGGGACAGTGACAGAGGATGTTGCCTGGTTGTGGATAATGGCTGATGGGCAGGTGGTGACTGGTATATTCCATTTCTTTCTTTCTTTCTTTCTTTTTTTTTGAGACAGAGTTTCAGTCTTGTTGCCCATGCTGGAGTGCAATGGCGCGATCTCGGCTCACTGCAACCTCTGCCTCCCAGGTTCAAGCGATTCTCCTGCCTCAGCCTCTGGAGTAGCTGGGATTACATAGGTGCCCGCCAACACCCAGCTAATTTTTTGTATTTTTGGTAGAGATGGGGTTTCACCATGTTGGCCAGGCTGGTCTTGAACTCCTGACCTCGGGTGATCCCCCTGCCTTGGCCTCCCAAAGTGCTGGGATTACAGGCATGAGCCACTGAGCCCTGCCCCCATTTCTTTCATAAATCAAAAAAGCAGAGAAGCATGAGCAGGCAGAGGAAGGCAAGCTATTTGATGGAGACGCCATCTGTCACAGCAGCAAACTTGGGAGGATTAGGGGAAAGCAAAGGTGGAAAAGACACATCATTTGTCTTAAATGATAAAAAAAAAAAAGAAAAGAAAAAAAACTGACATCACATTATGAAAGGAGTTTGATAGATTTTGAAATGGGAGAGAAGAATTTGTCTTGATTAGTGTGATATTAAGTAGAATTAAAACTGAGGACAGGTTCAAATTAAATATAAAAAAGGTTATCTGAGACTTGGAGATTAATCAGCTCATCCATCTCATTTGAGGAAACTGAGGCCCAGGGAGAAAAAAAAATGGCCTGTTCAAGGGACCTAGTAAACTGATTACAAAACCACCCTAATATTGTTTCTTATTCAATGCTGGGAAGGCTTGTCTTTCCCCATCCTAAGGCCACCTCCTTAGATCAGAGGGCCCCTCCCGCTGTGACCCTTGGATCCTTGGGGCCTACTTAGGACATTGTCATTGTTAACTTGTTGGAGGAGGTTATTGAAGAGAGAGCCCCTTGGTGACAAAGACTCTATGATTCTCCTAATTCCTGTTATGGTCCCTTTGATCCATGAGTCATTTAGAAGGATACTTTCAAATTCTTAATATGTGGGATTTTCTGTATTTTGTTCTTATTATTTATGTTTTAATTCCATCGTAACCAGAGAATATGGTTCATATAATTTCCATTTTTTTTACTTGTCAAGGCTTGCTCTATTTCCAAGATTATAACTGCATTTGGCAATGTTCCATGTATGTTTGAAAATATTACGTATTTGGCTATTATACTAATGTTTCAGACTTTATATATACGTCCATTACATGAAACTTGTTCATTGTGGTCTTCAAATTTTCTTTGATTCCTCATTGGTACATTTGTTTGCTTGATCTGTCAAGTTCTGAGGAAGATGTGTTTAAATACCCAACTATGGCGATTCTGTTTCTAATTTTCTTAGTTTTGCCTTATACATTTTGAGGCTATATTATTAATATTTAGTGCAGTCTAGTATTTTTCTATTATACCATGAATCTTTGTTTTACAATTAGGTAGTAACCTTTGTTATCTTTAATAATGTTTTGCGATTTTGAGTCTATTTTGTTTAATGTCAATATGGTTATTCTGAGTTTCTTGGGCTAGTATTTGCTTGGTACACCTTTTCCCATTATTTTACAGTCAATCCTTCTCTGTCTTTATATTTTTAGTATGTCTCTGTTAACAGCATATAGCTGTATTTTAAATTTTTTAAGCTTACAACAATCCTTGTCTTTTAAATGGAAAGTTTAGTCCATTATAATGATTATGATAACTGATATATGTATATCATAATATATACATTATAGCTGACAAATATATGTATATTTATCCGTCATCTTACTGTGTGCTTACTGTTTACCCTGCCTTTGCTATGCTTCTGATTTTTCACTTTTCTTGCTTTGTATGAAACTGATTAAGTTTTCTTTATTCTACTTTTCACCCTAGGTGTACATTATATTTCCATTATTTTAGTGGCTACCCTTTAACGTTTCAAAGTGCATTCTTGGCTTGGCATCTCTAACTTCCTCACGCACAGAGAATCCTAAGAAGGCTTTAATTTTCATACCTCCCCTTGCATCTTTTATGTTTCCCAGGAATATATTTTCACTCTATTTTTATACTTTTCACATGAGCCACTATTATTATTTTATATAGTTAATACTTTTTTAGATTTACCAGTTTCTTTAGTTGCCGTTCTTTCTTGTATTTTTTTTTCTTTTGAGTTTAGTTTAGTTCTCCCTGGAGCACATTCCTTACTAGTATTCTTTTAGCAAGGCATTTAGCAGTAAAAACCTCTCAGTCTTTGCCTGAGAATGTCATTATTTTTTTTTTATGGTTAGGTGATCATTTAGCTTCATATAGAATTCTAGATTCTCTATTATTTCTTCTTGGTGGTATGACAATGCTATTCCACTGTCTTCTGGCTTTCATGAAGACGCCTGTTATTGCTGTAACTGCCATGTACTTTTAGGTAATCAATTTCTCTCTCTCTGATTGCTTTTAGCATCTTCTATTTGTCTTTGTGATTCTGGAGTTCTGCTATAAGACATATATTCATTTTTATCTATCCTACCTGGGGTTCATGATTTCTGAATCTGAGAATTTGTATCTTTCAGCATTTCTGAAAAATTCTGTTATATATTTGAATATTACACCTTCAACCCCTTGTCTTTTCTTTCCTTCTGAAACTCATGTTAAGTTTTAGACTGACTCAATTTTTTCCTCTGTGGCTCATAACCTCTATATCTAACTTATGTCTAACTCTGTCTGTCTTTCTTTTTTTTTTTTTTTTTTTTTGAGATGGCGTCTTGCCATTGTTGCCCAGGCTGGAGTGCAGTGGTGCGATCTCGGCTCACTGCAGCCTTCACCTCCTGGGTTCAAGCAATTCTCCTGCATCAGCCTCCTGAGTAGCTGGGATTAGAGGCGCCCGCCACCACGACTGGATAATTTTTGTATTTGCAGTAGAGACAGGGTTTCACCATGTTGACCAGGCTGGTCTCCAACTCCTGACTTCAGGTGATCCACCCGCCTCGGCCTCCCAAAGTGCTGGGATTACAGGCATGAGCCACCGCACCCATCCTCTTTCTGTCTTTCTAAGCTATATTCTAGGTAATTTCATTAGATAAATCCTGAAGCTCATTTTTTTTTTTTCCTGCAGCATGAAGACTCTGTAGCCAGACTGTTGGGGATTAAATCCAGGCCGTGTGATCTTTCTGTACTTTAGTTTCATCATCTTTAAAGTGGGAGTTCCAACTACTACCAAAGTGGGTTCCTTCCACCTACCTACCAAAATAACCTAAAATTATTTTAAGGTTAAATAAATCCATATAGATAAAGCTCTTAGAGTTGTACTGTCCCATCATAAGTGCCGTATCCAAGTTAGTTAGACATTACCTTAATTATGTTAAGAATCCACTTTATGGTCTCTATTCAATAGTTCTACTATTTGATGTTCTTGGGGGAACTTAACCTTCCTGACAAATACATCTTATGTCTTCATTCATAAAGGATTGTTTTCTTGGGCGTTTTGTAATGTTGGCCTCTGGGGCTTTTTTTTTTTTTTTTTTTTTTTTTTAGACGGAGTCTCCCTCTGTCGCCCAGCCTGGAGTGCAATGGCGCAATCTCGGCTCACTGCAGCCTCCACCTCCCGGGTTCAAGTGATTCTCCTGCCTCAGCCTCCCGAGTAGCTGGGACTATAGGCGCCCGCCACCACACCCAGCTAATTTTTGTATTTTTAGTACAGACGGGGTTTCACTATGTTGGCCAGGCTGGCCTCGAACTCCTGACCTCGTTATCCGCCTGCCTTGACCTCCCAAAGTGCTGGGATCACAGTCATGAGCCACCACACCCAGCCCTGGGGATTTATCTATAGGAATCCTGTGTGTTTCAGCATCAGCCCCAAATATATCACAGGCTCAAGGGAGTTCAACCCCAAATTCCCATGAGATATAGGGCTATGGTTACATCTTCTTAAGGATGGCTTTTTTCTCTTCACCTAGAACTCAAGCCAGGACAAACTTCCTCTCTATCTTCTAATTCCCCCTGTTACTGGGGGCGTAGCCCTCCAAGGACCTTGGCTCAGTTCCAGCTCCCTGACTCTGTCTGCGTCCATGTCGAACTGCATCCCCTGGTTTACAGAGGCCAGGGCAGCCTTCCAGGAGTGGCAGTGGCACCATTGCTCATGTGGGTTTTCCTTTACTGACCTGTGAGAACTGCTCCTCCTGTAGAAGAAAAAATAAGGCCATGTTAACTGCAGTAATTATGAACCTAGAGCTTCCTGTGTGCCAAGTGCTGTTCTAAGCAGTTTCCATATTTTAACTCATTTAGCCTTCATGACAACTGTATCTGCGCACTATTAACCATGTTTTACAGCTGGAGAAACTGAAGCACAGAGCTGCTAAGTAACTTGCTTGGGGTCACCCAGCCAGAAGTGTAGGGAGCTGGGATTTGAACCCAGGCAGTTTAGGGTCACGTGTATGCACTTAAGCCTATACCAGGCTGCATCTCAGGCTATAGAAAGACACTTTGCCTGGTTCCTGGCCCATGATAGTGAGTACACAATAATAGCTGTTGGCATTTTTATGATAAATGCCATCATTATTGTTGTTGCTATTGTTATTTACAAGTAAACCCTCGTTCTAGGCTTCAGGAGCTCACGGGCCAGGACAGCCAGACACACATGGAAGGGAGGCTTGTGCTCCAGCCTGGCTATGGCAAGTGTGCAGGGCCTGTAGCTGGCCTGGGGCAGGTGGTTTGGAGCTGAGGAAAAAGCATGGGTGAAGAACATGCCAGGAGTTAAGTGGGGCCGGGAGGAGGGTGCAGGGAGGAGTGGCAGGACACAGAGAAAAGGTAGACAGGGGCCAGACGGCAGAGGACTCTTGAGCCAGACCAGCGAGCCTGGAGCTTCTCCTGCAGGGATGACAAGCCACACAAAGTCCTTTTGTGGAGGAGTGGAGTTTGATTTATTTAAAATGCTAAACTCTGTGCTGAGTTTTCCAATATGAGGAAGCTTGCAGAGGAATCTGCAGGCAATGCTGTCTGAGCAGGAAGAGAACAACAACAGCGAGGACCTGGAAAGGACCAATGTGTGTGGGTGGTCGTGGAGTTTCAGAGCAGCCGTGACTCCTGTGTCGCCGCCAAACACTGTCCACCTCGCCTTACCATGCAGCCGTCTACTCTCTACAGCCATCCAGTGAGCTGCTCACCCCTTCTTACAGATGAGGAGACCGAGGTGCAGGGAGGCGAAGTGAATTGCCAGGGGCTGTGTTGGAGTGGGAAGATGTCTAAGCCTGTGTCCTTAACCCTACACCACGCTGCTGCTCCAGTTTTAGAAGAAAAGAGTAGGGAGGTGATTCTCGCTCACAGACACCCTTCTCTCTCTTCCTGCTTCTGCTCTCCTCTCTGTCATCTCTTCCTTCCCTCTCCTCTTCCTGTCTCGTCCTCTCCTGACCTCCTCCTCCCACTCCTCTCCCCAACAGTCTTGTCACCAGGACCCCCACATTGGCTTTTATTCTATCTTGGAGGGGACTTCACTATCCCTGGCTCACTCCCATGCCTCCCAGGGGTGCGTCAGTGCAGGTCTTGGGAACAGTGTCCTTCAAGGGGGTCTGGGCCAGAGGGGACCTTGCTATGCCTAGCCCATTTCCCATGGGCACCCGAGCTCCGCAGGGAGGCACGACCGTAGTCAAAACAACTCCTGCTGAGTACGCCCCTAACCCCCAGCTCACTTAGTAGCAGACATTAGAGGGTCTGTGCTGGCCGAGTGCTGGTGTCAGGGACATGGGGATGAGCCACATAGCTCCAGCCCTCAGGGACTCCAGCCACCTGAGCAGGTAACTGGCGTGGAGTCTGGTGTGTACCAGTGTGTGCTGGGAAAGCCCAGAGTCAGGGGTCAGCCCCACAGCAGATGGGGAATATGGGAGTAGGGACGGGAGGTGGAGGCAGGAGCTGCCATTCATAGAGGCTGGAGAAGTAGGAAAATCCCCATCCCAAAGTTCTGTGAGTGGCAGACTCGGGACCTTGGATCTTTTCCCAGAATCAGTAGGGAGCCTTCCAGAGTTTCTAAGTGGGGTGGTAGTGAGCAAACATTGCGCTTGTGTTCCATGAAGCTAATATTCAAAAGCACTCTTGACAAAGTGTTTTCACATGCATCCCAGCATCTGATCCTTCTTCCACCCTCTGTGAGAGACGAGGGCAGCTAAGATATGACATGGAAGAAAAGATCCAGAGGCAGAGAGGAGGCTTGTTAGGATTGCTTAGGATGCACAAGACAACACCAGGCTCCCGTCCAGGGCTCTGGTGTCAGGGTCCTGATCCCTGGTGCTGGGAGCAACTCTTCTGAGGAGAAATTTGTTTACAAAAATTATAAGGCAGAGAGAAAATGACGGTCTTTAATATTAATGATAATATGGTTTCCGCCATTTATTGAGTGGCTGCTGTATGCCAGGAGCTGCACCACCATTATAAATGCACTATCTCATTTAAACCCTGTAACAATTTGTGAAGCTAACTAGTAATATTCTCCTCTGTGCAGAAGGAAACTGAAGTTCAAAAAAGATGCCTTCTATTTCTGCTGATCTGGGATTGAAATCCAGCTCTCTTGCTTTTTTAATACTGTAATGTGGGTGCAGTGACTCACACCTGTTATCTCAGCACTTTGGGAGGCTGAGGTAAGAGAATTGCCTGAGCCCAAGAGTTCAAGACCAGCCTGAGCAAGGCAGGGGGACTCCATCTCTATAAAAAATTAAAAAATAAAAATTAGCTGGGCGTGGTTGCATGCACCTGTAGTTGCAGCTACTCAGGAGGCTGAGGCGGGAGGATCAATTGAGCCTGGGAGGTCGAGGCTGCAGTGAACTGTGATGGAGCCACGGCACTCCAGCCAGGCTCCAAAACAAACAAACACTGTAATGTTCCCACCACAGTCTGATGCCTTCCTTCTCCAGGTAGATGATCACCTGGTCACCTCAGGTTCAGGACTTGGGCACCAGGACAGCACCAGGCAAGCTGTCCGCTGCCTGCCTCCCTCTTTGATGGCTGGATTCTTTACGGAGCCCAGCCTCGCTACTCATGTGCGTGCTCCATAAATGGGCCAAGGAAAGAGTGTGCCAGAGTAGAAATGCGACACGCTTCTGCTCTGTGGGGCATTCAGCCAAGAACTGTGTGCATGGTTCACCTGCCTGTGAAGATAGCCAGCCAGTGGGTTTACACCTGGCAGGTTAGTGAGTTACACCTGCCTTCCTCAGCTGAGAGGGGGGCAAGAGGCCAAACATTGCACGGAAATTAGAGACAGTTGGCAGGGGTGGGGGGCGGGGGGGCGTTGGGAAGAGCTTAGCATTTTGGGGTCAGGTGACAACTCTCCGTAAATACTGAGCTGGTGACATTGCCTGTCTTCTCCTCTGCCCTTCTGCGTGGCTTGCACAATTTGGCTCCCCTTTCCAGCCTCGGCTTCCCCTTCTCTGTGTGCTCTGCTGATTTTCTGGAATCAATGAATAGAAGGAGGAAGTGACATTGAATGAGACAGTGACACCCCGGGGTGGTGATTTCTGTGTCAAAGCCTAAAGGAGAGCCTGGATCCACGGGGAAGATGGGAGGGAGGGGTGTGCAAACCTTAGGCTCCTCAGAAGCCTTCCTGGAGGAGGCAGAGCTGAACGAGAGGGATCCCCCTGCAGAGAGGGTGGAGTGGGCCTCCCCGTCAGACATCACAAGGGCTGCTGATGGCTAGTGTGTGGAAGGACAGGAGGAAAACAGCCGCGCAGAGCCTGTGTTTGGAGCGTGGAAACATGGCAGTCTAGAAGGGCAGAGGGCAGGTTTCTAGTTCAGCTCAGCCTCGCCAGGGCTGCATGACCTTGGGGAAAATTGCTCTGTGTTTTTAGACTTCCTTTGTCTCTTCTGTGACATGAGAATCCTGGTAAATCACTTTATCTTCGCACCTGAGAAACTGACAGTGAAAAGTTTTTGCAAACCATAAAACTCTGTTCAAATGCAAAGATGTGTTCTTCTACATGGGAAACCAACACCACTCCTAGATTCCCTAACTGATACTTACTAGGTGTCCCTTGCACTGTGCATCAGTGTTTGGGGGCCGCCTCTTGGTTCTCTTTCCTTTGCCCTGAATACAAACCCCTGAGGTCATGGGAACACACCAGCCAAGTAGCCTGGACTTTGAGTCTGCAGGGACTCTTTGCAGGGGCTGTTTTCAGCTCAGCCCCAGTCTTGGCGAGTTCCTTTTCAGCTGGGCCTGACAGAGTTGGATTCCAGTGACCTGCAGGATCCGGGACATGGCTCTTTCATCCTAGTCTCACTGGGACAGATTTAGGCTCTCCCACTTTCATGTGAGCTTTGCCAGCTGGACCTGAACTGTTTGCTCATTTATGCACGAGGCGTTTGTGCACTCCTGGCCGGGACTGTCCCTCCCTTCTTTCCTTCTTTATCCCGTTACCCCTTTGCCTCTCCGCTTCCCAGCACTCTTCTTCCACTTATGTCTTTCAACATTTTGAGGAGTACCTGCCAGGCCCATGCTGGGCATCATGGACAGCAGAGGTGAATCTAAGCATGGTCCCTGCCTTCATGGTGCTCACGTGCTCCCAGGGGAGACGCACACTGGAGTTGAGTGCAACACTGTAAACTGTAACACATATGTTCACTCATGGAGGGGGATCCGGCTCTGGAGAGAGCCAGAGGGTGATGAGCAGACCCACCCAGGGCGGGCGGGGCCCCAGAGGCACTTGCTTCATGCCCGCTCTATGCAGAGCTGCTGCACACACGCCCACAGTGAGACACGGGAGGCACTGCTCAGACACATGGATTAAAGTTGTTAAAACTGTCTAGTGTTTCAAGATTCACAAAACCTGAACACTTTGATTCTTCTAGCAACTTTATGAAGTGGTCAGCTGAACATAAGAAAGGGGTTCAAAAAAGTCTGGTGGTGGATTGAGCAAATACCAGAAGGTAGAGTCAGCCTGCGGGGATAGGAAGTCAAGCAAGGATGGGGGCCGGAAGTCAGGGTTAATCCCTATAGAGCTGACCAAATAGCACCTGACACATAAAGACAGTCAGTAGGTAATGTTACCTCTTATAATTGGTTGCTATTTTCCAAAGAAATGGAAGGTGCCCAGAGACCATCCAATCTAACATCCTCATTGAACAGAACAGGAATCTGAGGCCTAGAGAGACGTCAATGGGAAGGCAGCCACAGGACACTGAGTCCAGGCTCCCCGATTCTCAGTGCTGCACACCCACACTCCCCACCATACAGAGCAGCCTCTTTCATGAGCCCAATGTTTTCTCTATCAACACCTGGTTGTCATCATGCCTAGAAGTATCACCTGCGTCCTGTTAGACACAGGCGCACAATTTAAAGGCCAAATACATTCACGAGGGCATAAACCTATCAAGTAAAAGCCACCTCTAACTTGGCATCTCTAGTAGAGCCCAATAAAATTTGCTTACTGCGGGGTAGCTAATATTTAAAGCTGGTTATTGTCACAACACAGCTTAATGGTCTAGCATCTTCAACACTTAATTGCCCTTTATTAGATCATTGCAGAATGAGATAATTGGACCAAGCACTTGAACTTCTGACTCTCTCCTATTTATATGGTGGTGCACACAGATGGGGAATTTCACAAGTGCCTTTTAGGGCTAGCGCTCACAGAGCGCTGGGCAGCCTGGAGTTTACTGCCACTGCATTTACTCAGGGCATCCTTCATTCAGAAAAACTACATTTCCTGGAGTTTCTCACTTTTATTCTTTCTGCTTATAAGAAGTAAATTGTAAATTTCCTTTCCCCTTTCCTTCTGTCCTTTTGTTTCCAGCACAAGTCCCTGTTATTAAAACACAATTCACTTCAGAGTCAGTTCTCTTGGGTTTATAAAAGTGCGTATTTCATATTGAGCATAAAAGTCAAGGAAATGTTATTCCTAAAGAAGAATGTGCTCGCTTTTGCAAAACAAAATGTAAATTCTGGCTACCTTGGTTGTTGGGTTTGGGATAAAGGAATATTTACATAACTTCCCGCCTTCAAACCGATGCAGATATGGGCTTCAAAAAAACGTCTGCTGACAGGCGCATCAGAGCCTGAAAAATATTCACACCTTTGAAAACTGACTGGTACTAGCCGCTCTGGGGGTTCTTGGTTGGTCACTGAGACACAGATATAACCAATTGCGGGATTTATCGTGCTATGATTTATAATAGTGCGTTCTTAGAAACAATCTGAATGTCCAACTGCCTGGAAATGGATGAGGAAATGATATATTCACTCCATGAAATAGTGGCCTTTTCACATTTGTTCAGCACATTTTTATTGAATGCCTACTGTGGGTATCAGGGACAGTGTTAGGAGGTAGCTATGCAATGATGAGTGGGACAATGATGCAGTTGTTAGCAATCACTGCTACAAAGATGATGCTTTGGGGAAATCTTTTAATGCAAAGTCAAAACCCCCCAGAAATGTTATTATCTCAATTTTGTTGAAAGCACACAAAACACTGGGAAGGTTGACTTATTTTTTGTTTTTATCTCTTTCACCAAATATCTCTAAGGCATACCTAAAACATCTCTAGTAGGGAAAAACAAGAAAGTTTTTAAAAAAGCGTTTGACATGTTCATTTGGAGGTTCCCCTGTTAGGAATTGTGTCTGTATGCCGGAAGTCACTGCATCTTTGGAAGTGACAGGAGAAGGTGCCATCTGCAGTAGAATGCCTTCTGGCCCCAGGGAGATGTTTTATCACCGGGAAGCATGCAGGGTGTTCATGCCTTCAGCTCATCCCGGTGCTCGTCCTTCCTCCAGAGCCTCATGGGAAATCACGACTTCTCCGTGCCCGTCCCTGTCAGCACACAGATCTGCCTCCTGGTTTCCATAAGCACTTGGTCAGAACAAACAAAGGTCTTTCATCATCTGCTCCACGAACTCCCTTGGTGACCTGGAACCCAGCTGCTGCTGTCCGAGGTATCTTCAGGGTGTGTGTGTGTGTGTGTGTATGTGTGTGTGTGTGTATGTGTGTGTGTGTGTATGAGAGGGGAAGAGCAAGAGCTAGCCCATGAAAGGTTTTGCTTACAGTTTTTGCCTTTGACCTTATAAGATTACCTTGCAGTTTGTATTCCAGGATCCTGAGTATGGCAGACACTCAGTGAATAGAAAATGGATACTGTTTCCGAGTAATTTTGTGAAAGATTTTTATTTTTGCCTTAATGAGCTCTATCTGAATTAAATTTTCAGGTGTATTATGAACATTTACCCTTTATAGAGGACCATAAACATTATGTTCCTTAATATATTGCAAGTTCCACGCATTAATGTGAGCTCCGTATTTGCAGAGGCCTGCAGGAAGCTGTAACTGGTACTCAGGCGAGTGAGGCAGGCCTCCTGTGCGGTGGAGCTTGTCAACTCAGGACACATCAGTGGCAGGGCACATGGGGGTTCTGGGACCCCAGGGGAGGGACCCAGGCAGGTGTTGGGGAGGGGATTGGCAGTGCATTTGGGGAAGGTTTCCTGGAGGAGGCCATGTCTGAGCTGAAGCATGAAGAATGGGTGTATTAGTCTGTTCTCACACTGCTGTTAAAGGTACTACCTGAGACTGGGTAACTTATAAAGGAAAGAGGTTTAATTGACTCATAGTTCTGCATGGCTGGGGAGGCCTCAGGAAACTTACAATCATGGCAGAAGGAGAAGGGGAAGAAGGCACATCTAACATGGCTGTAGGAGAGAAAGAGAGACAGAGAGAGAGAGACAGAGGGAGAGCAGGGTAAACTCCCACTTTCAAACCATCAGATCTCATGAGAACTCCCTCACTATCACCAGAACAGCATGGGGGAACCTCCCCCATGATCTAATCACCTCCTACTAGGTCCCTCCCTCAACACATGGGGTTTACAATTTGAGATGAGATTTGGGTGAGGACACAGAGCCAAGCCATATCACTGGATAGGAGTCGTCAAGCAGAGGGCAGAGACAGAAAGCAAGAGAGTAAGCTCCAGGCAGGGGAAACAAAGGGGCTTGGGGGAGAGGTTAGAAAGACTGGAGGGAGTTGAGTGTGGTTGGAGTGGGGAGCGGTCAGTGTCAGAGATGGGCTGGAAAAGGAGCAAGGCCTGGAGGCTTTGCACACATGACCCTCTGAGCTGTTGCCATAAGACCTGCTTCTGAGCCCTGATTCCACAGTGTCTCTTCCATGGCCTGTCCTTTGGCCTCCAGGCACAGCTGGCTCCAGGGGAGACTGCACCGCCAGACATTCTCTGCCACCTCCATCTCCTGCTTTGTGGTCACCACCATCTGACAAGCATGCATCTGCTCCCTATCTTCCCCTTCCACAGTGGGCATCGTAAAAGCAGGAATTTCCACGCATTTCACCAGAACACTCCCTGTCTGTCTTCCCCTTCCACAGTAAGCACCATAAGAGCAGGAACTTCTATATATTTCACCAGAAACATGGGCACACGGAAAGCAGTCATAAAATATGTACTGATCGGATGAATGGTCAGTGAATGAATGAATATGGATGAGCCGCAGAGCCACTTTGGTTCCCCCTCGGGCCAGAGTTCAGGTTTCCTGTTTGTGTGGGAAACAGCTGGAAGGATGAGTGGTCATGCAGGCAGGGTGGGCCTGGGCGCTGCTTTTGAACTTACAGCCTGGTTTATTTCCACCACTTTATTGCGCTTGTCATTTGGCTTAGAAAATATGGTCTGTGGGCCCGGGGACACAGGTACTGTGCTGGGTCATCTGCCCTTTAAAAAAAAAAAATTGAGGCAAAATTCACATGATGTAAAATTCACCATTTGAGCCACGTTAAAGTGCACAATTTGTGGCTTTTAGTGCCTTCACAATGTTGTGCCACCATCACCACTAATTTCAGAACGTTTTCATCGTCCTAAAAAGGAACACTGTCCCCTTTAGGCCCTTTAGACAGTCCCTGTCTGTTCCCTCCACGCTCTGGGGTAACTGACATCCGGCGGTCCACTTTCCGTCCCTGTGGGTCTGTCTGCTCTGGGCCCTTCGTGGGAAGAGAATCATGCACCACGTGGCCTTCGTGTCTGTTTCCTTTCACCTAGCGTCCCATTTTCAAGGTCAGCCTCCGCCGTAGCAGGTGATAGCACGTCATTCCTTCTCGTGGCTAAATAATGTTCCCCTGGATAGATGGGCCATATTTAGGTTATCCATTCACCAGCTGATGAACATTTTGGTTGTCTCCATTTTTTGACTATTATGAGTGTTTAGGTCACCAGATTAATAGGGGCTCATTATAAAAATCTAAACCTTATTGAAAGACACGTTGGGCGAAAGGAAAACTCCCTGGAGCCCCTCCTTCCAGCTATCGTGTCGTCCGCATGGATCTGTGCGTGGCTCCGCCTTCTGCATGGCAGACTCAGCTGCCGATCTCCACAGGAACCCCTCTCTGCCTACAGTCACAGCCTTCCCTGTGAGGCCTCAGGTTTCTCTGCATTGCTGAGATCTTGCCCTGGGTCTGCATCTCCTCCCAGCCCTCTCCAGTCCTTAAGACCCCCTTCCCAACTTCCATCACCTGGTGAACTCCAGCTCATCCCCCGCTGCCAAGGGTGGGTCCCAGGCCTGGCTCAGTGCTTCCCCAACCCTGGTCCTCGCTCCCAAACCCTGGTGTAGGTGTTTATCTCGCCTACCAGACTGTGGGCCCCCCAAGGCCAGGGCCATGTCTGGGCATTTCTGTGACCACAGGGCCGTGCTCAGGCAGTGCTGGGTGGAAGCTCACATTGGTGGGAGAGGCAGGTTGCCATAGAAACCCAGTGTTATGCTTGGTGAAAGGACAGGATCTGCTCATGGGACACAGCCATCCTCCTCTCTGCGTTTCCCGGGGCCAGGCTGGCTGTTTCTGCCAGTCCTTGTCCACTGGTACCGTCCTCCCAACAGGGTGACCATCGGTCCTGAGGCCCTCTGGCCTTGCCTCAAGTTTATCTTTCTAGTTCTCATGCTGCGGAATGTACGGTCACCAGTTCCCACACAAGCTTCAGGGCTCCCCATGCCTCCCTGCCTGGAATGGTCCTTTGCGAAGAGAGTTGGGGATCCAGCGGCCTGGGGGTCCCCCAACAGCCCTCCCCACTAGAGCCCACCCCCCACCACACCTCCTTGCTGCTTCAGGGGTTGCGGGTCTCCCCTTGCCGAGCGCCATATCCCTTCCCTCTGCCCATCTCAGAAGGCCCTCCATCAGCTGGTCCCTTCTCTTCCCCACTCAGTGAAGTCTGTCTCCACTCCCTCTGCTGGCCTCTCCCTCCCAACCCAAGTGGCCCAGACCAACATCTTGGCAAACCCAAAAGCAGCTTCCTGGTCCTCTCCTACCTGGTGCATGGCCACCACTGCGAACCTCCTGCCCCACCCCCCAAACCTCTCCCACTCCCCTTCCTGGCCAGGGAATTCCCAGACTTCCTCCTGAGCTGCACACCTGCCACCCAAGTGCTCCTTCCCAGGGTTCCACCCTTGCCCTGGCACCTGGCGGCCACTGGGACCTCCCTGCTAAGCTCCGGACCCTCTGACCTGCTGTTCTGTAATAATGCACCTTCCTGTTCCCACTTGGATGTTCCATGGGCAACTGAAAGAGCTACAGCTGGACTTGGCATCTTCCTCTATAAAGCCGCTTCATATTGTGCAAGTGGATACCCCTCTCCCCACATCCACGTGGAACTTGATCTCAGTTCCCAGCCCAGGAGTCCCTCCTCCTTCCTCCCCGAGAGAGGCGGCCAGCCACTCTGATGGCAGAAGACCTGGGCTGCTGCTCCAGGCCCGCCCTGGGTTCTCAGCACTGAGGGCCCTATAGCCAGGGATTGACGGTTCACAGCGGCTCATGCTCGGGGCCAGGCCAGGAGGTTTCTCTACCCTTGCTCAGCCTCCAACAAACCGTCTGGCCTTTCCTGCTCTCTGCTCCTGCTGGCCCTGGGTGTGGGGCAGGCTGGGAATGTGCTGTGCCTGTCCCAGTTCTCGCTAAGATAGGCCTCCAGGGCTGGATGTGGGGAGGGTCCAGGAGCCCCCACTTTTGGCCTCAAACCTAAGCCATCAGCTCCTGCAGTTTAATCAGAAATCGACTATTTTGGTTTCCATTTGACTCTTGGCTCTTGTATTAGTCAGGGTTCTCTAAAGGGACAGAAATAATAGGATAGATGCATATATGAAGGGGAGTTTATTAAGGAGTATTGACTTACATGATTAGAAGGTGAAGACCCACAATAGGCCATCTACAAACTGAGGAGCCAGGAAGCCAGTCTGAGTCCCAAAACCTCAAAAGCAGGGAAGCTGACAGTGCAGACTTCAATCTGTGGCCCAAGGCCCGAGAGCCCCTGGCAAACCACTGGTGTAGGTCCCAGAGTCCAAAAGCTGAAGAACTTGGAGCCTAATGTTCAGGAGCGGGAAGCATCCAGCATGGGAGAAAGATGAAGGCTGGAAGACTCAGCAAGTCTGCTCTTCCATCTTCTCCTGCCTGCTTTATTCTAGCGACGCTGGCAGCTGATCAGATGGTGCCCACCCAGATGGAGGGTAGGTCTGCCTCTCCCAGCCCACTGACTCAAATGTTAATCTCCTTTGGCAACACCCTCACAGACACACCCAGGAACAATACTTTGCATCCTTCAACCCAATCAAGTTGACACTCAGTATTAACCATGACAACTCTCAATGTGTGTGGCCTAAGTCTACAGGCCGGAGCCATTGGAAGGAAATTTGTGGGAGGGGCTGGGTTAGGAGTGACCACACAGCCTCCCACATTCCCTACTGATGGATCATGCCTGGCACCAGGCCAGCCTTCTCCCCTCCATCCCTACCCCCGATCCCTCGCCCAGCCCTGTGGGTTCTGCCTCCTTTCTATCATTCTCTCCATCTGCTTGCACCTGTGCTGGTGGGGTGGGGTCCAGGCAGGCACTAATGCACACCTGTCCCCAGCCGCCCCCGCCACAAAAGCCTCCTCCCTGAGTCTATCTAATCCGCATCCCCCTTCCCCTTGTTAGCAATGAACACAATTAGTAGCACATGTGGGCTCTGCGCTTGGTCCAGAGTTCACACTCAGGGCTCATTGCCATCACTGTTTCTGTCCTTGTTCTTGTTGTTATTACTGGACTTGGAGTCAGAAACAGGTTCGAATCCCAACTCTACCACCCTTTAGCTGCGATCCTTCGGCCACATTTGTAACCTCCCTGAATATCAGTTTCTCATCTGTAAAACAGGGATTATAATCGCTCCCTTGCATTGTTGCTGAGATAATTAAGTTAATTACACGTGCAAAATGTCAGGTCCCTTTCCCTCCTGGAACAGGGAAAATCGCGTCTACTCCAGGAAAGTTCACTCTGTGTCCCTCCTTAGAGTTTCTTTGGGCTCCCAGGGAGAAAATGTGTGAAAAGTGGATTGTGAATGCTGAAGTGCTGTCAAAATGTTTAGAATGATGATTACTAATGACAGTTTAGGGCAGCTGGGAGAGAAGCTGGGGTGAGGTGAAGGTCTAGGCTCCTGCCTTTCAAAGGTCTCTCAGAGCCATGGGACAGGGTTGGGAGGAGAGAGAGCTAATGAGGAGACCATGAGTTGTGTGTTACTTGGAGCCAGGAGGCTGGAGTCCAGCAAACTCCCTGGGTCCTTTCCCACCCTAGAGTCTGGCATCCATCTGCCCATTTGATGAGCATGCCACGAGGGCCGCTGCAGGCTGGGCACTGCCATGGATGCAGGAGCTGGAGGGGACAGGAGGACAACCCTTCTCCTGCCCTCATGGTGCTTACCATCTACAGGTGAGATGGTTAGATAGGCAGTTTACAAGCAAGGCACTCTCCCCGAAGCCCTCTTCTGCAGAGTTACCCATGGCATGCCACGCCTGCCCCTTCCCGTGGGTCCAATTCCCCCAAGGACTCTGTCTTATTTCCCAGCATAGCCCCAACACCTGATGCAGGGCCCAGCACCTAGAAGGTGTTCGATAAGTAAGTGACAAATTGGACCAAGTCAGTGAAAGCTGACTACTGTGCAGTAGAGGGCCAGGTATGAGTTACCCGACCCACAAGGTTATTTGTTTTTCATTGTGTAGGAAACACGGACTTAAGGTTTGCATCTTTTCAGGCAGTTGTTTTGAAAGACACACCTCCTGGGATTCTGAGGAGATGGGAGGGCCCATCCTCTGTCCCCGTGCATCACTGTCACGTGCATCGCAGTGGGCCCCGGCCCACCACTCTGGGATTAGCTTTCCCTGCATGTGGTCCCTGTGCTCTGGGCTCTGACAGCCTCCACCCTGCAGGCTTGTCTTCCAGCCACTGGGATCTGAGCTGAGGCAGCCACCCTGGGATCTCTCAAGTGTGTATCTCCTCTGGGCTCTCATCACTTTCCTGCTTGACCAGAAACCAGCATACTGGGGGCAGAGCAGGGGGCTGCTGTTCCTAGTTATTAGGTTCCTTCGGGGGCTTTTTTCCAAATGGGATCAGAGAGACACTCTGCTGCTTTTTGTGCCTGATGCAGTAGCTGAGCCTTCTCTGCCTTCACAGGCAGCCTCTGGCCACACCCTTATCACAGCTTTCCCTGGCCCCATTTCCTCACCTCCCAGCACCGGCCGTCAGACTGCTCTTTCTTTAGAAAGGCAGCACTTTTTATATCACTCCTGTGTGCAAAAATACTTCTTATATCCACCCACTCTTATCTGCAGGGTAAAATCCAAACTCTCTACCTTTGCATGGAAGCTTTCCACCCTCTCGAGTGTCCCCTCCTCCTCCTCTCTCCAGCTCTGCCTGCCAACTTACCCACCCGGTGGCTCCTCCCGAAACACACTCAGCATCTCCCCACCCCTGAGCCTCCCTGGAAGCTTTCCCCACATCGAAGCCCTCCTGCTTTTTGATGCTGGCAGGGTCTGTCAGCTGGAAGCCAACTCTAACTTTGCATTCTGTTACTTTATCTGCACTGTCTCACGGCATTCATCCCTTCCCCTATATGTGCACATAACATGTGCCACCGTCTACATATGCAGACACGCATGTGTGTATATATATCCTGGAGGCCATTTGTCCCAGGGCCTCAGGCTCCTCCCCCAGCCCACCGCCTGACTGGGAGGCAGCTCTTGGCTTCTTTCTGAGTTCCTGAACAGAATCCACTTGCACGGCAGGACTGAGCAATGCAGATTTATTGAAGAGTCTGTCAGGGAGCCCAGGAGGATGACACATCATCAAGCCTATCACAGGCAACCGCACATCCCCGCCGGACACCTGTCATCCCCTGGGATCCTCCCTCAGCGTGGAAGGGCCCAGCAATGGATGGGGAGCTGGAACTGCTCCTGGGACATTGCCTGGCTCTTCCTGGACCAGCTGCTTGCTCAGGTATCAAGGTCTCAGGTCACTCAGATAAGCAGGCCACATCCCAGAGAAATCCCAGCTGTGGTCAGAGTTCTTCAGCATGAGGGTGACTGTCCACTGCTCCTGCCACTCCTGGAAGCATCGTACAACCCGAGGCTTCCCATGGGCTCAGCCATTCTGCCCTGACCAGTGAGACCAAAATCTAGTACCCCTCGGAGCTCACAGCACACCTTTGCAGTCAGCAGTTGTTGAGCACGGAGTTGTTTGCGTTTGCTCTACCATCATGGTACTTGTGCTTGGAAAACCAAATGCAATATTTGGCCAGGTGCTGTGGCTCACGCCTGTAATCCCAGCACTTTGGGAGGCCAAGATGGGTGGATCACCTGAGGTGAGGAGTTCAAGACCAGCCTGGCCAAATGGTGAAAGCCCATCTCTATTAAAAATACAAAAATTAGCAGGGCATGGTGGCACACACCTGTAGTCCCAGCTACTTGGGAGGGTGAGGCAGGAGAATAGCTTGAACCCAGGAAATGAAGGTTGCAGTGAGCTGAAATTGTGCCACTGCACTCCAGCCTGGGTGACAGAGTGAGACTCCATCTCAAAAAAAAAAAAAAAAAAAGCAATGTTTATTCTCTCCCTTCATCCTCCATGCTGAGACAATCATCACAACCAGCATGAAGTAGGTACCTGCCATGTTCCAGACCCTGTTATAGGCACCAGGCGCACACCTCAACTCACTTCATCATCGCAACCAGCTCCAAAGTAGACATGACTGTCATACCCTCCTCACAGATGTAAAAACAGATCTCACAGCTAGTGAGTGGCAGAGGTGGGATTTGAACCTGGCAGTCTCGTTCCAGAGCCTGAGCTCCCAATTGCTATGCAAGAAACACTAATGCACATAGAGTTATCCCCGGTATCTGTGCAGCATTGTTTCCAGGACCTCCTAAGGAGACCCACATCTGAGGATGCTCAAGTCCTTGTTAGAAAATGGCACGGCATTTGCATATAACCTACACAGTGTGTGCTGTAAATCATCTCTATTACTTAAAATACTTATAATTACTATAATACCTAATACAATGTAAATGCTCTATAAGTAGTTGTCATACTGTGTTGTTGAGGGAATGATGACAAGAAAAGTCTGTGCGTGTTGAACACAGACTAAGTTTTCTTTGAGTATTTTCAATCCCTGGTTGGTTGAATCGATGGATGTGGAACCCATGGATAGGGAGGGCCACCTGTGCCCGAAGAAACCCCTATTTCAGAGTTGATTCTGGTGAAGCGTCTTCTCCCATGGGCTTTGTGGGAGCTCAGCAAGAGAGCATTTTCTTGTCTGCCATGGCAGCGGTTTCAGCTGGTGTGGTCCCTCCAGGGCCCAGTAGGCACCAATTCTTATTTGCAGCAGCCAGCCTCGCAAAGGCCTGACTACTCAGTGTCTCAGTGTGGCGTTTGCTGACCTGGGGTTAATGCCTTGGGGTCAGGGTGGTTGCATTGGAAGGGAGATTCTGGAGACAGCAGCTATCCTCTCCACCCATGCTTCAGCTGATAGCTGCTCAGGGAAACCTTCCTGGGAGACGTCCTCGACATGGCCTCCTGCACAGTCTCTGTGGGGCTGCTGAGGCATGAGGCAGGTGAGTCCCCTTTAGGAAAGGGTGTGCCCCCCACCCCCACCTGCCCCTGCCTCAGTCCACTGCCTACAGGGAGTGAGTGAAAGAAGATCTAATGTGTCACCTGGAAGGTGATACACACTCCACGCCAGTTCATCCAGACTTCTAGAACCTTCCTGAGCTGTGGTAGCCATGGAAATCGGGCATTGGGTCTGCCAACCCTCAAGCCTGGGGCTCCTCTGAACTGGAAACAGGCCCCTGAATACATTCAGCTCCGGAAATGGCACAGCCAGGGGCCCTGAATGAGAGAGGAGTCCTGCGATCTGACGTTGCCCCCACACCCCAGCATTCCCCGCTACCGCTCACTAGCAATGTCCCACCTGGGAAAGAGGGAGCCACGTCTGTCCCAACCAGGAGCCATAGCAGCAAGTTCTCTTGAGAAGCACCGAGACTTGGGCAAGCCCTTTGACTCCTCCGGGTCTCAGTTTCCCCATCTGTGCAGAGGAATGCAGTCTGGACCGGTGATTCTCAGCCCTGGTTGCACGTTAGAACCACCTGGGAGGGGTATGCTTTAAAAGATAGCATTGCTGGGGTCCCCCGCCAGGAGACTCCATTCATTTGGTCTGGAATGGTCCAGGGAGGGACACTTTTGGCAGCTCCCCAGTCGTTCTGGCATGCCTCCAGGCTGAGAAGCAACACCTGGCTGACCCCTGCAGTGGGGCCCATTTGCAAAGGATGTACTGTAGCTAAATGCAGAAGGGCGGAGAGAGGTCATCATTTTCCTTAGTATGCCTTTGGGATGCTTGGATGCAGCAAAAAGTCAATTTACAAGCCCCACTTAAGACGTGACTTGCTCTCTCATTTCCCTTAGAGCTTCCTTCTGAAATTCGCAAGGTGAGCCCAGACCAGGCACAGCCCTGAGCTCCACTCCTCTCTGGGCTGCAGCCACTGTGGCTGGACCCAGACCAGGAGCCCAGTTCATGACCAGTGAATGAGCCCACTTAAGCCACTTGCAAATCCTTAACTGTGGGAGGACATTGGGTTGTTTTTATTTCCAAAGGTGACGGTGTGGACCAGTTAGGAATGTGGTTCTGAAGTGAAATTACCCAGGTTTGAATTCCAGCAGCACTGCTTTCTGTAACAGATGCAGAGCCTTGAGCGAGGCCCTCCCACTCTGTGACTCCACTTCCCCATCTGTGAAATGGGACGTGAGGTGTGAATTGTGCTACCTGGATTTGAACTGGCTGACGTTCTTTCTGCTGTGTGATAACTGAAGCTCACCATCCCTGCTGCGGTGGGAGGTGGTTGTATGATATGACCTCGCCTCCTCTTTTGTTTCTTGTGGTTGAGTTTTGAGTTTGGGGGGCCTACTGTTTCTGAGGGCTTCTTCCCGGAGCTTCCTGACAGCAGAAGTGACAGCACAGTTTCTTTATCAAATGTTGCCCTTTCGTTACCTGCTTCACCCTCGGGGCCCTAGAATCATTTTTCTTAGTCGTCATTTGCGTCGGGCCAGTCCCCGGCTCTCTGATGAATGACCAGCCGCATCTCATTGCATTCTGTGCCAATTGCACGCCACCTCTCGCCTGGGCCCCTGCTTGGCCTGGGATGATTTATGGAAGTCGAAGGCAGGATGACTTCTAATGACCTGTGCAAACCAGGACCGGGGTGGGCACAGCTGAAATGCTGGAGTGCTTGATAATTAAATGCCTTCTGGGGTTGGGTGTGTGCTTTCAAGGCTCAAGAAAGAAACATACTATAGCTTTCAGTAGAAATACAGAAATTGGCCAGGCATAGTGGCTCATGCCTGCACTTTGGGAGGCCAAGGTGAGCGGATCACGAGGTCAAGAGATCGAGACCATCCTGGCCAACATGGTGAAACCCTGTCTCTACTAAAAATACAAAAATTAGCTGGATGTGGTGGTGCGTGCCTGTAGTCCCAGCTACTCAGGAGGCTGAGGCAGGAGTATCGCTTGAACCCGGAAGGCAAAGGTTTCAGTGAGCCGAGATCGTGCCATTGCACTCTAGCCTAGTGACAGAGCGAGACTCCATCTCAAAAAAAAAAAAAAAAAAAAAAAAAAGAAATACAGGAATTGAAACCTACGACTTTCCTGCATCAATGGCTTCAGGTTGTTATTCTTTTTAAGAAGGATCATGTATATTTTTCAGTTATACTTTCCTGTATATTATGGTTCACAAACACATTTTATTTTAAAGATTTAAAATGTCTAGCTTTTGCAGCCCCAGGCTGGCTAAGCAGGGCTGTGTGAATGAGCTCACCTTCTCAGATTTTAGACAAGTTACTCAATGACTCTTGAGCCTCAGCTTCCTCATCTATAACAGTGGGATAAGGATACAGTAGTCATACAAATTGAGAATTATATCAAAAAATGTGGGGGCCTCTGGTAGCGTAGGCATGATGTACGTGATCTGGAAATCTTGGATCCACTTTCCTGTGGCCAAATCTTTACTTAGGTTTGGCTAATTTGGTGTCGAACCAGGGAAACTTCCAACTTCTAGGGAAAGCCAGCTCTGGATTTCCACCCTCTTCAGTCCACATAGTGATGTGTTTGGGCCCGATGGCACTGTCCCCAGCCTGCCTCTGCTCTCAGCTGCAGTGCTTTGTTGCTGGCAAGCTCAGACTCTGCTTGTGCCCACCTCAAGCAGAGGCTCCTGTCCTCTAAGCAGAAGATCTGCGAGGCCTTCTGTGCTCTTCACAGAAGTGCTCTCGGGGCCGTGACCCTATTTCCTGCAGGAGTGACCTCAGTACCCATCTGGATATTGTCTTCTCTGCCCTCCCTGTCTCACCTCCCTGCTCCCTCACTCCTACTTCTGGGATCTCCCCCCAAATAAACCACCTGCACCCCTGTCTGGGTCTCAGGCTCTGCTTTTGAGGGTGCCCAATCCAAGACAGGCAGCTTTTAGAAACTTGCAGAGTAATAGCTTTGCCCTTGGGTGAGTCACCCTGCCCTGAAGGCAACCTGGTTCTCCTCTGTGTCCTGGGGAAGAAGGGAGTGGGCTGCGATGTGAGGGAAAACAACCCAGTGCCTGGGGTCTGAGCTCTGGGGGCAGGTCCTGGCTCCCAGCCTTCTCTGTGGTGGGCAGGGACCCAAGGCTGTCTGTTCGGCGTGGTTAAGCCCCACCCCTCTCCTAGTTGATTGGTCAACACCCAGACAAAAAATCCAGGCAAGGCAATGGGAATTCTTCATTCTGAAACTATGATTCTCTGTGCATGGGCCCCCCAGAGTAACCAGGAGCTGTTGGTGCGTCTGTTCCCTGTCCAGTGAGGGAAGCCAGGACAGAATAAGAAAGAAGTCACAGCCCACAGGAACCAGGAAAATGGTAGGGCTTCTTGGCAATGCTTGGGTCCCTGGTCACTACTGTGTGGAGCTGAGCTCTGCCCCTGTGGTAGCTGCACACCCATCCCTTGTTACAGGACTAGCCTTGCCTTCCTGTGCCATTTTTGCCCAGGCAACTTCAGTTTGGTTCCTTTCACAAGCAGCCAAATTGTGCCTGCAGATACAAAACCTGGTCTATCTCAGTGAAATCTATGGTTCTAGGTACAGTGTACTTCCCAGCAGGTAAGTGTAGCCTAAAAGGAACATTCAGGAAAAAGAGGAGAGGGAAGTAACCTGGATTGAGCTTCTAGAATGTTCCAGGCACTGAACTTACCTCCTGTGATGGAAGAGTGAGTCAGGCAGGAGATGCTTAGCTGCAAGAAACAGGACACATCCTATTGAAACGAGCACGTGTTTATTACCCACTCATCAGGGAGACTGAAGTGCATGGCATCAGGGCTGGTTTGGTACCTTGGTGATGCTACCGACCACTCAGTTGCTTTCCATCCTTCAGAACCACTGTCTTCAGTTTGCTAGCCTTTCTTCCTGGTGGTCACTGCCTCATGTCACAAGGTGGCTGCTGTGGCTTTAGTCTTCACAACTGTGTCCCAAGACGAAAGGAAAAGGCAAACCTCCAGCATACATTGGCCAGGGATGCCCACAAATGTGTCCCATGGTCATTCCTACCTGAGAGCCAAGGTCCCTCTTTCCAAGCTCTAGTCTAGGAGATGACAAAGGAGAAAGGAACTGGGAGTAGCTGTTGGTTGGCTAATGAACCATGTCTTTCCCTAGTAGCATGTGTGCACATAACGGTATCAAGAACAAACTGTGTCTGAGAATGGCAGGAACTGGATATGATCAAACCTTAAAGCGTGTGGACAAAATGATGGGAAATGGTGATGTTGACAGGCAAGATGAAGGGGGTCCTGGCATGGCCCTAGGGACCACTGAGGCTCTTAAGGCAGGTGGACCCAGGAAGGGGGTATTTCAGAACTAGATTTACAGTCTAGAAAGATCCCTCTGGCCATTCCCTGGAGGGTCGTTAGGAGGAGAGTTGAACTGGAAGCAGGGCAGAGACATTTGCGGTGCCTGTCCTGTATATTGAAGATAATATTTTTAGGTGTAGAATTTAGAGTAATTACTTTCTGAGCTACTCATTGGATTAAGGAAGTGACCAGACAGACAATCAAGGTTAAACTAAAACTCATTAGAAATACAGGAGAATTTATCCTAGTAGGGAAATAGACTATGAGATGGCACCTTCATCTGATTTTTGATTTGATGGAAATGGCTTTTATCTGAATTTCTGTGTGCATAAGCAAATCCCAGGCTACATTAACTTACTGACTCAGCCTTGTAAAACAAGCTCAAGGTTATTATGTCCAAGTGAGATCAAGTACAAATAACTTTAATGCTATAGAATAGGACATTATACCCTCTAAGTATTTCTAACAAACGAAAAATGAGAAGCACCATCGCACACATTTCTTCAGATAGATCTGCTGGCTTTGTAAGAGAGGACATGGTAAACTTATATAGGTATTAAAAATTCAAACCGTGATAATTAATTTTAAGTGATGTATGCTTATTACAGAAAAACTAGAACACAGAGAAAAGCAGTTAAGAAAACATTAAAACCCATAAAAGGCCAGGCGCGGTGGCTCACACCTGTAATCCCAGCACTTTGGGAGGCCGAGGCGGGTGGACCACAAGGTCAGGAGATCGAGACCATCCTGGCCAACACGGTGAAACCCCATCTCTACTAAAAATAAAAAAAATTAGCTGGGCATGGTGGCAGGCGCCTATAGTCCTAGCTACTCAGGAGGCTGAGGCGGGAGAATGGCATGAACCCGGGAGGCAGAGGTTGCAGTGAGCCGAGATTGCGCCACTGCCCTCCAGCCTGGGCGACAGAGCGAGACTCCAAAAAAAAAAAAAAAAAAAAAACACCCATAAAAACAAAAACAAAATCTGTTAACCTCCTGGCTCATATTCTTTTTTATCCCTGCGGGTAAGT
Source organism: Homo sapiens (assembly GCF_000001405.40). Classification (NCBI taxonomy): domain Eukaryota; kingdom Metazoa; phylum Chordata; class Mammalia; order Primates; family Hominidae; genus Homo; species Homo sapiens. The sequence continues at coordinate 5,914,135 of NC_000004.12, read as the reverse complement.
TTCCATACAATATTCATAATCATAGTCAATATACAATTTTATCTACTTTTTCATCTAGTCTTGTAGGCATTTTTTCATGCTATCATTGTCTTCATAAACTTTACTTCTCATGATTACATAGCATGAACCTTTCTCAACCCTTGTTATTGAACATTTGGGCTGCCGGGGTAATGAGATGACTATCATTGTCTATAAATCTTTGTCTTCATAGAAGACTATTTCTTGGAGATTGATTCTCAGAAATTGAATTATTGTCTCCAAGGGAATAAACATTTTTAAAGCTGTTGATACCTATTGTTGGTTCAGAAATTCAAACTTGTGCTAAAAGTTAAATTAAAAGCAGACAATGCAGCGAGAAAGCCCCGCTTTCTGTATTCTTTCCCTTGGCAGCCTGGAGGTTTGGTCCCAACGTCTGTGGACGATTTACTGCCTTATTTCTAAATAGGATCAATACACCCAGGAGCCCTAGTGTAATGAGATTCAAAGGGACCCTGACTCCTGAACGAATCCATCAATTGGACCGGAATGTTAAGGACAGCGAAAGTGAAATGGCTCTAATGAATCTTGATATTGAAACAAAATATTAGGGCATTTTGAGAAGAAAGCATTTTATCTCATCTATATTTTCCATTCCCCATGTGATTAGGAAGCTCATGGAAATTGAACAGGCTCATCTGTTTCATAGTATATGCTATTTCTACACACCAGAGCTTTCTCTGACCCTCACTACCCTCACTCAAAATGTGTTCCCAGAATAGTCATTGCCTGCCTGCCATTCCCCAGGCACTGTGCAGAACACTAGAGACACGGCCTCCTCCTCATCAAGGAGCTATGGTCTGGAGTTTCCAGTAGTTTCCCAGGATCAGATGCCAGCTCTGCCATTGCTAAGGCCTCTGAGTATCTCCTTCTTTACACCAGCCCCATAAGGTAGGCGTTGTCATCCTCATTTTACAGATGGGAAAACTGAGGAAGAAAGAGGTTAAGTAACTTGCCCTAGGCCACACAGGTAGTCGGTTCCAAAGCTGGTTGTATTAATAAAATTTTATTTTCTATAGTTTGTGATGTTTTGCCATCTTGGGGCCTTGTTGGCCAGAGAGATACGGCCCCTGCCAGGGCTGGCTAATTTCTAGAGATGGAAATGACTCCCCTGTGAGCACGCCTTTCATATGCAAGCCAGACAATCTACAGCCTGGCAGGTTTCCAGTCTCCTCCTTTATCTAACATACCAAGCCAACATTTCCCCTGCCACATGTCATCCCAGGCCCAGGTGTCAAACAACTAGAGAACATGCAAAAATATAACCCAGAGCATGCAACAATTTTAAAACTCTCCAGTACTGGGCATGCTCAGGCTTGCCTCCCCTGCCTCACCCATTTCTTCCTGCAGAACTCACAATAAAGGCTCTGGGCCAGGCTCTCTCTGCACTCCTCTGCCTCCTGCTTCCCTCTGTGGCCTTGCATGGTGTGGCATGCCCCTTCCTCTAGGGAACTGTGAGTAATAAACTCTTCTTTCAAACACAGTTGTCTCTATGTCTGTCACATTACCATACCCTATTAAAACAAAATACTGGGTGCATTTTAGAACACTGGTGCACTCTTTCACCATCATACCCCTTTTACAAGGACAGATACATTTCCTTGAAAGTAATTTGGTAGAAACACTGCTGAAAATGCTTTGTACACTCATCCCAGCTCCTTTTCTTCATAAAGGCCTATCTGCTGCAGTTATAAAAATATTTTCCTCATTCCAATTTTTTCCTATTACATTTGCAAAATTGGTATCCTGCTCTCATTCATTCATGCATCCATTCATTCATTCTTACATGTATGTCTTCCCCAAATACACACACACACACACACACACACACACACACACACACGAGTGGAGTGCTAGACTGGAGCTGGCTCTTCCTGCATGCCTTTTGAGAGCCAATTGCATGCGTCTCTTACCAACATATCAGCAGCTTAAAATCAGCCATAGTAGGAGTGTTTACACCACGGAAATTAAAAAATGCCGAAAATCAGGTCTGGTATTTTTGTTTGTTTGTGTTTGTTTGTGTGGTTTTTTTGTTTTTTGTTTTTTTGTTTTGCAAGACGGAGTCTCGCTCTGTCACCCAAGCTGGAGTGCAGTGGTGCAATCTTGGCTCACTGCAACCTCCGCCTCCGGGGTTAAAGCGATTTTCCCGCCTCAGCCTCCCAAGTAGCTGGAACTACAGGCATGCACCACCATCCCCAGCTAATTTTTGTATTTTTAGTAGAGACGGGGTTTCACCATGTTGGCCAGGATGGTCTCGATCTCTTGACTTTGTGATCGGCCCGCCTGGGCCTCTCAAAGTATTGGGATTACAGGCGTGAGCCACCACGCCTAGTGTTTTGTTTGTTTTGTTTTTGTTTTTGTTTTTGTTTTGAGAGCCAGTTGTTAAACATTTGCTAGCTCACCACTGTGGTTCTCTATTTCTGTTCCCCACCAGGGCCTGAGAGCAGCAAGTTTCCTCTTCATCTTTTTATCTGGGGCAGGCAAAATGGATCCTGCCACCTTGAGTGGTGAAGCAGGCCAAGCTGGGCCTTTCTGCATGTTTTGTCATTCTGATGGACCTGTAGGCAGCCAGGGAACCAGGCTTACCTATCTGAAGAGAGGCCCCTCTCTGTAAAGGGATCCCTTGCTGGGGTTGTAAGTGACATGTGAAGCATTCCCTCCCTGGCTTCACACACATTCTAGCAAGTCTCATTGTAACTTCACTCATGAACGAATTCCCCAATAGTTGGAGTTGTCCATGAAACAGACTTCCCTGGCACAGCTGGTGGGCTCCCCATCAGAGGACACATCCATGTTTGGGCAACCATCCACCACAGATACTCGATGTGGGGGTTCTGGTTTTGAGAAGGGCCAGAAAACCCCACAAGTTCGAAAGGCACAGAAAGGGAAGAGGCCGGGCATGGTGGCTTACGCCTGTAATCCCAGCACTTTGGGAGGCCGAGGCAGGTGGATCATGAGGTCAGGAGATCGAGACCATCCTGGCTAACATGGTGAAACCCTGTCTCTAGTAAAAAATACAAAAAACAATTAGCCAGGCATGGTGGCGGGCACCTGTAGTCCCAGCTACTTGGGAGGCTGAGGCAGGAGAATGGCGTGAACCCGGGAGGCGGAGCTTGCAGTGAGCCAAGTTCACACCACCGCACTCCAGCCTGGGCGACAGAGACTCCGTCTCAAAAAAAAAAAAAAAAAAAAGAAAGAAAGGGAAGAAACCCATTGGCTCTGATGAAACATCTGTTAGACAAATAGGGACATGGTGCTACTTTCAAATTCAATAGAGAGGTATCCCCCCCACTCCACTGACAACAACAAAAAAGAGAGCACCTGAGGGCAGGGACTTTATCTTATTTCCCCTCAAACACCAAAAAAGCTTCTTGCCCAGGGCTACACACATAGAAGATTCTTGAAGAATGCTGGCAGGGGGTGAGGTAGAGAGGTTATTGGTTGAGGAACTGGGGAGGCCACTCCAAGCTCAGCCATGATCGAGTGGGGTGATTATTGTGGGGTCATTTTCTCTTTGAAAATCTCTTTCCTCAACTGATTATACAAGGACACACTCTAGATAATTCCTTAGGAATAACTAGTATGTTAATTAAAAACACCACAATTCACATTAATTCTGTTTATAGCATAATGTGGATCATAAACACAAACATTACTTAAAATATAAAAATTAGTGACCAGATGGAACAGATTGACGAGATTCTTAAATTTTGAAGCTTTTCAAAAGGCTTAAATTTTAGATTTAATTCCCTATGAGAAATGCTAACTATCCCCTGAGGAAATATATTGGAACCAGGTTGCATTCCGTAAAAATCACATTAAGTTGAACTAGGTTTAACCTGTCCTTGGTCAGCACCTGCTCTGTTCACATTTTCTCATGAACAGTTTCTCTTGGGGTTTTTTTATGTATGTTTCTCTGTGTCTTGCTCAAGAGCATGGATCCTGAAGTCTGACAGATCTTGTATAAAATCTCAGCTCCATTAATATTGCTAAAATTATCATACTACCCAAAGCGATCTACAGATTCAATGCCGTCCCTATCAAAATACCAATGCCATTCTTTACAGAGATAGAAAAAAAAATTCTAGAATTCACATGGAACCACAAAAGACCTCAAATAGCTAACACAATCCTGAGGGGGGAAAAAATGCTGGGGGCTCCACACCCCCTGACTTCAAAATATACTACAAAACCGTGGTAACCAAAACAGTATGTACTGGTACAAAAACAGACATATAGATCAATGGAACAGAATAGAGAACACAGAGACAGATCCACATATCTACAGCCAACTGATTTTCAACAGAGGTGCCAAGAACATACATTGGGGAAAGAACATTCCCTTCAATAAATGGTGCTAGGGAAACTGGATATTCACACGCAGAAGATTGAAACTAGACCCCTATCTCTCACCACTTATAAAAATCAAGAATGGATGAAAGGCTTAAATGTAAGACAAAAACGATGAAACTGCTGGAAGAAAACATGGGAGAAATGCTTCAGGACATTGGTCTGAGCAAAGATTTTATAGATAAGACTTTAAAAGTGTAAGCAACAAAAGCAAAAATATGCAACTGTGATTGTATCAAACTAAAAGGTTCCTGCACAGCAAAGGAAACAATCAACAGAGTAAAGAGACAATCTATAGAATGAGAGAAAATATTTGCAAACTATACATCCAACAAGACATTACTATATAGAATATACAAGGAACTCAAACAATTCAACAACAGAAAAACAAACAATCTGATTTTAAAATGGGCAAAATATCTGGTTGCGGTCAACAGCTAGATGATTTATTTCCCTCTGGACACCGAACCCTGCTTTTGGTGGTCAAGGCCAGTGTGCTCAGCCTGCAAGGAGGTCATGTGGTCCCTGCATGACGTAGAAGGGTTTGAATTTCAAGAGATGAACTCAAAGACATAGGCAGGGCTAGATATGACAGGATATTCTGTAAGTCTTGCTAAGTTAGGCTGCATCCTAAAAGCAGAGAAAGACATGTAGTAGTTTGAAACAATGGCAGGATGTCATCAGCTTCCTAGGAATTCTGGCTGCTGTGTAGAGTGGATTGTGTGGGGACAGCCTGAGGCAGGGAGCCTGGTTAGGAAACTCTCTGTGGTCCAGCTAAGAGGCAGTCATGGACTGGGCTGGGACAATGGCCATTCAGGGGAGTGAATGACAGAGCAGGTAACCCCCATTCTGTACTTTCCAGGCATTTTAAATCTTTGAAGTAGGTCAGGCTGGTTCTTCTTTGATTTACAGATCAGAGTGAGAGAAAGGGCAGTGACAAAATGGTCCCCAAGTATGACCTTCCCACATCCCCTGTGCATCCCCACTGAAGGCTGCATGACCTTGGGAGCTAGGTGAATGGTGTCAAGGGCAGTCACGTATGTATTGGTCTCTCCTATCGGATGGTGTTCTCTCATTGAGGAGCTTTTGTCTTCACAAAGGTCTGGAACTAAGTAGGTCATGGACTAGTGTCCCCATTTTTGCCCTCATTTTCTGATACCCCAGGGCTTTCCCCCCTCCCCATCGCATGGTCGTCTCCCTGCTTGGAGTCTCTGCCATTGTCTGCTTCACACATTTGCTTCCTCCACTGGACTCTGAAGGGAGGCTGTAGCCTAGTCGCTGCCAACTCCCCAGGACATATGAATGCCTCCTGTGGTTTTATAGAATCGTCACATCACAGAGCCCACTGGTTGAAGTCAGAGGTCCTCTCTGATATCCCCACACATGCAGTGCAGTGCAGTGAGCTTCCTGCATGTACCCTGTCATAATGTCTCAGTCAGCTTTCTCAAATGGATCCTTCATCTGACTCTCTTTAGTACACTGTTACTTTGTAACCCAGCATTTCCTTCTGTTCTGGCATTATACTTGCTTGCTTGTCTGTTTTACTCACTCAGATATAAGGCCCTTGAGGACACATGTGTCTGGGTTTTATTCATCTCAACATTCTCCATAGCCTTGAACACAGTGCCTGGCATATAGTAGGTACTTAAAAATGAGCAAATAAATGAGTGAATGAATAAACAAGCAAATGAATGAATGAATGAATGAATGAATCAGTGAATGGTCAGCTCTTTTTGTTAAAAAGTCCTTCTTTACCTTCAACTGAAATATGTCTCCTGTTAACCAGCTTTCTGAGCTGATTCTACTCATTGACTCCATGCAGAGTACTCTCCTCTGCCTCATGGCACCTTCTCATAGAGTGGAGCCTCAGGGGTCTGCTTTCTGTCCTTCGAACATGCCAACATGTTCCTGCCCAGCTTGACCCCACTTTAGGGCCTTTTTACTTCTCTCTTTTATGCCCAAGACCCCTGGCCCTATTGCTTTCCATGGCTGGATCTTCCTTGTCATTTGGGTCTCAACTCAAATGTCACCTTCTCAGAAAGACCTTTACTAACAACTCAATCTAGAGCACCTCTTCCCCCAGCCCCCATATGCCTCTTTATCTCTCTGGGCTGAATTCTGGATGATTTCCTCAGATCTGCCTTTCAATTTACTAAATCTGCCTTCATTTGTGTCTAGTCTACTGTTTAGCTCGCCTGTAGAGATCATCAGTTATTCTATTTTTCATTTACAGAACATATATGCAAATATTGTGATCATTAATATTTTAAAGTCTTCTTTTAGAATTCCTATTACATGACCCTCCCCACCACCACCAAAAGTGATCTATCCTATTTATTGCATCTGATGATTGTCTCTCAGATGTTGGATATCTATAATTCCTGTGATTTTTTTTGATGAAACTTTATCAGAAATTAGCATCTTTTAGTGTCCCACATGGATTTTGGAAGTGACCCTGTGGTACTTGTTACTTCTTAAACGGTTGTTCCATTAACTTATTGGTGAATGCAGTATCTATATGTTATCATGTATAATGTAGGGAAAGAATGTTGCCTTCTTGTGTTTGATATCACCCACCTGCTTCTAGTGACAGTTACTACAAGCTTAACTTGTTGCTTTGTCCTCGTAGTGGAGCATCACTGACTGCAGCAGTACCCAGATGCCAGGTGCTTATGAGCTTAACACATAAGAGTCCCCCCAGCTTAATGCATGAGCATAGCATGGAACTCATTGGAAACACAGATTTCCAAGATCTGCCTCATGAACACTGAATTCATAAATCTGAGATTGAGCCTAAGAATCAGAATTCTTGTAAAGTTCTCCAAGTGATTCTGATTTATATATAAGTTTGGATACCAATGGTCTTATAAGCTTCAAGGATTTAAATCTGGTTTATTTTTGTCTTGCTTATTCCTTCCTCAAAAAAGGATTTGAAGCTGTGTACCTACAGATAGATAAAAATACATTTTGAGAAGGAGACTAAAGACACCTACACGAACAATGCCCTGAGTAGGTTGGCTTCCTCACTAACACCCTTGGGATGGATGCGGCCACGAGCTGTGTGTGAGCCATCTCTGCCCAGTTCTGAGACCCTTAGCATTGCAGCAAAGCCTGGCTTGGTGAAGTCAGTCATGGGGCAACTGTGGAACTGCAAAGGGATGCTGTGCACAGACAGAGTTTTGATTTTCCTAGGGTCCCTCTCTGCACACTGTCACATTGTTCAGATATGTTTATTAATCTGGTGCATCCATGAAGGCTCTTCTTGGCAAACTGAGCTCTTTAGACCCACTCTCTCCGCTACTCACGCTGTGCTGAGCCCCTCCCAGCCTGTATTCTCCCATACTTCTTGGCTTCTGCCCAACCTGTTTCCTCTGCCCAGAAAACTCCTGTTTGTCTCCAAGACTGCTCGAATGTCACCATCTCCAGACAGTCTTTATTTCACCCTCCTTCATTTTCTTCCTTCCTTTCCCCTTGCAAAATCATTTTTGAGTCCTTACCATGTCTGGAGTCCCCGCCCCCCCACTTCTCTCCATGCCAACATCTGCCATGCTGCCAACCGTCACAGGTTCATCTCCTGCCACATCACTCTTTGCTTCTCTGTTTTCTTCACACCGGCTTCTCCTGCTCCCTCCCTCTCTCTCCAGGGCTTTTGCACTGGCTGAAGGCTCCTCCTCTGACACCCTGACACCAACTCTTGCTGTCCGCGCCTCCACTGTTACCCCTCCTCCTTTACAGCAGCACCTGGGACTTGCATTTGTTTGATGATTCCTATGTCACCCTCTGTAACGTGAGGAGGGCAAGCAGGGCATCCGTCCCTCTGCCCCCCGCCCCCCTGCCCCCGTGCTTAGCATAGAGATTACCACACAGCAGGTGTCCCATCACTTTTTGTTGGACGAACAAATGACGACATCCCAGAGCACCCCAGTTTGTCTTTCTTCTTCAGTTGTTCTCAACCTTCTTTTGGCCATTGGCCCCTTTGAGAGGCTCCTGAAAGCTAGAAACCCTCTCTACAGAATGTGCATGAATGCTTAGTAACATAAAATTTCCATATCATGTCAAGGGTCTGAAGCACCCCAAATAAAGAGAGCATTATCTAATAATTCCAAGCTAAGATTCTTTCCTGGAAAGCAAGCTGATAATTGTATGATAGATACTCCATGATATAAGTCCACCACATATGGTGTTTAAAGTGGGTCTCCCAGTGACGTAAAGGTGTGTGCATGTGGATGGCTTCATGTAGAAGCCACACTGGTTGCTATGTTCCCTTTAAGAACCTGTTTCCCTGATTTTGTCATTGCAGGAAGGAAGACAGCACAGGGGCAAACATAGCAAGCTGGAAAATATTTACATCCTTCTCAACTGACCGACAGAGCAGAGGTGGCCTATGATTTACAATCCTTTCCAGTGAGCCAAATTATAAGCCAAGCAACCATCTTCCTGTCTCAAGTCACTAATAGGGAATACTTCTACTCTGTATGATACCAACCTGGGGACCCAAGAGATGGCTGTTGACTGTAAGAAGCCCATATTTAATGCCATGTGAGTGACAGGAAGCCGGGTCTGGAGTCCCAAGGACCTGTCGGCTCTGCTGCTCCTACGCTGGGTCGCCGTGCACAAATAACTTACCTTCTTCCAACATCCTCTTCTTCGTCTGTTTGAGGGTCATATGCCTACTTGACAGTTTTGCTCTGACAACCAAATGAGCTAATGGCTGGAAAAGCACCTGAACACTGTAAGATTCTTTCCAAGTGTCAGGATCCTTGTTGTGTTTGTAAAATGCAGTTCCTTCGACTTAGGTATTTCACTGACGGTTGTCTCGGAGTGCACTCTGCCATAAGGACTCATTGATTTACCATTCTGCGTAGCTTCCATCCAAGATGGGTGATGAGGGGATGATAGGATGATGGTTTTAAAAAATCACTGTAGTAGTTATCTTGATATTATAGAGCTGCTGAAGAAGCTTGGGCTAGGATGGAGTTCCCAACCTGCACAAAAAGTTGTATGCATGTGAACTCTTTCCTAGGGAGAAGGAGCATGGATTTCATCAGATTTGCAAATAAGATTGGTAGACAAGCACCCTAGTAGCCAAGCACCCCTAGTCTCGGCAGAAAGGACTCTGTCCGGAAATCCAGAGACGGACTCTGCCTCCAACTTGCTGGCGACTTTAAGGCTGTCCCTTGGCCTCTATCCGCCCCAGCTCCTTATCTGTAAAATGGGTGTGGCACAGTCTTCCAGTGGCTGAGTTCCTACTGAGGGGCAGGCTCTGGCCAGACAGGAAGCTTCCACACCCAGCCTTCTTGCTTCCAGAGTAAGCGAAGAGCTCTTCTTCTCTCAACTTGTGTCCATGAGTTGCGCCCAACTGACCACAGCACCCCAAAGTGCCCAGGCATGCAGCCTCATTTCAGCTCCTTTTGCTCTGCAGTTAAAGAGCATCACGGCCCAGTTGCTGTGCTTGGACCCAGGGAGTCTGCTTCCTCTGACACCATTTCCCTGTAAACTGCAGGGCTGTGAGGCCCGCTTACACTGGCGGCCAGGGGCCTGACAGGGACCTGTGAAATCTCAGCATCGCCCAGGAAGATGCAGTGAAAATCCAGCTGTTGAGCGGGGAAACGTCAGTGAGCCACATGTTTTCTTGCCCTGGCTGCTGTGAGACAGTGGGTGGTGACTGGAAGTCAGATCTGGTGGTTGGAGTTGGCCATGGGTGTCTCAGATCTCCGCAGAACCTGGGGCAGTGGTCGGTGCTGGGTGAGCAACAGGCAGGCCCCATATCACATTACAGACCTTAGAGAGTTTCCAGTCCACAGCGGGTACTGGCAGCCCTTGGGCCAGATTTGGCCCACAAATGTATCATGTTTGGCTTACATTTACTTTTTTTATAATTGTGAATGAGCTCTGTGCCACTGAGCTGGATACTTAAAAATGGTTAAGAAGGTATGTTTCTCTAAAACTCTAAAACGTATCTTCTTAATCATTTTTAAGTATCCATTTCAGTGGCACAGAGTGCATTCACATTGTGGTGCAACCATCACCATCATCCATCTCCAGAACCTTTTCATCTTGCAAAATTAGAAACACCATATTCATGAAAGATTCACTCCTCATTTCCCTGTCCCACAGCTGCTGGCACCCACCCTTCTACTTCCTATCTCTATGAATTTGACCACTCTAGGACCTCATGTGAGTGGAATCATACAGTCTTTGTCCTTTCATGACTAGTTTATATCACTTAGCACAATGTTTTCGAGGTTCATGTGGCAGCATGTGTCAGAGTTTCCTTCCTTTTTAAGGCTGAATAATATTCCAATGTGTGGATGTACCACATTTTGTTTATCATTCACGCATTGAGGGACCTTAGGGTGGCTTCCACCTTTTTGGCTACTGTGAGTATTGCTCCTATGAACACAGGTGTACAAATGCCTATGTTGCATTTTTTAATATTGGAGTTAGCAAGTGACATTTAAAAACCAAGAGATTTCATATACAAATCTGGATTTCTGGCTTCTCTTGGAAAATCAGTGTATCTGACAGCATCGGGCTTCCATCTTCCTGGCCACAGTCAGAGGTGAATGAAGCCAGCTCGCTCCCTCCCCCACTGAGAGGCACCCCACTCAGTGGACTGCAGGGCCCCCACTCCTTTCTCCTCCACTCACTGAAAAAGCTGCCTGGTTTCCACAGGCTATGGCTTGGTGACACCTCGTCTGCTCAGCACCCATCATGTTATGGGTGAAAATGCAGAGGCCCAGGGAGGAAGGGTGGCTGGGGCCCGAGGTCTCACAGGCCAGGAAGTGATACAACTGCTGAAATGCAGGAAGGGCCTGCAACTGGGCATTGCAAAGCCTTGATTCTACTTCCAGCTCTGCTACCTGCTTGTCCCAGGTCCCTGGGACAAAGCCCTTAAACTTTCTGAACCTAAATTTCCTCTTTGGAGGAAAATGGGAGAAATGGAACCTTCTATTGCAGCCTCGTGAAGTATTGTGAAGACAGAGGAGATGTTGTGCATTGACCATTGAATGCAATTGGGATGGGAAGGGGTGTTACTAAAAGCACAGGCCATGTCAGGCAACCTAGCGTCTGGGGATCTGTTTTCTCATTTGCAAGACAGGAAAAGGGGCCACACCTTTCCCCACTGGGCTATTACAAGGATTAACTGAGGCAGGGAAAGAAAAGAAAAGCATCCGGCAGAGGGCTTGGCACCCAGCAGATGCTTCACAAATGCTACTTCTTAACAAGTAAGGTCACGTCCAAGGGTTCCAAATCCTCTTCCTGCAGTACACAACCCAGGAAGAGATGTAACATCATGGGAACAACCAGCTTCAGAGTCTATTGGCCTGATTTCAAAACCTAAGCTTGACGCATTAGCCACTGAGGGCACTGGGCAGGTGAGCCCATCTCTCTGATCTGCAAACTCTTCCATTGTTTAGTGGGGAAAATATCACTGTCCTTGACAGCACAGGGGGAAATGAGAAATGGAAGGTGCTCTGCACATAGTAGACATTCAATAGAGTCTAATTCCTTTCCTTGCCTTCCCCAGCAGAGATCTGTTTTCTAGGTTAAAAAGACGGCATGTTTTCCAAATATCTTCAAAAAAGGGAACAAGGAAAAGTGTGGTTTCCAGCTTCCCACTGAGGTTTGTCAGTCACCAGGTTTCATTCACTCATTCAAGGAACAAGCACTGATTGAGCACCACTAAGCGCCAGGCACCACAGTAGGCCCTGGGGTTCTGGGAGAGAACAGAGTAGGCCAAATTGCTGCCCTGGTGGGTGGGCTTCCGCGTAAGTCTGCTCAGTCGCTCCATGAGTACTCATTAAGGGCCTCTTCTGAGCTGCCTTTCCAAGGGCCTTGGCTTTACCTGGAAGGCTCATCTGTTGCTGTCTGTGTGATTCCTGCATATCTGGACCTCACCCACTTCTCTGGCAGTACCAGAGAATATACCTGTCTTGGGCCCCAGACCTTTAGACAGCATGGTGATCCTGCCAGCCTGTGCTGCTTCGGTTATCCCCTCAGTCATTTCCAGGGTCCCTGGGCAAGGCCAATGGAGCACTCCTGGGGTGAACAGTCCATCCCACTGCACACAGGACACCCTGTGGGCCAGGTGTGGGCCCCGGAGAGCCTTGCCTCTTAGTTTACCTTTAGGCTTTGAATGAAATGGGAATACGGATGGAAAGCCCTTTGTAAACTCTTAAGATCTACATGTATATACAGGATTGGTGTTATTTGACTTTCTTCTAGAGAGATGACAGAGACCACCCGATGTAGGAGAAACAGGTTAGGGTTTAAGACCAGAATAGCTAGGCTGCAATCTGGGTTCTGCAAGTTATTGGCTCCGAGACTAGGGAAAGTGGCCTCCCCTCCCCAGTTTACTTGCTGGGCAAATGGAGATAATAAGATACACACCTCGGCACCTACTGTGCGCAATAATGGAAAAACTGGATGGGAAGGCATTTTGCAGAATTACATGTTGTGCATATACTTTACTCATGTCATTAATATAATGCACATTTATTATACACCTACTGTGTGCCATTATGAACAAGGTGATCTGTCATATGACAATTTGGAAGAAAGTCCACAGGCTAAGGCAGAGAAGAAATACTTGTCAGATGGTTGTACTGCACATTCATAGATTATGATTAGCAACAGCCAGCTAGTTGGCATAGCAACGTTTCCCCATGAACTGCTAGGCACTGTTCTTAAAATAGGTATGTCGGAGGTGTGGCGGCAGTGGGGACACGCTGAGGTAGTGTGGTTTGATCGCTCTGCAGACCAATGGGCTGCAACAAATGCAAGACATACAAATGGTGACACACATGGTGACATACAGAGGGTGACACACATGGGCTGTGTGCTCAGAGTGGCCCTGCCATTGCCCTTCCCAGGCAAGCCAGCAGGTCAGTGATTAAGGTGACAGATCCGGAAACATCCATTGTTGGAGCTGGAGACAGCCTCAGACTTCATCTAGTGTAAGCATCCTTCTCCTCCCCATTTTACAGGCGAGGAAACTGATTCCCAGATGAGGTTAACTGACATCTGCGGTCCAGTGACAAAGCCACTTGACTGCAAATGGGACTGAACGTGGTTCGGATGTCATTATGCAGTATTCTCCAACCGTGCCATGGGGCAGGCTCTGCTGATTCAGAATTTTAGGTCTTGGTCTGATGCAATTAGTTTTCTACTGGGTTGCAATCTATATGGCATCATCTAGTGATAGATGTTAGTTTAAGGAATTCTTTCATTTTGTGTGGAATTCATGCCTGCATTTCGCCCTGGGGAAGCCCTGAATCCCAGGATATCTTGGAAACTCACCTACTTTTTGGCTAGACTTACATGATTGATCTTTAAATCCACCCTTCCGTAGCCTTCCTTACCTAGTTTCTCGGTGTGAAATCAAGCACCAAAGCTGGTCAAAGGTTTTTGAATTGCTTTGGAATGAGATTATTATATGAGTTTAGTTACCCATCATTGGAGAGAACAGGGAACGCAAGTCCTTTTACAGCTGGGGTCCTTTCTATTTGTTTTACTCAGCAATTTATTGAGTAAACTTTTATAAACTTGAGAGGGGCTTTTCATCTTCAGGCTGGTGAGCTTCTTTTAAGAGATTCACAGTTCCCCTTTGGTTCCAGGGTGAAATTCTAGGTCTGAAACGTGAAACCTTCTGAGAACTCAGCCAACTTCTGAGAATAGGGTGCGAGACATTTCTGACATATTTTAGACACAACCTGTTTTTCTCTGTTGAGACAGTGTCATGTGGTCGGAAGGGCTCTGGGCTGGGAGTCCAGGCAGGGTAAGAGGGGCTGCAGCCCTGCCACTTACCCCCTCCAGGTCATTTGAAGGATGTAAAGACCGCATTCTGTACTGATGATTCTTCACCCTGGTTGCATGTTGGACTCACCTGCAGAGCTTTTTAAAACACTGATGCCCAAGCCTCTCTCCAGGCCACTGAAATCAAGTTGTATTGGGTGGGGCCCTGGGCAGAGATCTATTTGAAAAGCTCCCCAGTGATTCTAATGGGCAGCTGGGGGAGAACCATGGGAATACAGTCACATAGTCTCTTTCCACTCCCCCATTCCCTGTGCTATTTAAGTTCTAAAATGCTATTGTGGGTTTCTTCTGTGCTAGACTCATATTTATTTATGCTCCTAGCTAGGAAAGAAATGTGTCCTCAGAGTCTACAGGAGGAAACTTCTCATCTCTGGAGAATTTTTGACCATGAGTTGGCTTTGTAACTCTACCCTCAGAGGGCCTTTTAAACAGCTGGTGGTTCTTAAAGAAATGAAATGCATGATGTGTTACTGCTTTGAGCTCCGCTGTGGCAGAGCCTGGAGCTGAGCTCTTGGTGACTGGTCACTGCACAATTCCATGAAAGTTCAGATAATATAATTGGGTGGTAAATGACACACTAAATGAATCTCTTGGGTGCAGTTGTTTGCATCCTAAACTCCAGAATATGCAGAAAGAGATATTCTGTGATAGATATATCTGCCAGTTGGGTAAGCAAACAAAAGTAGATTTGTCTTCGGCATGTGCACCAATGGCAAACTGCATTCCTACCTAGCTTTGAAATAAATTATTGGAAGTTCTCTGGTGCCTTAAGGTGGTGTAGAAGGAAAAGATCCCTGGGGTTTGTTAATGTATTTAGTCCTCTTCTCTGTGTTATGGGAATTTCTAAAAACAGATAATTTGTACGTTGGACCTAAAACTGCTTTCAAGAACTCAGTAGACTTGGGATTGAAGGATTGGGTTTTCTCTTTCCCATGTGAACTTCCCTAAATCCTACTCTGGCTTCAGAAAGCACAGCTCCTATACAAGTCTGACTTCTGCATTTTTAGTGTAAATGTAATGTATTGAGTAATGGAAAGACTAATGGAAGAATTGATAGCTCAAAAATGAGTTTTTTCCAACACCATTTTTTTTTGTCTCTGAAAACACCAGCAGGCTGTGTCCAAGCATGGGCTGATGATCCCTTTATGTGATGATAGAACAAGGGAGGAGAGAGACAAATTAATGGGATTGTTAAAAATGGCTGAAAACTTGATACTAACTTTGAGTCAGTATTTTCTTTTTAAAGTCGTGTAATACAATATTTGTAGATAGGACATTGAAAGTGATGGGGGAAATAAATGTCTATGCAGTGACGTTATAGCCATTAATTCTTTAGTGGAAAAGGACAAGGTCTGTACCTAACAGCAGTAGGAGAGTGAGTTTTGGGGCCAGACACGCGACGGCTCTGCTGCCGACTAACTGTGCAAGCTTGGACAGGGTACCTACCTCTCTTAACCTCAAAGTCCTCCATGGAAACAGTGGGTAAGGTGTGAAGATTAAAGAAATAGCACGCTTCTTAAAGCACTCAGCATGTCAGTGGATGTTGGGAGCCTTCCCTCACCCCTTTGAAAATGGGCTCTGCACAAACACATTTTGGTGGGAGGCTGGGGTCTATCCTACCAACCTGAGTTGGGGGAATAAGATGATCTCTTCCACAGTTCGGGTTTGCACAACCAGCTTTTGCAGGTGAGGCAGGGAAGAGGCATGAGTGTCATTGGCAGAGTGATAAGCGAGGCTGGCAAGTTCACTTTGGTAGAACCTCTGTGGACTCCTTAGTTCTTCCAGGTTGAATCCTGGGCAGAAATCACATGAAAGCTGTGAAGCACAGACATCAGTTTAGAAATTGTGTACTTTCCCGCTGAATCCCAAATGCACAATAACTGTACACCTTGCGGTTGCATGAATCTACAAGGTCTCCTATGCGCCCTCATTCATAAACTCAAGGCTGAGAATGTTGGCAGGCCAAGTCCTGCCCCTCCCCGGAGTGAGCTGCCTTGGTTCACACGGGAGTGGTCCAGCGACAGGACCCGACACCTCCCCTCCGGAAGCTCTTCAGCAGGACCTGCCTCGGGTCCTGGGGCAGCTATCCTCCGGGGCCTGCCTGCAGTGAAACCATCAGTCCGTGGAGATGTTCACTGGATTCCTGACCAGTTGTGGGTCGGGCTCAACCCTCCCTCTGGGTTTTCAGGATTTGTAATGATCGCTCCATTTGTGTAAAATAGGCCGGCATTTTCTCTTGTTACTGAGATGTATTTTTCTATGTGAGTTAAATGTATAATTTGTGTAATTTTGTACATTAAAATGTATGCTTTTTCACAATTAAAGGGTTTTTTTCCCTTCTGAATGTTTTATTTATTGATGGTTTGTTACAAAGTGTTGTCGACCCTGACGTAACAGAAAAAGGCAATGGAGCTAGGATTCCCTTGATTTTTGGTGGGGAATAAATGCTTTTCTTGGTACTCAAATCCACTTTGCACAAATAATTAAATGATTTCCTTTATAATCATGTAGTGATTTCTGATTGCTGCTTTGACAGATGACCATGAACCCATTGCCTTAGAACAACTCACATTCATTATCTTGTAGTTCTGAAAGTCAGAGTCCCTGGGCTACAACCGAGATGTTGGCAGGGCTGCCTTCCTTCTGGAGGCTCCAGGGAGAAAGTGTTTCCTTGCCTTTTCTGGCTCCTGGAGTTGCCCACATTCTTTGGCTTGTGGCCCCTTCCTTCCTCTTCAAATCTCTCTCACTCTGACCTCTGCTTCTGTTCTCTGATCTCCCGTTCTCAGACTCCGACTTTCCTGCCTCTCTCTCACTTAAAAGGACTCTTGTGATGACACTGGCTCCACCAGGTGATCCAGGATCATCTCCACATCTTAAGATCTGTAAGCAGAGCCACAGAGTCCCATTTGCCATGTGGAGTAACATGGGCAGTAGTTCTAGGGATTCAGGTGTGGGCATCTTTGAGCATCATTATTCTGCCCACCACAGTCCCATATGTACTAATTTGGAGGCCACAGAAAAAAGCAGACATTTAAAAATCAAATGAGCCTGGATTTGAACTGCATCTCTGTCACTTGCTGGCCATGTAACCGAACATGTTTACTTGTTTAACTTCTCTGAACATCTTTTCTTATATCTGAGATGAGGACAATAATCCATTACTATATACCTGATGATAAACTACAATCCCCTTTCCTTCATTTTTTGAAAACATTCTTTTTGCAATGAATGAACGAATTTTTTTTTTTTTTTTGGTTTGCCGAAACAAAATCCACATCGGACCTGAACTGGCCTCTTGTCCTCTCCCATCTGACGTGTCCCTTTCTGTTCTCTGCCATCACCCAGGAAGAAGGTTTCATGTCTGACATGATGAGCTCAAGGTTTGTCCTTCACCAAATGTAGTGCTGTAATTCACTTATAAGAACTCCTTCCCAGGAGGACTAGGAGCAGTTGGAGGATGGGTTGGGGGATGGGGGAGGTCACAGCTGTCGTCAGGATGGGGGCAGTTATCTCAGGCTTCCCCTGCTGCCTCTGTTGGTCCCTGGCAAATATTGCTCCTTTCTGTCTCCGTGCAAGCTGGAGGGTGCATTTCCAACTTTATACCCTGGGTTTTGTTTCCTTCCTCCCTTTCTCTGTTGCGCTTGGGTTACTGACCTTGAGATGAGATGGTGTGGAAAAAACTCAGACAAACCTGAGTTGAAATCCCAGGTTAGTCACTTCCCGGTGGTTAACCTGAGCAATGGGCTTAAGGTTTGTCATCCTCAGCGCTCCAGCCTGAAGATGGAAGTGGCCTGGTTCGCCACGTGGGGCTGCCTGAGGGAGCCAGCAGTGTATAAGGCAGAGCATGATGCACGGAAATGAACTGTGTGTGCAAGGACCCTTATACACAGTATGCAGTTTCAGGAGGGTCCGATCGCCTCCTCTGCATGGGGAGAAAAGAGTGAGAGGAAGTGATATAAAGTCAGTGACACGCAGTGGGCGCCACAAAGGTGTGTTAGATGAATGTCGAATGATTAGTTGCCCAAGACTGCATGCAAAACAGGATTCTAACTCAACCACCTAGACTCTTCTGCCTAAACTAGGTCCCTTTATCTCTTATCTCCCAGTGGGACCACCTCAGTCAGGCTCTTGGGGAGAGGAAAGGGTAGTTGTTTCGATGTGGACTCTGGCACCAGACTACTCTGTTTAAACCTCGAAGTCTTACTTGCCAGCTGTGACCCTGGACAGGTTATTTATGTCTCTGAACCTCAGTTTTCTCATCTGTAAAATGAGGCTAAAATGGCAGTTTCAAGGTTGCTGCGAGGCATAAAAGAGTTACTATCTGTTAGGTGCTTACCATGGTCCGGGCACGTAGTAAACTTTCTATAAGCAGAAGCTATGAAGATCCTTTCCTGCTTCTGCATAAAGACAGCACTTTCTCAGCTCCTTCCTTGCGTCACTCCCTCTAGTCTTGGCAACTGCCCAGCCCTTTCTCACAATGGAAAGGGTTTTCTTTAGAAGCAGTAAGATTTCCATCACCACCAACAAAGCCTGAGAGACTGTGTCCTCAAGATGTTGAGAGCAGATTCAAGCATGCAGTAGGAGGCCTGGCCTCCAAAGTTCCACCTAACTCAGACTTTTGAGTTTTCTGATATTTCTCTGGGTTATGTCACCCTGAACATTTGTGGGGTTTTAGAAGAAATTTCTATGTGGTTTTCGACATGAATTGTTCTTGCCTGGAATGGGCTGGGAATAGTATTTCACAGGACAGAGAAAAATTTTCATTGAAAAATCGAAAACACTTGCAAGATAGCCTGGAGGCTGATGGGCCTCAAGAGGAGTGTCTGTGGCAAATCTGCACAGTGGACCCAGGGACACAAGGAGAGAGGAGCCAGGATGCAGCTGCGGTGGGTGGAAGGTAGATGGAGGCTGTGTGTGGAACTTTCTGTTCTCGCATTCAGCACTCTCTCCCCCATGAGAGTAAACACTTGTTGAAGACAGAGACTTAGAAATACTCATCTGTGTCCCCACACTAGCCTCTCTCTCAAGCACAGAAAAATAACTTGCTAAATGCCCACCGAGTGGATGAGCCCACGCTCTAGGCCTGGCTGAACCTCCTTGAGATTGAGGCCCTGAGGGAGCCATTTCACATCTCCCCTCCTGTTTCCTCTTCCAAGAGGGGGCCGGTAAAAATACCTACCTGCTGCACAGACCCCTTGTTGCAGGGTTGAAAGACAGTAGCTTCAGGGAGGTGTCAGCTGAGGCCACGGATCCGACGGCCCCAGGATCCTCAGTCCATGGGGCCCAAGAGTCATAAAACAAGAACATGAATCCATCTGTCTGTCTGGTATTCCTGGAGCTTGGTCACGCTGCGGGAGCTCTGGCTTGCAGCTGGCAGGGCCCGGGGTTGAAGGGACAGCTCCCAGCATGGAAGGCTATGGGTGGGGGGACATTGCAAGAAGCACTGATGCTCCCCTCTGCAGTCCCCACCCAGTCCTGACTTTGCTTGTCTAGACTGGCTCGAGGAGGGGGTCGGCAGCTGGCGATTCTGCCTCTCCAGGAAGTGCAGCTGGGACTGTAGGGTCCCCAGGGACTTGCAGGATCCTCTGCCTGATAATCGTGGAGAAATAAGGGAAGGTGTCTATAGGAGGCAGGTGGTGCCTGGCCTTAGAGGAGAGCCCCAGCAGAGCGACCTCCACGACAGAGAAACCCCAGAACGCCCAGACTGCAAGCTCCAGGAGCAACAAAAGTGGACTGTGCCCCTCGAATGAGGGAATATCTGTCTGTCTGGTTGACTGCCAGCTGTGTGTGTGTGGTCATCTCTGTCTCTGTGTGTCTTTCTCTGGAGCGTTTTTATTTAAGCTTTTGACTTCCTTTATTACTGGTGTGGACTTGTGTGTGGGCATCCTGTTGCCAGTTTATGATGCACATGTGTGGAATCGCCCTGAGCTTGCCTTTGATATTGGTGTGTTGTGTGGTGTCATTGGCGTGCACGTGTATGTGTGTGTCGCTGATTCTCATGCAAGAATGTGCTTCTCTTATGTGTCTGTCGGAGTGTGCCTCTAGCATGTCCCTCTTGGCTGCTGCACCACCTTTCCTGGCCCTTACCACCTCTTGGCCCACCATATGGGTGCTTTTGTATCCAATTCCCCTCCTTAGCAGGTCAGCTCCTGGAGGGCAGGCACTTGGTCTCTTTTGTCCATGGCTCTGTTCCCAGCTCCTACAACAGTGCTAGGCACTAGTGGGCGCTCAGCAAAATAAAACTGACGGAATGAACGGTGTGTCCAACGCATGTGCCTCTCCAGTTGTGCAATTAATCTTGGTGTGATACTGTGTGTGAGTGGGGTTGTGAGACAATGAGGATTTCTGTTGTGTGTTTGTAATGAACTCGGAATGTGCACAAGCATATATGTGTATGTGTGTGCAACATTGAGTATGGTGTGCATGATCGAGCCCCTGTGTATCTCTGGAGAGCATGTGTGATTGACTCTCGTGTGTGTGCCAGCATGTCTGTGCATCTCTCATGTGTTTGGCGTAATTGTCTGGTGTGCAGGTATGAACCCGCGTGTGCCTCCAGAGCGTGTGGGCGCGCGAGTGTACGCACACGGCTCCTGCCCCGCGCTCTCCTCGCGCCCTGCGCTCCGCCTGGGGGCGGAGAGTGGGGGGTGCGGCGAGGGCACTGCGGTGCCGCGGCCCGCCCTCCGCGCTGCGGCTCGGGAGCGTCACCGTCCCTCCCCGCCCCAGCCGCGATCCCCGCCTCCTGGTCCTTTGTAGCTGGCCGCGCCGCTAGCCCGCAGCCGCCCAGAGGCCCCGCCCCGGCCCCGCCCCGGCGCGCGCCACGCCCCGCCCCTCCCCTCCCTGGGCCGCAGTCGCGCCCGGGCCGCCGCAGGCCCGCACCGAGGCGCGGAGCGCGGCGCACGGCGGTGCCCAGGGCCGCGGGCGGGCAGGCGGGAGCGCGGTGGGTGGCCGGCCTTGGACGGGTATGGCGGACCGGCGGCGCGCGTGGAACACCGAGGACGACCTGCCCGTGTACCTGGCGCGGCCGGGCAGCGCGGCGCAGACCCCGCGCCAGAAGTACGGCGGCATGTTCGCCGCGGTGGAGGGCGCCTACGAGAACAAGACCATCGACTTCGACGCCTACAGTGTGGGCCGCCGCGGCTCGGCGCGCACGCCGCGCAGCGCTGGCCGGCCCGACGCGGTCGGGCTGCCAGGGCCGGGAGGCAGCGAGGACACGGCCAGCGACGTGAGCGAGCCCTCGGGCTCCGCGGTCAGCTCTCCCGGAGAGCGCGACGAGCGGCCGCCGACGCTGCGCATCCGCCGCCCCGCGCCCCGCGACCTGCCCCTCGGCCGGGACAATGGCCAGGTACCCTCGGGGCGCGCGCGGGCCAGACGAGGGGGGCGGGCCCCGGGAGGACCCAGGGCATGGGGCGCCCGAGGGCCATGCCCGGGCCCCGGTGTTGGGGCAGCGGCCGCCAGGCTGGGGAGAGCCACGGCGCGGCCCCTCCCCCACCTCATCATGCAAGAGGTTCCCAGAGCTGGGGCGACTCGGTCGGGGCTGGCCGGCGTGGTCCGTGAGACTCGGAAGGGATCGCCCGGGTCCAGTCCCGGCTCCTCTTCTACAGAAAGGGAGAGAGGTTCTGAGAGGGGAAGTTGGCTAAAGCTACCGCATGGACGCTTAAACGCGAAGGAACCTCTGGGATGAATCTAACCCAGGCCCCTCATTCTGTTTTGTGAAAAGAACTGGAGCTCCGTTCCGTGTTGGTCCATTCATCCATCCACTCAGTCGGTAGTAATTATAGAGCACCTACTGTGTGCCGGGCCCCGGGAGAGGTTCCGCGAGTCGCCTGCGGCCACACAGCTTAAAGCTGGAAGGAGCTTTTTTTCCGAGCGCTCCCCTCATGCTTGCTGGGGGGAAGGATTTGGTTAAGGATTTAGTTCGTCGGGCAGTTGGAGCCGTAAACCCCTACCCTCAAGCGCCAGTAGATTCAAGGGGCACTCCTGAGCTCCACAGCACACACCGATGTGCCTGCTTCACAGAGCAAGGTGGAGGTAGAGCTGGGATTTGAACTGGGGTCTCTGGCCTCCCGGACCTGAGCATGGGGCCGGGAGGATCAGGGAGAGGGAACGCTAGGGCTTGGGCCCTGCGGGTATTCTCTCTTGAGCTGGGGGTCACCAGGAAACTGGGGGAAGAAGGGCGGATGGACGGCGTAGCCTTTGGATGGACCGACGAGAGCCAGGGTCAGGTGCCAGAAAAACGGAAGTTGGAGCATCCGAGGGCTGGGGAGCTTTCGAATTGGTCCAGACCTGGATGCCGGAGAACTGCTAGGTGCCAGGCCCAGGGTAGGCGCTAGGTCCCTGGCTCAGCAACCTGGCCCCACCCTCCAGAAGTTCCCAGGCTAGGGTGAGCGACGGATTCATTGTGAGAATTAAATCAGTTAATGCCGGTCGGTAGTGAGCATTCAATAAATGTTTGTTGTTGACTTTTATTACAATCATTATCATTTTAATTAAACCTTCCCCTCTTAAATGCTATGAGTGACCCAAAGTGAGCCTGGAGGGAAGCAGAGCTTGATCGGGGCAGATATCTGGGAGGGCTTCCTGGAGGAATAGGAGCAGGGAACTGGTAAACACGGTGGTGGGCCTCTTCGGGCCCCATCCCTTCGCGGGCGGGCTGTTGCTCCAGAGCTCTCCGTGGTCCTGAAGCCGGAGCCTCGCGAGGGAGAGGTCCAACAGCAAGGGTGTGTGTGTGTGTGTGTGTGTGTGTGTGTGTGTGTGTATGTGTGTGTGGTGGTGGGGTGATCAGAAAGGGAGATGGTGCGAGAGTCCAGCTTCCTCTTCCCCCACCCCTTCTGTATCTCCCCCTGTCCACTACCTTCCCTGGTGGTCCGACCTCTCTTGGGATCCAAACTCCCGAGCCCGATGGGGAGGCTTCTGGGCCGCGGGCCGAGAAGCGGGACCAGCACCAGGGAATCCGGGTTTCCAGCCAAGGCGCTTTGCTCTCTTGGGCCTCAGCTTCTCCATCTGTCAGATGGGGGTGGCCGTCTTCTTCCGGCCTTCCTCAAAGCGTGGTGGAGTACTAGGGAGGCGAGGGCGCTTTGTGCACGGCCCGTAGCTGTCCCAAGGAGAGTTCCTCTGGAACTGCGGTCAATGTCACCAACGCCAGCATCTCCCCCAGGGCGCAGCCTGGGCCAGCCCCGCAGCTGCGCCCTGACCCTTGGGGACGCTGGTCGCTTCACCTCTCCCGTTCCTCTCCCCTACTCCTTCCTCTTCTCCCTGTGGTCCCCTCTGCCTTTCTCCATGGCTTCTCAGGCACCGGACAAAAGGCAGCGCCTCTGGCGCTCCCGGGGCTCCGAAAGCACTCGAGCTTCGCGACTGTGGAACTCAGGGGCTCGCGATCTCCACGGAGGGAGGGTTTTACTTTCTGCCGGCAGAGCGGCCTTGAGGCTTGGGTTACAGTGGGCTCGGGTTCCGGGGCGGGCCTCACCGCTCCAGGGCTTCGCAACGGGTGCCCCGGCCCTTCCCCCCCCGCCCACCAGGCTTCTCCCTGGGCTGCAGGAGGGGTTTCTGCGGCGCAGGCGCAAGGATTGCCGCTGCCGGAGGCTGAGCGGCTGCGGCGCTTTGTACCGGCGAAATCTGCTTGGGAGCAGCGATCTGTTTGGCCAGTGGCAGGCGGATGCTCCTCCCCCTGATACGCACGTGGTCTTGTCCCTTGCTGTAGGGGCTTTCTGCTCAGATCTCCAGACTGACCCCAGGGAACGCCCTGGTACGGGGAACCTAGGACTTAACAACTCCAAGGAAGGGAGTGTAGGAGTTGGGGAGGGACAGTGTCCCCATCTGCAATTTCCGGTCATTGACAGGGATTTTAGGCCCCGCTGAGAGCCAGGGATGCATGAATGCGTGGAGGGAAATGAGTTGTAAACAGAGTGTAGGGGAACCTGGCATCTCCATGCTGCTTTGCTGCAGCTAATATGTTTTGCACCCGGGGTACATCATTTTACCTCTGTAAGCCTCAATTTCCTGTCTGTAAAATGGGAAAATTATGCCTAGTGTTCCTGGGATACTGAGCTGGCTTCTCTGTGAAGCTAAAACCTCACCTCTATTTTAAGGCCCAGGTGTCTCTGGCCTCCTGCCCTGGATTAGGGGACTGGCCCCTGGGGTGGTGAAGGTCAGGGCCCCAGCCCCCAACCACAGTGCTGGGGGAGCTGTACCAAGCCTAGGCCACCCTCGCTCTGGATGGCAACTTGAAAGCAGAAAAGATGAGTAGTTTCATAGGACCTGTGGGGTTGGATTTCGCATGCAGAAAATGAACAACGAAGTGGTGGACAAGGTTGGTGTTTTATTCTGCCTGGGAACTTGGGGCACCTGTCCAGTGAGGTTGGGGCTTGCTGGGGCTCCCCCTTTTCCTCCATCTTCTTTCATCTTTTCCCCTCTGCTGTTACGGACCTTGTCAAGCTGTGACCTGGCTTCCTGCCCACCTCCCTCTGGAGCAACATCTGGATCATGGACTCCGGGGCTGGTGTCCACAGTGCTGGGAGGCAGGAGCACCCTAGTCCTCCTCCTGACCCCCAGCTTGTCCCCAGGGCTGTGGAGACCTTGGTGCCAGTGGCCCAGCCCTCCAAACACCTGCTGTCTTGGAGGCAATTCTGTGGGGTGACCTGGTGGCCCCAGTGTCAGGCTGCTGTGTGATGAGGGAGCTGCTGTTGGAGTAGAACAGGTCAGCATTAATTAAGGCCGTACCCTTCTGTCCCTGCTGTTCCCTCTGCCAGTTAGGGGGCTCCACCTTAGAGGCCCCCAGGGAGGGCTGGTTCAATGCTAGGATGGAGAGGGTGGCAGGGAGAGGCTTCGTGGTGGGGAAGGCATTGGAGATGGGTCTAGGGGAGTGGACAGGCTTTTGTCTGGGGTAGACTATTCAGGGAGAGGGTACAGCGTGAATAAAGGCTTGGGGTCCGAGATGGAAAAAGTGCTTGGTGCATTCAGGGAGAGGCACTCGGGAAGGATAAACGGAGGCTATGGAAGGAGAGGCAAGAGGGGAGCGGTCCTTGGGCGCGATCCTGGAGGGACAAGAACGTTCCCAGCAGCTTGGGCCGATCCTTGGCCCCCGTCCCACACTCCCTCCCCCCACACCCCCGCAGATGTTCCGGGGAGGCCTCCAGACGCGCGGCCACACACCTGTGGCGCCGCCCGCGGGCCCTGACCGCGCCGTCTTTTTCTTTTAAAGGAGCCCTGAAAACCATACTCTCTGGATCGCGAGAGCGAGGCCAGGGCCCGCCAAGGGCGTGTGCGCAGGGCGGGGGTCGGCG
Source organism: Homo sapiens (assembly GCF_000001405.40). Lineage (NCBI taxonomy): Eukaryota > Metazoa > Chordata > Mammalia > Primates > Hominidae > Homo > Homo sapiens. Next base: position 5,888,651 of record NC_000004.12, on the reverse strand, counting down.
GGGCTGGGCGGGTGGGGGGCGGGGGGCGGGGTGGGAGATCGGAAGGGAAGCGCTTCCTGGTTCGAGCCGAGAGGGGCGAATCCGGCTTCGCTCCGCGCCGCCGGGAGGAGCTGTCTGCAGCCCCCTCCTCCCGCCCTCGCCTCTCCCTCCTCCTTCTCCCGCCCTCCTCGCCGATCCGGGCGGTGCTGGCAGCCGGAGCGGCGGCGGGCGGGCCGAGCAGCCGGGGCAGCCGCGCGTGGGCATCCACGGGCGCCGAGCCTCCGTCCGTGTCTCTATCCCTCCCGGGCCTTTGTCAGCGCGCCCGCTGGGAGCGGGGCCGAGAGCGCCGGTTCCAGTCAGACAGCCCCGCAGGTCAGCGGCCGGGCCGAGGGCGCCAGAGGGGGCCATGTCGTACCAGGGCAAGAAGAGCATCCCGCACATCACGGTAAGCGGCCCCCGCCCCCGCCGCCCCGCGCTGGCCTTTGTGGGCTGGGAGTGGGCGCCCGGCAGGGTCCAGATCCACGGGGCGCCGGCAGGGGCGCCCCCCGAGGCCTCCTGCGTCGCCGCGGGTGGGGCGGGGCCGGTCTCGGGATTTCAGCCCCCTCCCCCAGCCTCTGGGGACAATGGGGGTGGGGGAGCCCCGCATGGCGGGGCGGGGCTGGAGCCGGGAGTCCCTCTCCCCGCGGGCTTGCCGCCCCCTCCCCCCACGGGATGTGCCAGAGGATGGCGTGGACAGGGAGGATGCGGAGCCGAACAAAAGAGGGAGGGGCAGGGGTCCGAACCCCCTCCCCGCAGGCCTCGCGCGGGGGTGGGAGGGTGAGCTGAGCCTCCTTGGCTCGGCCCCCGCACCGTCCGGCCCATGCACCCCACAGCCCGGTACCTCCCCCGCTGGAGGAGGGAAAAAGATCATCCAGCGCTCCCCACTCCCCGCCTTTACTGATGGAGTGGAAGTCCGGACCTAGGGACAGCGCCATGATGGAAGCTCGGTCCACCCCTCCCCGCAGCTAAAAATAACCTAATGGGGCGACGCTGGCGGCTGCGGCCCGGGAAGGGTTAATGTTCCCGACGCTGGGCCGCGAGAGGGTGGGGACGGTGGTGGAGGCAGAACAGCCGGGCTGCGTCCCTGGGTGTGGCCGGAAACAAAGGAATCCCCGTCTTTACGCTTTGTCTCGGGGTGGGGAGCTGAGGGCGCAGCGGTCAGGAGCTGGCCCTCCGCCCCAGTTCCTGCCTGGCATCAGCGTGGAGCCTGACTGTTCCTGAGGGATGCGGACCACTGGAGCCCATGTATGCAGGAGCAGCCCGGGGCCGGGAGGCGGGATTCTGGGCGTGGTGGAATCCTCCAGGGTGACTCCAGAGGTTTGACTACTGGAGACCCAGCCTGCTCATTTATGCAAAATTCAGGCTCCTGGACAGTCGCAGGGCACCTGCCAGAGGGCAGCCTTAGGTAGGCGGAGGTATTGACACTTGCACTCACCTGCCAGTGGCCTGTCCCGTGTATTGCAGGCCTGTTTCTTTAAATGGTGGCAGCAAGGCTTTGCGGGTGGCATTACCCACGTAAAGCTCCCTGAGGCTAGAGCATGGGCTGAGGGCTTCCACCACAGGAAGGTCAGGAGGGAACCCAGGCCCCCTGCCTCCCCTGCACTGTCCTGCATCCGCCCCAGCTCTGGGCTGAGTCTTGAGTTAGAAAATTCCTCCTGGGCCCAGCCTCAGCTCTTGTCAGCAGGCCTCTGCCAAGCCCCCATCCAGAGGGTGGGCACCACCTCTTCTCCGTCTCTCAGCTCTGCCCTCTGAGACGCAGAGGTGTAAGCGGCCCATTCGTAAACACTAGTTGGTCAAGAATCACTAGAACACATATGGTTGCTTCCTCCTGGGCAATGTGAGAAGAAGGCAGGTGATATTTGAACAAGTCCCTGCCTTGGGACCCTCTAACCCTGCCTCCCAAGGGAACTGAGGCAGGTGATGGGGTCGGGGTGATGCAGTGACTCAGGAGTCAGGAGTTCTGGGTTTGAGGCTGTGTGCCCACAGAAGGTCTCTGCTGCTCTCAGGTCCCCAGTCTCCAAGGTGGAAACTTAATAGGATGGCCTGCAAGGCAGGTCTGTGGGATGCTGCCTCTGAAAGTGTGCAGTCCCAGTCTGCTAAGCTGAAGTGGTCACCAGGCCTACTGCCTGTTGCCCTCTGGAGTGGAGATGCCTAGGCTTTTCCAGCCGATGGAGCTGGGTGTCTGATGCCTCTCTGAACCTCAGTGCTCTGCTGTACGATGTAGGCCCCTTCACAGGACTCCTGAACATCCTAGGTGACCCTCCAAAGCATTTAGTGTGCTAGGTGCATGGTAAGGGCTTCAGATCTGCCGACAGGTCTTGCTGCTTTAGTTCTTCCTGTGAAACAATTAGTCAACTTGTGTGTAAAGAGAAATCAAATGGGTGGTTCCAGCAGCCTCTAAAGGTGGTTTCAATGAGCATGGGAAGGAGAGAGGCTGTAAGTTATGCTTAGTTCCTGGGAAAGAGGGCCTTGATGAGGATCATTTGTGTTCATTTGGCCCACATCAGCCAGAAGCGTTTGTGGTTTTAAACAAATCAAAACCTTCAGCAAATCAGAGAGGATCCACTTGAATGGGGCTTCACTGTATAGGACCTTTCATCTTCCTGAGTACCTTTTGCTAATAACACACATACACGTGTTGTGACAGGAACCAGATCCCTGCCTTAAATGCCATGTAACAAATGGGTGAGCACTGTGGCTTTTCAAATGGCTGCACCTTAACGTGTTCCATAGTAGTCATTTGACAAGTTAAGGCAAACCCATTGGCTGTTAGTGGGTTTGCATTAACTTGTCAAATGACTGCCATACCAAGCACAGTGCTGGGTGCCAGGAAGAGTGGGAAGGAGATGAATGGGTTTGCCCTGGCCCTTCTAGAGCTTAGCCAAGGCTGACATTTCAGCCTGAAGTGTTAGTGAAGTGTTAAGGGTATCATACGGCGGGGCGGAAGAAACCCCAGCAGGGACACTCAGCCTTGTCCTAGGGGAGACAGAGGGGACAGGAGGAGAGCAGGGTTCTTTGTGGAGCCCATGGGGCCCCAGAGGTAAAGGAGTTGGCATGCTGGAGAAACTGAAGGAAAGACGGCCTCGGGAGAGCCCACCCTCTGCTTCCCAGGGCAACCGCTGCACAGTTAGATCAAATCATGAAGGCAGTTGAGATGTTTCTGACAGCCATGGTGTGTGGCCTGTGGAGAGACCTGGGGGCTTGGAAAGGATCAAGTGTGGTTCATGGGAAGAAGTGCTGGTGTAGCAGGCATAGCTCTCAGCTTCATCCCCAGGTCCCCACCTGCTTGTTGCTGGGTCATCCTGTGCCCCTCTGAGCCTCAGCTGTCTCATCTGCACAGTGGGGATAAGGGTGTAGCTTTGCCAATGAGTTCAGAGCCTGGAGAGGTGGGAGCTAGAGTGGGGGAGGTGAAGGGGCATCACAGGCAGGGGCGCAGCATGGGCAAAGGCAAGGAGGCTGATCGTTCTGCTCATGTTGACGATGATGGTGGTGTCTTCCTCTTTTTTCCATCTTGGCCTTTTTCTGAGACAATATAGTAGCCGGTTAGAGACGGAAGAGCAAAAAAGCAGAAACACTTAGCTCCTGCCCCCAAGGACTGTGTGAAATATTTATAAAGCTCTCTTTCATGCGTGTCTTTTTTTTTTTTTTTAATGAATGGCACACTTGGGGATTAACTTAGCTGAAGCGGCTTCTTGTGCCCACTGCAGTGAGTAGAGCATCCTGGGTGTGGCTCTGAGCAAACAAAGGCACATGGCTTCCTAGCCCTGCAGAAGCTGTTGGCTCTGAATAGAGCTACCGAAGTGGGGAGGCCTGCTCAGTTGTGAGAGGAGTAAAGAGTGTCCACCATGATGATGACGGGGTATTATTAAAAATGAAGCTTCATGAGTACCGATCACATGTGTTTTTGCTCTAGTCCAAGCATTCGGCACAATTGCCATTATCTCTCACCTAGTTCTATGCACAGAACTGTGAGAAAGGCAGCCTAGGTAGATCACCCCTCTTTCCCAAAGAGTAAACTGAGGCTCAGAGAGATTCAGAGGCTTGTAAAGGTTCTTCATTGGCCAGTGGAGGAAGGAGAGCTTGCATTCAAGCAGGGAGGATAGGTGGGCTGGTCTGCGTGCTAGGAAAACCACTGCCCGTGTGTGTGTGTGCATGCATAGTTGTGTGTGTGAGTGCCAGTGTGTATGTAAATGTAAGTGTATGTCTGTGGTGTGTAAATGTGTTTGTGTGTGGGTGTGGGGGTGTGTGTGTGTGTTTGATTAAACAGTGAAGATGATCAGGAAAGAAGGATCAAGTAAAAATCACATCAGGCTCGATTTGTTGCTCTAATTTGCAAGTATGCAAAAAATGTGTGAGGCCTATTATGCTTTTTCCCAAGGGTGACATTCAGCCTATCTATGGATATCCAGTTGATTCCCTGCCTTTTTACACAAAGGATTTGAGATGTCCACAGTGATTTGTCATGCATATGGTGAAATCAGATGGAAGTCGAATAGCAGGACTGAGGATCAAGGAAGGACAGAACAAATGTGCCAGTGATTAGGACACTGGAGTGGCCATGATTAGTCATCCACTACTGACTCTGAGCATCTGTCATCTAGGGCAGAGAAGCAAACACCCTCCATGATGTCAAGGTCATGATCAGAGAGGAAGAAGTGGACCATTTTTAGGGAAAACATTATTTTGTTTAAATCAAATTCTTAAAAATGTCTCAGAGGGGACATAAAAGTGAAAGTGACGTAACTATACCACCTTAACCGTGAATGCCCATTTCTTCTAATAAACATGGCCAAGACTGAATACATGGAGCACACACAATACAACATACATGAGTGTGCATGGCACATAGTAAATATCTAACAGGTCATAGCTCTGTTCTGAAAACTCAGGCTGTGTCTTTGAGGAAATGAAAATTCAGAATGGTAGCTAACCAGCAGGTGTGGTGGGCAAGCATGTGTGTGTGTGTGTGTGTGTGTGTCCCTGACCTTAATTATCTTGCCATCTAAGTGACAAAGTGCATGCACATAAAACAACTTAAGAAAGACTAAAGGGTGCCTGTAATCCCAGCACTTTGGGAGGCCAAGGTGGGCAGATCACTTAAGGTCAAGAGTTTGAGACCAGCCTGGCCAACATGGTGAAACCCTGTCTCTACTAAAAATACAAAAATTAGCCAGGCATGGTGGCGGGCACCTGTAATCCCAGCTATTCGGGAGGCTGAGGCAGGAGAAATTGCTTGAACCTGGGAGGCAGAGGTTGCAGTGAGCTGAGATCATGCCACTGCACTTCAGCCTGGGCGACAGAATGAGACTCTCTCAAACAAAAAAGAAGAAAGAAAGAGAAAGATAGAAAGACAGGAAGGGAGGGAGGGAGGGAGGAAGGAAGGAAGGAAGGAAGGAAGGAAAGCAGGCAGGCTGCGGAACAGGGCACAGGTGTCAGAGGAATTCAGAGAAGAGATGACTCAGCCCTGGCAGAAGCAACAAGAGATGGCTTCTTGGGGTTTGGAGGATGACATCAGCCAGGTGTTGAGGGACTTGATTGGTTGAGGGAAGGGAAGGGCATGCAAGGTGGGTGGAATATTTCACACAGGTGAATCAGAGGACGCAGAAGTGGAAATACATGTGAATGGGTGGGGCTATGGGGGGATTCTATAAAGCTTTGGAAATCAGGGAGAATGCACCCAAGGGGATGGAAATAACACGTGGGTTCTAAGTGTGTCTTAGATATGAATGGGTTATTTGATGTTGAGCAAGTCACTTTCTCTCCCTGGGCCTCGGATTCCTTTTCTGGACAGGGAGAGTTGGATTAGATAATTCAGTTCCAAGTTCTAGGCCACTCTGATCTTCTTCTTTGGTTAATAGGAAGGCACTGGAAGTTCTTGAGGTAAGATGCTGTTATTATGAAAGCAGCTTGTAGGAATGTGGATTCTGAACTCAGACTATCTGGCTTTGAATCCTGGCTGTTTTACTTACTAGCTATGTAATTGGACAAGTCACTTATTCTTTCTATGCATCAATTTTATCTGTACAGATTTATGTTTGGAAATCAGAATGATATTTCCTAAGATTTTTTCCCCATAGAATTAAATGACTTAATATGTGTAAGATGCTTAAAATAGTGCCTGCACATATTAAATGCAATGTGGATTAGCTCTTATTATTATTACCGTGGGATGGTGTATTAGCTTTGCTCCATAGCATACAACCCCAAGGTGTCAACAATATACACTTATTTTTTGCTCATGCTACATGAGGGCTGTGGGTTGGCTGTAACTTTGCCCCTGTTTACTGGTGGGTAGTGAGTCTGCTCTGTGCATCTCCTCACTTTGAGACCCAGGCTGAAGGAGAAGAAAAGCACAAGAGATTGGCAGCAACCTGAAATATCTTTAAGAACTTCTACTCAAATGTAGCATATTTCACATCTGCTGATAGTGTACTGGCCAAAGCAAGTTGTATGATCAAGCTCTAAATCGGTGGGAGAGAAGCACAAAGTCAGTCTTTCTAGAGGAGATGTGAGGATTGAATGTGAAAGTTCTGACATGTAAAAGATGCTAATACACACCCGTGGAAGCTGATAATGAGGTGGTCAGGAAGCACAGCGATTGGGTTTGGAAGAAAAATCCCACCATTGGTTCTTAGGTTGTATTGGATTTGGTAGCAAGCTCGAAATTGAGGTGTCTCAATGGACAATAAGGAATAGATTGGAATGAGGGTGAGAGGCAAAGGACAGAGATAGATATTAGGGGCCCATGTACAAAAGGTATTGGTAGAAGACAGAAAAATGCAAGCTATTTCAACAACCAGTGGTTCTCAGCCTGTGTGCTGTGAGCACAGTGGTGTACTCAAAAAAATTCTCTGCCGATGTGTGGCTAAATTTTGATCAGCGTTTAAAATTTATGTTTGCTACAACCAAGTCTACAAATTATTGTAGCATCTCTCAGGTGGAGCCCTGAGTATTCACAAGCAGAGAGATGTTGAATAGAGTCTAATTTGCTGTAAGTAAAAGTCAGCTCTTGCCATGGAAGAGGAACACCGGAGGACTTTGCCGTGAGAGCATATAAAAGAACATGGTCGGGGCAGTGGACAGCACCACGGTGCTGAATGGTAACCAAGTGCAATCAGAGCTATGATAGACCTGTAAGACAGCTACAGTCACACTGCAGTGGGAGGGCATGGTGATGGTTGCAGACTTACCTGGTGTAATTTTAGGTCTTTAATCCTTCAAGAATGCTGCAAAATTTTATATGATTTGAAAGTATGTCCTGAGTACAGTAAGGTTGAGAACCATTGCCCTAGAGAGCTGTAATGACCAAATCATAGCTTTGCTCTGAGAAGAAACAACTCTGAATTGGTGTTGGTAGTTTGGGAAGTGGAGTGGGATCTTGGATGCTTCATAGAGAAGTTGTCTAGAAAACAAGAGCAAGCAGCTAAAAGGAAGAAAGCAATGTTTGTGGATATATGAGGTTGTAGTTCCCCACTCCTTCCTTGGGCCTGTGTCCCAGGCATCCAGAGCATTCGCCTTGACCTGGCACACCATGTGTGGCCCTCTGCCTTTGTATCAGCTGTGTCCATTCTCTATAAAGGATTCCTCCTCCTGGGCTGGGGGTGGTGAGCACTTCAATTTCAGTAACTTTGGCTTGTTGCTCATGTCCATCTGCTCCGCTTGACCATGGATACTTGGAAGACTGGGAAATTGTCTGATTCTCCTCAGGAGCCCTTCAGGAACACTGGGGATTCACAGTGGGGATGCCACACTGTGTGAGTGAGTGAATGGGAGCAAGATTGTGGACTTCCTTGCTGAGTGAGGTTTCAGCCACAGCTGCATTTAGTCTTCCTTAACAAGGCACTGTCTGTGGATTTAACATGAAGGTAGTTACTATGCAGAATGAGATGAAGGTGGCATGAGGAGTTTTGGAGCTCAAAGCGAAAAGAAGGTGTGGGGGCCCCTGAAGTGGTGCTTTGACAATGGGGAGAGGGCAGATCTGGTTTAGTAATGGGCTTCGCTGCATTTCACATGGAATGGGAAGCTTTTGCAAAAGGTACTTTTTACACACAAGTGGGATCGTCACATTGCACATCTTGTGCTCTGCCCAGGGCCTTGAGTAAATAATGACCTGGTGTTGGAACTTGGAGTCAATTCCATGGGAAGACTCATTGGATCTGATGCAGAATTACATACAGCAAAAAGGTGGCTATTTGAGGAAATTTTGAACCTGCCCCCAAATTATGTTGCCATGTATTTTTAAATCATACCATATCCATAGACCCTTAGGGCTTAAGGTCTAATAAAATCTCAGCAAATGTTTGATTTCTATAACCTCAACGTTGAATCGAACTTTTAAATTATGTAAAATTTTATGTTGTACAATTAAGGAGGAAGGAAAAAGTGTCTGTCTACTGCTTCTCCCCTGCCCCCACCATTCTCCCCTCAGTGCAGAAATTCCCAGTATGTTCTCTGCATACCTCCAATGACAGGGAGATCACCACTTTACATGGCAACCTGCTTTACTCTTGTACAGCTCTGTTGTTGGAAGGCTCTTCTTTATGTAGAGTGGGATTCTGCCTTGTGCCTTACTTTTGTTCTCAAGAGTCTCCCCAAGTTTCTTCTTCCACACTGCTATTCCTAGAGGCACTGGAAGATGTTTCTCCATTACTTAGGACCTTCTCTTTTCCAAAACCACTCCAATTCTTTATTCCTCCTCTATCATGATTTCCGCATACGGTGTTAGGTTTTCCTTTACTTTCTTTCATTTTCCTTTCCTTTCGTCTCATTTTTTTTTTTGCTATATTTTATTTCTGAACATGCAGAATAAAAAGGAATCCAAATAAAACTTTAATTACTGGGAACCTCTTAAACGAGTTTAAAGGCTTCCTAAGGCCATCAACTCCTCTGAGAAGCTGATAAAAGCAATTGAAGCTTTTTCCTGCATCCTCAAATGCATGAACATTTGGCATAGAATGTTAGAGCATTTGGCATAGAATGTTAAACTTCATAGGACAGTGTTCAGTGTATTGGGTGCTTTTACATATTATTTCAAGTAATCTTGTGAGGTAGGTATTTTGATGGGTTCCATTTATAGATGAGGAAACTGAAGCCAACAGAGATTAAGTATCTTGCCAAAGATCACCCCGCTAAGAAGCTATGTGGGAATAAGCTGCCATCTCTGGTGCCAAGGATTTCAGTCTCATGGGGGAAATAAGATATATTACAATGAGCTGGAAAATGAGTGTCATGAACAAATGCTGGACCAGAGATGCAAGCCTCATGTTGTGGGAACTCCAAGGAGTGACCTTGTGATCCTGGACTCAAGACACTGCACGTGACTAAGGAGTTGGAAAGCAATGAGCAGAGCAGATGTGGCCAGAGATGCATGCTGCAGGGAGGCCATAGAGGAAGGCACAGGTTGTGAAGGTGCAGTTAGGGAGGCAGAGCGTGGTGTGCGTAGATAGATGTGGTGGGGCGCGGCCGAGAGAGGGCCGGGCTCAGGCCGGGAAGAGCCTAGGAGGTGAGCTTTGTCCTACAGATGAGGACAAGCTGGTGAAGGATTTTGAGGAGAAGCGAGGCATGGTTGGATTTGCATTTCAGAAAGGTCACTCTGCCTGTCATATGGAGTGGACAAGTTCTGTGGCAGGGAGATGGGGTGAGGGCTTATCTGGGGCAGGTGCATTGGGAGGTGAAAGTCAGCAGGTAGGTATTAGAACAGTTCCAGAGTAGATGCAACAAGATCTAAAAAAGAGTTAGGTTTGAGGTGGGACAGATGAGAGATAAGCTGAAAATGGAACTGAGCATTTTAATGAGATGTTACCCCACGTTGCAAGGATTAAAAAAAAAAATAAGGCACTGTGCGAAGTGCTATCCGTGGGTTAATTCATTTCACATTCAAAATTTTCCTCTGCATTTGATGAGAAACAGAAGCACAGAGAGGTGAACTCACCCATGTGACAGAGTTTGGAGGTGTGGGGCCACGTTAGAGCCTAGGTAGTCTGCCCTCTGCACCCATATCGTTAGGTGCAGTCTGGCCTCTGCATTCATATCCAAACATCGCCTCTTTGTTAAATGAGCATGTAATGAGAGAGTAAATATAAGCACCTGGCTCCCAGGAGGCATTGGCAATGTTTATTAGATGACAGGTCTCTGCATGTAATGTATTTCCCCTAGAAAGCCTTTTGCAGTTTTCCGAGGCCTTTAATCTGCCTTAACCACTTTTGACCACATTCACGATAATCGTGTCAAGAGGGCAGGTGAGGTGCAAGGCCTGGGGTATGTACTTGATAAACACTGAGCAGATAAGTGTAGTCTATCACTGCCTGTCCCTATTTTACAGAGTGGGGAACTGAGGCTCAGATGTATCAACTAGGTACACTGAAGAGAACACTGTACTAGTCTCACCACCGAGAGGCAGTGGGGTGGTCTCTGTATAGGTGCCAGGTGGAATTCGGTTCAAATCCTAGCTGCTGTACCATCTCTTGGCTGTGTGACCTTGAGCAAATTACTTCTGAGTTTCCTCACTTGTCATACTTATTCCCACTTTTAAGGTGATTTAAGAATTAAAAATGAAAACCCATGTAATGCAGAACTGATCCTTAATATGAGCTCAAGGAATGTGCACTTCTTAAGGCAAAGGAGTTCTGTTCGGATTTCTTTCTATAAAGCAAGAAGCACAGACCAGAACACAGAGAAATGGGTCAAGTTACCGATCACACATGCAGCTAGCATCGTCTTTCCCTATGCAGCGTGCAGGCCCTGCCCACTCTTAGGGTTGTGACAGAGGTGTGCTGTTTTAAAATCAGATATTCAGTCCATCAGGGAGTGCTCCCTGAAAGTCTGCTGGTACAGTGGGACCTGAAATTGTGCACTTATAACTGCAGTTGTCATGGAAACAGGCATAATATCGGGGGGAAAAAAAGTCCTGCAGTCCATGGGGACTACCTGTATCTCCCATTCATGAAAGGGGGAAAGCCGCCCTGTCCCCTACCCGTGAGAGGGGGAACGAATGTGTGTTAATTAGATTCAGGCTCATACCGGTTGCCACTTCGTGGGTTGCATTCCTGGATAGTGTGGCAAAGGGCCACTGGCTGACAGGCTGTCGTCCCCGGAGGCAAAATCAAAGGCAAATGGATGGTTTCTGTGAATAAATATGAGTGTGCAGCTGGATGGGATGGCAGCACTTGCCGTTGCAAGGAGGCCAGAGTGGGGAGCTTGCTCAAGGGGAAGGCTCTGGTTATTCAAGGTAGGGACCAAGTCATGGAAGTTTGACGTATTTGAGCTATAAAACCTCTTATGCAGCAACCCCTGTGGCTCCCAGCACAGAACCTTTACGATGTATTAATTTGCTTTGATGCGATGATGCTGCCTAACAAACACCCCCTCTAGACTCTGTGCCTTACAGCAACCAATATTTATTTATGGCAATAGGTTTGTGGGTGGTAGATGCTTAGCAGGGCTCAACTCAATTTGTCTTCAGTCTTCTGTTGGGGTCAGGTGTGCTCCTCAAATCCTCTCATTCTGGGGCTGCCACTCCTTGGGTCCTGTGGTTTTCATGGCAGGAGGTGGACTGTCAGGGAAAGCTGAACCCATCTGCCCCTTAAAGCTTGTGCTCAGACTGGTGCACTCCCAGCCAAAGCAGGTCACATGGGCAGAACACCCACAGTCAGTGGGGCAGGCGGCTGCACTGCACCCACTTTGGGGCATGGTGAGGACTTGCCACAGAGGGTCTGTGTTGAAATTATCTGGGGATGTTTGTTAATAATATAAATTCCTGGCTTGTAATCTAGATCTGGTGAATGAATATCTTGATAAAAGCCCCGATGGGAATTTTTAGCAGGCAATTCCAGGGCATTCTGAGGACCAGCTGGGCCATGCTGTCGTGCTATCAGTTTTCAGAAGGGGGGTGGTGGGGGGATATGCCTACCGATCATCTTGAAGTTTTGAATTGCGAATATCAGCTTCAACATCATGAGTATGTGGCCTTTAAAGGACTAAAAACTTTCAAAACCCACCTTGACATTTCCTTTGTTCTAAAAGAAAGCAGTTCCCCCTGCATTCAATGCTTGGATAAGCACATTTCTACAAAATGGGCTCCCTTGATCTTTTTGAGGCTCATTTCCCTGCTTGCTCTTTGGAAAGAAAGGGTTTCTTCATCTTTCCAGAAGAGACTGGTCAGTTAGTTACCCTGAGCTTTCCTGCCCTTCCCACTGAGGAATCAGGTAACCTCATCTGAATTTGCGTGGCCTCTGAGACCCTATGTTGACACCCACCTCTTCGTGATTGCAATGACTGCTCTAGTGGGGGCCATGGGAGTTGCTTGCCCTCACCCCAACTTCCTGGGGTGGGAGAATTAAGTATTGGAAGTAGTGTAAGGTCTTCATCTACCAACACTGAAATGTACTTGCCAACTATGTCCACTCGGAAACATAAGTCATGATTATTTTGACTCTGCAAGGCCAAAAGAAGAAGTTTTGAAACAAAACTTTTTTTTTTTTTTGAGATGGAGTCTCACTCTGTCACCCAGGCTAGAGTGCAGTGACGTGATCTCGGCTCACTGCAAGCTTTGCCTCCCGGGCTCATGCCATTTTCCTGCCTCAGCCTCCCAAGTAGCTGGGACTACAGGCGCCTGCCACCATGCTCGGCTAATTTTTTGTATTTTTTAGTAGAGACGGGGTTTCACTGTGTTAGCCAGGATGGTCTTGATCTCCTGACCTCATGATCCACCCGCTTCGGCCTCCCAAAGTGCTGGGATTACAGGTGTGAGCCACCGCGCCTGGCTGAAACAAGACTTTTTTTAAGAAGCTGAGAAAGAAAAGCAGTAAGAAACTATAAGGTTGGATGTGGTAGGGGGCTGAGGGGTCTTCAGCATCAGGGTTTGGAGAAAACTCACGGTCTCTGTGTCCATGTCAATTCAGGACCGCGGACAGCACCAACCCCCACCTGTTCCTCACCTACCCACAGTACCTGGAACTTTCAGAAGACCGTGTCTCTGTATCTAATGTTTATTTGGCTGGAATGTTTCCCTTCTCCTCTCCCAATTTTTCTAGACTTCTGAACTCCTATTTATATTGTGGAACTCAGCTCAAATTTCCCCTCCTTGATGACATAGTCACAGTCTTTTCTCTGTCACCGTAATAACAGCTTTGGTTCTCTGCTATTTTTCAGATAGCCAAGGTTGCTAAACCAGTGATTTTTGGATAGAGGTTGATTGGATAAGAATAGCATCCCATCTCTTTTTTTTTTTTTTTTTTCTAAAATCTAGACCTTAATAGATTTTGTATGCCTTCTGACATCCACCTTCATGGTGGAGATGACAGATTTATTCCCACCATGCAGGAGGGAGAACAGAACCCGGGGAGGTTTAATGCCTCACTCAGGAATAGACAGTGATGCAGAACATTCACTGTCATCCAGAACCTCCCCTCTGAGCTGAGGCTGACTGTGGTTGCTGCTGTTTGTTTTTTTTGTTCTGTGGATAAAAATGCCTGAAGCTTTAAAGGCTAGTTTTTGTAAGCAGAGCTCAACCTAATGCTTAATGTTTGTGAAAAAGAACAAAAGCGTCCTGCCAATGTCAGCTGTCTCCTCCCAGTGGGGGCTGGATGGGAGATGACAGTAGGTTTGGAGAAGAATCCCTTTCTCTTGCCTGGCTGCTCCTCTGACTCATGAGACATTTGGCAGTAGAGACAGGAATGCAGCCCAGCAGGGTTTTGGTAGAGTCTTCGCGAGGACGCCTTCCTGCAGCATCTGTAGCGTGCAGGCTTTGCACTTGCCAGGCTTCTCTCTCAGCTAGTGGGGTTAGGTTTTCAGGAATTTGAAAAGCAGAAAAGAGAGATTTATTATGTGTCCATGTATTCTTTTCTCCCTTTGTTTCTCTCTTCTCTCCTTTCTTTCCTCCTCCTTCCATCTTTCCTTTCCTCTTTATCCTTCTTTTATCTCTTCTTCCTTTTCTCTCCTTTGCACTCCCTCTCTCTTTTCAAACGTTCTCTTTCTTCTTTCTCTGTCTCTCCTTGCCTCTTGTCTGTTGCCTCCCTCTTCCCCTCCTGCCCAGCAAACATCTGCTAAATACTGTGTAAGGGTCCTGGCTGGTTCCTGAGGATATAGAGATGAAATACGCAGAACTCCCCTGGCCATGAAGGGGTATCCAGCTCAATGAGAGATGGGCACATGAACTGTGACCATTGGGGGAAGGTTGTGCATTGGGAGACAGCTGTGCATTATACTGGCGGTTAGATCATGGGTGTGGACCCCAAAGTCTCCGTAGGGGAAGCCAATGACTCCAGATCCACTTCATTTTGAATTCCTAACAAAGAATTTTGTAGTTTGCTTTTTCTCCTCACATTTTATTATCTAGCACTTTTGTTCGTGCTTAAAACTTCCTGGAAGATATTTGAGTAGCTGTAGTAGCTGAATGATACTTCATTATTGGTGTGGTTATACCATTGTAATTAATTCTGGATCGCATCTTTGTGTATCATTTTGTGACCCTGTTTTGGATATTTTCTAGAGGACAAATTCCCAGCACTAAATTTATGGGTCAAAGGACATGAACATTGTTAAGGCCTTTGATACCTGTTGCAAACTTGCCTGCTACACATTCTTACTGAGGAATCCCAGCTTTGAGGAGAAGATAAAGACGATTCCTTCCCCTTCTTCCATTTCCACCCAGCGCTCATGTGATGTCTTAGCTTGGAAATGTTTCTATCTTCCGGTTCCTCCCTGATGAAAACCCCTCCATGACCTTCACCACAGAGCCCAGACTCCCCTTTACACATGGCACTGGGGTCCCTGAGATCTGGCTTCTGCAGTCCTTTCCAGATTCCCCACTTTGAGGTCACCCTTCAGCCAAAGAAGACCACTTACAGATCCCCAGGCATGCCAGGCTGCTTCTGACCTCTGTGTCTTTCCCCATGGAATATGGTCTGGATCTCTGTCCCCACCCAAATCTCAAGTTGAATTGTAGTGCCCAGTATTGGAGGTGGGGTCTGGAGGGAGGTGATTGAATCACTGGGGCGGATTTCCCCCTTTGGTGCTGTTCTTGTGATAGTGAGTGAGTTCTGAGGAGATCTGGTTATTTAAAATTCTGGTACCTCCCCACTCTCTCTCTTCTTCCTGTGAGGTGCTCACCCCCCACCCCCCACTTTGCCTTCAGCCATGATTGTAAGTTTCCTGAGGCCTCCCCAGAAGCCAAGCAGATGCCAGCATCATGCTTCCTGTACAGCCTGCAGAATCATGAGCCAATTAAACCTCTTTTCTTTTCTTCACAAATTACCCAGTCTCAGGCATTTCTTTATGGCATTGTGAGGATGGACTAATACACCGTGTGCTTCCCT
Source organism: Homo sapiens (assembly GCF_000001405.40). Taxonomy (NCBI): domain Eukaryota; kingdom Metazoa; phylum Chordata; class Mammalia; order Primates; family Hominidae; genus Homo; species Homo sapiens. Next base: position 5,873,319 of record NC_000004.12, on the reverse strand, counting down.
CTCTCAGGATCCCTTTTCGCCTTTGCTGTGTGGCTAATACCTACTCATCCTCTAAGCTTAGAGGGAATGCTTTTCCCCTTAGCAGGGTTGATGTGGAGGCTGCCTCCATGCTCTGTGGCCCTCTGCATTTCCCACACTGGCAGCAAAGGCCAGCTGTTGACTTAGCCTCCCTCACTGGCCTGAGCACCCCTTGAGGGCACAAGCTGCATTTAAGCTGCTTACACCCATCCTTAAACAATGATTTATAGAGTGGAGTTCTAGCCACAGAAAATGGCAGAGAATGAACAATGAGCTCTTCACCTGCCAGGCCTGGGCTGAGTAAGCACTTCAAATACATGCCTAGGACGCAGAGCCAATTATCCCCATCTCATAGACAAGGAAACTGAGGCTCGGTAAGTCACATGGATAATAAGTGAAGTCAGGATCCAAGCCCACCTCTGTCTGAGTGTGGACGTTTTGCTTTTAAGTGGTGCTGACACAAGAACATGATTTGCTCTAAAGGTCATTGCTGTCGCTGTGGAACGAACTGTATCTCTGACATGCCCTAGCTAATCAATTCAGCTGTTAGACTTTGGCTGAGTTTTTCATGAGATGCTTTATTTCTTCAAGGTTTATACATAATAATTGTTTTTTGAGATGGAGTCTCGCTCTGTTGCCCAGGCTGGACTGCAGCGGTGCGATCTCAGCTCACTGCAACCTCCGCCTCCTGGGTTCAAGTGATTCTCCTGCCTCAGCCTCCCGAGTAGCTGGGATTACAGGTGCCTGCCACCACGCCCAACTAATTTTTGCATTTTTAGTAGAGACGGGGTTTCACCATGTTGGCCAGGCTGGTCTCAAACTCCTAACCTCAGGTGATCCGCCAACCTCGGCCTCCCAAAGTGCTGGGATTACAGGCGTGAGCCACCGCACCTGGCCTAGGTTATACATAATAATGTTTGTGCAGAGCGTACCATTGTTCACATCTGCTGTTTTCCCCTCACAGTAACCCCGTGAGAGGCAATAGACGGCACCGGTATTATTTTTTTTTATAAATATGTGAATTTGGTGTTATTAATTTTAAAAACATATATTATGTAACATTTACTTTTTTAGTATACAGTTCTGTGCACTCATATTTCCTGCATGAGAAAGGCAGCCTTAGAAGGCAAGGCCCGTTGATCTTATTACTTGGGTGGGGGAGGGTTCTAAGTTCTATCTTCTTATGAGGTGTCATGGATTCTAGAGTTTGGGAATGTTTAAACATGGGACAGAAGCATGGCTTGGTGGCTGGAATGCTGGACAGGCCATTAGGAACCCTTGGCTCTAGCCTGCATCCTTACTGGTTGTGTGAACCTGGAGGTCACACCTGTTCGTGGACCTCATTTCCCTGCGAGGTGGGATCAGACCTAACATTCCACACGGACCATTCTGTGCAAATGGTCACAAAGCACGTAACTTCAAAGCCCATTTCCTACGGTCTCTTCTGTGGGAAAGTATCCCTTCAGATTTTCCACACCACAAAGGGACCTGAGTTTGGAAAAGATATCAACTCAATTCTCCTCTTGAGTATTCGTATCAAATATCAGCAGAGGCAAGGATCTGAAAAGTTCTGTCATAAAGACATCATTGCTTCTGCTTAACCCAGAGATTTCTTTTTTTTTCTTTTTTTTGGTGGGCGGGGAGCGGGGAATCTCACTCTGTTGCCCAGGCTGGAGTGCAGTGGTGCGATCTCGGCTCACTGCAACCTCCTTCTCCCTTGTTCATGCCATTCTCCTGCCTCAGCCTCCTGAGTAGCTGGGACCACAGGCGTGCGCCACCACGCCCGGCTAATTTTTTGTATTTTTAGTACAGACGGGGTTTCACCATGTTAGCCAGGATGGTCTTGATCTCCTGACCTCGTGATCCGCCCACCTCAGCCTCCCAAAGTGCTGGGATTACAGGTGTGAGCCACCGCACCCAGCCTTAACCTAGAGATTTCTAAACTCACGGCACCGGGTAACCCCTGTCTGGGCCTGTACCTACTAAAATCTCTCTGAGCTTGAGTTCTGAAGCACATGGCTTTGAAAATGCCTGTTTAAGAGGCAAAGGAACTACTAATTTTAAGAAAGAACATGAAGAGGTTGAATCAGTGCTTGGCTTCCTGTGGGCTTATTTTTTCAGAAGTAGACCAGCACCTGAGAGACACTAAGGGCTTGGAGCCTGGGCGCCCCTGCTTGCAGTGTCTATTGGTAGTTGGGGAGGGAGTGGATTTGAACATGAGCTCCACCATCTGATTCTAGGAAAAGCATAGCAGGTTGGGCCAATCTTCTGGCACACAGTGCATTAAAATACCACCTTTCGGGCTGAGCCCGAAAAGCCCCCTATTAATAGTGACAAGACAGACGGGTGCCTGCGGGGCGGCCGTGTTCCGGAAGCCATGCACCAGCTGCTGGTGACTTATGTTTCCTGTTCTGGAGCCGGGGAAACATGCACGCCAGCTTGTGGGTGCTTCCTGGACGTGCAGAGCCTGGGCCTCTTTTTCCCATTGGTCCCGGATTGCCGTCAAGAGGCTTGGTGAGTTTCCTCTCTGGGGATGCACACATCTTTTTTAGCGGTACAGATAGGTTGTGGGGCCTAGGAGCAACTTACCTTGAAACATCTTCCTCCAGAGACCCTCCTGCTGAAGAACGGGATGTGCCTCTTCACACTGGTCTTCCTCGGCTCACAGCTGTGATGCCTTTCTCTCCATCTTCACCCATTCATCTGTCAAGAATCAGTTCAGTCACCCAGGCAGCCAGCCAGGCTGTGTCCAAGATGCCGGAGAGACAGCAGTGAAGAAAACGGACAAAGTCCGTTGCCTCCGTGGAGCTCACGGTCTAGTAAAGACAAGTGCTGTGCAAACTCCAGGCAGTGCCGTCCCCACCAACGCCTGTGTCATGCGTCCCCTGGGGAGTTGTGTCCTGCACTGCCAGTGGGGTAACACACCAAAGCTGTGATTCCAGTGTGGCAAGTTACATTTTAGACAGACCTAGAAATACATAGCCTGCCAGATGTGCCGTAAATACTGTGAATACATAAACGGGTAAGGGATGTAGGGCCAGCTGGCAGGGTGGTGGTGTGTGTTGTCCCAAACAGGGGAAGTCGAGCGGAGGGCACTCAGATAAGTAACATCAAGCAGGGCCCAAAGCAAGTAGGAGCAGGAAGACTGCCAGGAACCTGGGACTCCAGATTAACTGGGGTCTCGCTGACCTTGGCTTTCACTCTGAGGGAAGTATGATTCTGATGCAAGAAGCTTTGAGCAGCCGACTGCATGATGTGTTTCTGATGCCTTAGTTTGGGTTAAACTCTTCTTCTCTGGGCTTGCAGGGCCATTGTGGCTGATGCCATAAGACCATGGGACCTGGTCCAGGGGACCACTGAAGTGCCTTCTGTGCACTTCCTCAGATGGCCTTGGCAAGATCAAGCTCTGGTTGCCCACAGTGCTAGCCAGGTCAATATGCCCTCTTTATTGGATTCATTTATTGAACAGGATACCCTCCCTCCAGACCCTGGAACCACCTCCCAGATGTACCACCTGCCTCCAGGTTCTTGAGTTAGGCTCTGATGTCAGAGCACCACCTACTGTGGGTTGTTCTTGTCAGTTTACTTCTTTTCTTTTTCTTTTTTTTTTTTTTTTTTTTGACGGAGTCTTGCTCTGTTGCCCAGGCTGGAGTGCAGTGGCGCTATCTCGGCTCACTGCAAGCTCTGCGTTCCGGGTTCATGACATTCTCCTGCCTCAGCCTCCTGAGTAGCTGGGACTACAGGCGTCTGCCACCACACCTGGCTAATTTTTTTTGTATTTTTAGTAGAGATGGCGTTTCACCGTGTTAGCCAGGATGGTCTCGATCTCCTGACCTCGTGATCCACCTGCCTCGGCCTCCCAAAGTGCTGGGATTACAGGCATAAGCCACCACACCTGGCCCAGTTTACTTCTTTCTCCCCCACCCAAGGGATGGGCTTCAGGGCAGACACTGTGTCTTCTTCGTCACCACATCTCCAGCCTGGAGAGAATACAAATGGTAAAATAAGCACATGGAAAAAAATTACAAGCCTTCAAGAAGTGGAAAATTGCCAAGGCACGGTGGCTCACACCTGTAATCCCGGTGCTTTGGGAAACCGAGGAGGGAGGATTGCTTGAGGCCAGGGGCTCAAGACCAGTCTGGGCAACACACTGAGACCCCATCTCTACAAAAAAAATTTAAATTAGCCAGGTGTGGTGGCACATTGCCTATAGTCTCAAATATTCGGGAGTCTGAGGCTGGAGGATCACTTAAGCTCAGGAATTTGAGGATGCAGTGAGCTATGATCATGCCACTTCACTCCAGCCTGGGTGATAGAGTAAGACTCTGTCTCGAAAAAAAGAAAAAAGAAAAGGAACACAAATTAACAAACATTAATAATAAACAAGAGTGCTTAGTGTTTTCGTGCAAAGAATGGGGCATTCCTTTTGGAAAGCAGTTTGGTCATCTTTATCAAGGGCTGTAAATAAGGTTTATGTTGTTTGACCCAGTTGTTAAGCTTCTGAGAACTTTGCCTAACAAATCATTCAAACCAAGGAAGGAGTTTTGTGCACAAAAAAGTTCATTGCAGCAAAATACGTATCACTGTACAAAACAGAAAATCACTTCAGTAACCAACAATGGGGGAAATATTAAACAATTTATTATGTATCCCTAAGATGGAGTATTTTGTGATTATTTTAAAAGTATAGTCATGAAGTGAGGCCAGGCGCGGTGGCTCACGCCTGTAATCCCAGCACTTTGGGAGGCCAAGGCAGGCAGATCATGAGGTCGGGAGATTGAGACCATCCTGGCTAACAAGGTGAAACCCCGTCTCTACTAAAAATACAAAAAATTAGCCAAGTGTGGTGGCAGGTACCTGTAGTTCCAGCTACTCAGGAGGCTGAGGCAGGAGAATGGTGTGAACCCAGGAGGCGGAGGTTGCAGTAAGCTGAAATCGTGCCACTGCACTCCAGCCTGGGTGACAGAGTGAGACTCCGTCTCAAAAAAAAAAATTATGTATATATATATATATATATATATATATATATATATATATATAGATATATAGTCATGAAGAATGTGCGGCAAGTTGGGATGTGCTTATGGTAAAATGCAGAAAGGACAGAACTGTGTTCTTTTTGGTTCCCATAATGTTCTGGTTTCTGACTTGCATATCATTTCCTCTGCCCGGAACACTCCATATGGTGAAGCTTTGTTTATGTTTATGCATAAACATGTTTGTGGCTGAGTTCCATTCTGGAATGGTATTGACAAATAGAAGAGGGTTGAAAGCCTAGTCTGTGCCCTTAGGATAGGCTGAGGGATTGAAAACATCCCTTGGAGAACATCATCTGAATACATGAATGTTTACGTAGACATACTCATACAATCCTGTGTGTGTGTGTGTGTGTGTTTATCTATCCACCTTCCTCTAATGACACATCCATTTATCTATCTATAGTCATACAGAGTGTAGATATAGGAAGTATAAATAGACTCTTTTTTAGACTTATTTTCTGGGTCTGCGCTTTCTCTGCCCAATGCCCCAGATAAGGTTGGCAGCCCCTTTGGTTGGCTTCCATGGCAGGTCCCCACTTTTCTCCTCCTCCTCAACCCCACATACCCCATGACTTGATAAACATCTGTCTCTCCATCTGTCAACCCCCTGAAAGCAGATTCCAGCTCTGTGCCTGGTCCCCTCTGGAGCTGAGAGCATCAGTCGGTAGCTGATCGGTGCTTGGATGAGTGAGTGGATGTGTGCACTGTGGGGGAAGAAAACAGGAAAAAGAGTGGGGAGACATCAGAATGTCAACTGGGAGTTGTACTGGAAAAATGGGGTTTTCTTTTTTTAGTCTCTTCACTATCTTTTTAAATGTCTCTAAGTTGATCATTATCATATTTAATAATACCTTGATAACTCCCTGTTCTACAAATGACCCAATTTCTTCAACAAACGAATGACATTGAAAAGGGAGGAGGGGCCAGTGCAGATGCTGACAGAGGCTGCCGAGATGATGAGGCAGGTGTGCTGTGGGGCCTGGTATGGCTGTTGGTTCAAACCTTCCAACTACAAAAAGACGTCTATGAGACCATCAAGGCACATTGAAGAGGGCCTGATTATTGACTGATAAGCAAGGTATTAAGTTAATTGAGTTCGTTGGGATAATGGATTCTGGTTTTGTTTCTTTAAAAAGTCCTTACCCCTTTCCTGTTTAGAAAAAAAAGTGCAGCTTGCTGCCCATACTCATTTCTCGGGGCAAACGGGAAATGGGTTAACAGTGAGAGAGATCTAGTGAAGTATTTATAGGTGGAAAGATACAGTGCTTGTGCTTTGTTTTAAAACACCTCAGCAAAAACAAAACAAAGTGAGAGGGGAGAAAGGTGAAAGGAGAATAGGAAGTATTGGATAGAGAAGTATTGAAGCTGGTGATGGATCTGGGGCGGGGGAAGTTAAATGCCTTTACTTTTGAAAATATTTGATAATTCTTATATTAAAAATTAAAAAGAAAAAACTTTATCCTGGCTTTTCACCAAGGATCCTTAATACTTTGCCTTGCTTTGCAGAGTGACCGACTCCTCATCAAAGGTGGACGGATCATCAACGATGACCAATCCCTTTATGCTGACGTCTACCTGGAGGATGGACTTATCAAGTGGGTTGATCAAAACGGACCTTTTAAGAAACCTGTGTCGCCAGGCTGCCTGGCCTTAGATGGAACAGAAGGCTGGCATTCTGTCCTAGAATGACGGGGCTGTGTACCTGTGTTTCAGGGGTAGAGACCTCACAGAGGTTGGGGGAGGTGCACACTGCGGGTGGAGAAGGGGCTGGCATTTCTTGGGTGCCCCCCCGGGCTAGGCTCCCTGCCACACGGCTGAGGCAGCTCCTCTCTTGCAATGCTCACACAAAGGCTGCAAAATGCAGACACGTTTCCTGTTTTGTGGTTTTGGAGGCGGCAGGCCAATGAGTCTGGGTACCTGGCCCCATATGACGGGGTGAGTTAGGGTCAAGGCCCGGATTCCACCCTGAGACAACTGAATTCACAGCTCTTTCTTCCACCTACCCACAGTTTCTGGAATTGGGTTGAGGAGAGCAGAGAGGAAGGAGGAATGTGTGGCTTCCAAGCCCAGCCTTGGCACTTAAAGAAAAGATAGACATTGGGGCTGGAGTTTCCTTCCCTTTCTTCTCATTGGCTCCCTCTTCAGCCCTGCTTATGACAACCCAGGTGTCTTAGCCAGCGCTGGCTGCCGGAATGGAATGCCACAGGCTGGGTGGCTTAAACAGCAGAAGTTTATTTCTCATAGTTCTGGAGGCTGGAAGTCCCGGATCAAGCTGCCGTCAGGGTTGGTTCTTCCTGAGGCCTTCCTGAACTTCTTCCTGAGGTTCTTCCTTGGCTTGCAGACACCACCTTCTGGCTTGCAGACACCACCTTCTGGCTGTCCTCACAGGGCCCTTTCTGTGTGTGTGTGTGCACACTCCTGGGGTCTCTTCTTCTAAGGTCACCAGTTTTGTTGGATTCCAGCCCCACTCCTGTGGCCTCATTCAACCTTAACAACCTTAATCACCTCCTTAAAGGCCCTGTCGCTAAAGGTAGTCCCATGGGGTGGGCTGGGGCTTCAACATGAATTTTGGGAGATACAATTCAGTCCATAACGCCAGGCAGGGGTCTGTAGGCGGCGGCCTTCTTTTTTTTTTTTTTTTTTGAGACGGAGTCTCACTCTGTCACCAGGCTGGAGTGCAGTGGCACAATCTCGGCTCACTGCAACCTCCACTTCCCGGGTTCAATCGACTCCCCTGCCTCAGCCTCCCGAGTAGCTAGGACTACAGGCATGCATCACCATGCCCCGCTACTTTTTTGCATTTTAGTAGAGACGGGGGTTTCACCATGTTGGCCAGGATGGTCTCGATCTCCTGACCTCGTGATCCGCTCGCCTCGGCCTCCCAAAGTGCTGGGATTACAGGTGTGAGCCATCGCGCCTGGCTGGCCTTAACATTTTACTGGCGGGTGAGGATCAGGGCAGTTCTCTTTCTGTGAGTTGTAACCTGGATTTGCTGGGTGCTCAGCCTCTTCCCTTGAAATCTGGAAGAGAAGAGAAGGACACTGTTTAAGGATCCAGCATGAGTGGCTGGCACAAGAAGGAAAGGCAGAGGGGAATTGGAGCAAGGGGAAGGCAGAAAGGGATTGATACTGTTAACAGGATCATCCTGGGGCCCGTGTGGGCTTTGGAGATGATGATGGAGGAGGAGGAGGAGGCTGGGGGAAAGGGGCTGTGGAGTATTGGGGGCATTGAAAGGGACCACATATGCAAATCACCCAGTGAAGAGGGATACCCAGAACAGTTGAGCCCTCCCTGCCTCCCCCCAGCCCACCCCCCAATTCTAGTCCCAGACTTTGACCATTTCAAATCCAGCCCGGGCCTCCCCTCCTCTGGCTTCATTCCTTGCTTGCTCTTCCAGCCATAATGAAAACTTGGGACTCACGGGACTTGCCAGGCTGCTGTCACCTGAGAGCCTTGCACCCATCAGTCCCCTGCCTGGAACACCTTTTCCCCTGTCCCTCTGCCTTCCCCTCATCTCTTATTTGTCCTTGTGGGCCCTGCTCATGCGACTCCTCCTCCAGGAAGCCTTCCTTGACCCCAAGACGGTGTGGGGTGCATCCCTCTGTCCCCACAGCACGTGAGCTGCTGTCTGTTGCAGCCACTGTCACACTGCATCGCTCCTTGACCAGGGCCTTGCCTCGTGGCCCCCCGCCCTGGGGCCCAGCACCTGTAGGTCCTGGAGCACCGATTCAGGGAAAGCGCAAACAAATGAATGCTGGCCATCAGGTGGTGAGGATGCTCCTGTCAGCCTCAGGGCACCTGGATCCCGAATGGTCAGGAAGGCAGATTGGGGGTGGGGAAGGGTGTCAGGATGTGTCAAAAAATGAGGTTTTCTAACTCAACCATGGCTTAGATAGAGAGAAAGCAACTCTGAGGGAACACCCCTTTGTGTGGGGGCTCTGGGCTTCTGAAGCCTGAAAGGTAAAATGACCCTGAGAATGATCTCGTGGGCTCCCCCATCCCACACACCACCTGCTGCTAGAAGTTTGATCTGACCACACCCACCCCCGTCCTTCCTGGGCCAGGCCCCCTTATAGAGCTCCGCAATCCCGGAGTATACAGAAGGAGCAAGTGGCCATGGGTTGAGCTGCATTCATTAAGTGCCTGCTGTTATGTGTCAACATCAAGAGTCCTAGGACTCCGGCTAACCAGGCTGTTGAGGAAAAATGCAGTTTCCCTAAATTCATTATCTGTCAGCCCCTCTTGGTTGTAATCCCCTTTTACTTGAACCCGTTGCTGAGAAGCTCTCTGCGTGTTGGCAGTCCTACTCCGGACTTGTGAAGCTGAGTGAGTGACGGTGACTGAGGCCTCACAGGGCCCTTGGGTGTTTATTCTGAACGTGCATCCTGCAGGCTGAGAAGGGTAGGTGTGGAAGAGCCGGGGACCACCTCGGGTACAGAGGCACAATTACTTTCCTTCACTTGAATGAAACCCCAAGAATCCTTTAATTCTGTGGCCATTTGCCAAGTTTTCTTAAGAGCCGTTCAGCTGTTGTGTGATTCATTGAATTATGATTCATCGAGGTTTCCATTTAACTCACTCAGCCTTGGTGAATCTAGTGCCGGTGGTTGAGAGTTTCTTCTGCACCGGGAGGTGATGGTGTTGGGGGAGGGGCGTCTGTCTCATTCACTGAGCTGAGCTTCCTCTCTCCTCCTTCCCTTTCCAGCACATTGCTATTGAGCGCCATTCACTGAGTCCCTCTGATTCACTGGGGGTCCCGTTTAGTGCAATCCCTGTTCAGGGACAGTCTGGCTCCTATATAAGGGAAGCAGGGCGGCAGTAAAGCCTGCTGGTCAGAGCTCTGATATTAGGCTTGGGGAGACCTGGGCTTGAATCTGGGCCCATCACTGACTTGCTGTGTGGCCTTGGAGGAGTCACTACACCTCTCTGAGTTGTGCTGTCCTCTTTTGCAAAATGAGAATACCTCCTACCTTGCAGGGTTGCTGATGGGAGACCAGAGAGAGTTTGTTAAGAGGCTATGATTGTGCCTGGTAAGAAAGAGCCTCTGGCTGCAGAGATGGCATTCACTGTTGAACATCAAGCATCTTAGGACTCTGGCCAACCAGGCTGTTCAGGAAATGTCCTGTTTCTTTAAAAAAAAAAAAAAAGGAAAAAAAGAAAAAAGGTCAGGCATGTTTGTTCACACACTTTGGGAAGCCAAGGCAGGAGGACTCCTTGAGCTCAGGAGTTCAAGATTAGCCTGGGCAACATAGGGAGATCCCATCTCTACAAAAAATTTAAAAACAAAATTACCTGGGCATGGTGGTGCAAGCCTGTGTAGTTCCAGCTACTTGAGAGGCTGAGGCGGGAGGATCGCTTGAGCCCAGCAAGTTGAGGCTGCAGTGAGCCATGACCTGTACCACTGTACTCCAGCCTGGCTGACAGAGACCCTATCTCCAAAATAATTAAAAGAACCTCTCATTAGAGTACTTGTTGGCCCCCACTGAATGGTGACTCGGTCACAGGCTTGAATCAGACTGAGCTGTGATTCCGCTGACACTCACGTGTAGGTCCGTGCCCATGTGTAGACACACCACGTGCATGTCTACAGCCAGCGGCCCTTCTGCCTGGACCGTGCCCAGGCCTTTGCCTGAGATGGCATTTGGGGTGCGACCCTGTCCTCTGTTAGAGCTGGTTGTGAGCCTTCAATGAGAGAAGCCGTGATGCGCTTAGAAGACGCTGTTCTCCAGTTGCTGTTCCTTTTAAGTTAAGGGTCGAGTGTCTTCCCAACCCCTTTCCCTTCAGCTCTTGGCAAGCCCACACGTTTGGAGAGGATGGCAGAAGGACTGGGGAAGAAAGGATTTCCCTAAGTCAAGTTGGACATTCTGGTGTTATTATTAGTAGTGGTGGTGGACATTCTGGGGGTAAGGGATTGGTTATAAGCAGCGGCGGTGGACATTCTGGGGGTAAGGGATTGGTTATTATAAGCAATGGCAGTGGACATTCTGGGGGTAAGGGATCGGTTAGTATAAGCAGCGGCAGTGGAGATTCTGGGGATAAGGGATTGGTTATTAAAAGCAGCGGTGGTGGTGATCCTGGTGGAGGTGGACATGTGTGGTAACATTTTCTGGGTGTCCACCTTGTCCCTGGCACTATGCGGTCCTAGGCTTATTTCCTGGGTTAAGAGGACAGTGTGTGGCACCCACTTCTTTGGGGGAGCCCCAGCTGGGACCTGCTTGCTGGCCCAGCTTCTCACAGGAGCCCAGGAGGGCAGAGGCTGCTGTCTTGGCTGCCTGGCTGTGGATTCTGTCTAGAGCTGCACTTTTGGTCACTGAAGCAGCATCTTCCTGTGTCTTTATTACTAGGGTTTTTTGTGACTTAGAAAATTAATATGCTGCCCAATCTCAAGCGTTCACAACAATTGGATTTTTTTTAGAATAAAAATCACCCACAGTCAGATCTCATGGTCTGAGCCAGACCTTAACCTTGGATGCTGCAGGGTTCCTTTCCTGGTTCTGGCTGAGCCTCTTCCCCCAGCGCCTTGAGGGACCTCCTGACTCTGGTGCCAGCAAATAAAAACCAGAAGCCACCGTCATCAATAAGTCACCCATGGAGATCCCCGGGGGCTTCGTTTCTCATTTCGTAGGCTCTTTTCCCTCCTTCCCCATTTGGAATTTAACCTCCTGGAGGAAGTTTTCAGGCACCTGTTACATCAGAATAGACATGACGGTCAGCACATGCATCATGCTGGGCTCACTTCTGTTGGATTCAGCTCTGCCACCCCCTCCACCTGGAAGCCTTCTTAGATAATGAGACTGGATGAAAGGGCCCCTCCTCGTGCCCCCGATCATCTCTGCTATACTGGGCTCTAACAGTCTGCCCACCTGTCTTACGTCCTATTAGACTATGAGCCCCTTGAGGGCATGTGCCCTGCCTGAGTTATCTCTGTCTCCCCAGGGCCTTGTGAAGGGCCTGGCTCAGAAATGTTTATTTCATGGAACTGAAGCTGCGGGTTGACTGCCCATTCTACTTTTCCTTTAAGAACCAAGGCTGTCTCTGTTGTTTGCCTCCAGACAAATAGGAGAGAACTTAATCGTTCCTGGTGGAGTGAAGACCATTGAAGCCAACGGGCGGATGGTTATTCCCGGAGGTATTGATGTCAACACGTACCTGCAGAAGCCCTCCCAGGGGATGACTGCGGCTGATGACTTCTTCCAAGGGACCAGGGCGGCACTGGTGGGCGGGACCACGATGATCAGTGAGTGACACTGTCCCCTGCCTTAGGGACATAGACTGTGAGGTCTCCTCCCCATCACCAGCATCACAAGTGCTCAGTGTGTTCGAGGCTCTCTGCCCAGGGTGCCATTGGATTTCATTCTCCCCCCAGCCCTATGACACAGGTCACTGTTTTACAGAGCATACCGTGTGTGCCACTGGGGCCACAGAAGATGGCTTAATAAACAATACGGTTTTATAGGTACCAATTTTAAAAAATTATTTTTAAAATATTGAAATAAAACAACATCTCATTGATATAATCGCTTAGCATGAGACTGAAGTCACATTTAGATTTTTAGAAACAAAATTTGTTTAAAGAAAAGTATTAAGTAAAGAAGACATGGATTATAGGGAGATAAAGCAAAAAAAAAAAAAATCCTTCAACATGATGTGAAGATGGCTATGGTTTCAGAACCAGTGACATAGGTATTATTGTGACAGATGGGAGAATAGAGGCTCAGAGAGGTGAAGCAACTTGCCCAAGGAGACACAGCTGGGAAGTGGTTGTATTAGTATTGCTGCAGTAATACTGTGATAACACCGCGTAACAAACAGCCCCCAAATCTTAAGCAACACTTGTTTTTCTCATTTGAGGGTGTGCAGGAGTGGGAGTGGGGCTGGAGTGGCTGTGCTTAGCTTTGGGTTGGATTCAGGCACCATGGGTCTCCCATTCTGGACCCAGTGACTCCCCAGCCACTCTGTTCTCCTGGTGGATGGCAGAATGCAGGGGGTTCTGGCCGAAACTTGCCTTTCTTCTCACTGCCTCATCTCCTCACTTCCATGCTGCAACTTCCACCCACATTCCATTGGCCAAGGTCAGTCATGTGGCCGAGCCCAAAGTTGACAGGAGCACACTGTGCCACAGAGAGCCCTGGTGAGGTTGGGGAGGGAAGGAAACACTGCGGGCAGTGAGACCACTCCCCAGCAGTGCTCGGTCTGGGAAACTGGACTCCTCCTCCATTGCCCTGTGCAGCCCGATGGCTGTTTCTTGTGTTGATTTTGAAGAGCCGCTTTTGCTTGGATTCATTTTAATAAGCAATTTTAATTAAATAGGCCACAGTTTATTGTAAATGTTCTTTCAACTGTTAGGCTCTTCGGTTTCAGGAGGCCTGTCTGTAAGCTGGCCCCAACCCTGCCCATCTCTCCCGCTCCTTCACAAAGGAGTCCCTTTGGAAGTGTGGTCTGTGGGCTGAAGCCCACCGCCATGGGCAGAGTTTGCCAAGTCCCTGAGCCAGGAGGGTGGGGCTCGACTTTTGAGGCAAGCACTGTCCTGATCCCTCTTCCAAAGGGCAGCCCGTGGATCTGCTGGATGGGAAATGGGAGGATCTAGACTTGGACTTGGATCCCAGTGGCCAGGGTTTGAACCTGAGCACTGGCACTCAGCAGGCAACTGCATGACTGTGGCCAGCACTCAGCCTCTCTGAGCCTCAGCTTCCTCATCTATAATGTGGGCCTTATGGTGGGAAGTGCCTAGGGTGGTTTGGAGACGTACATGAGATTCCTTCATGTAGTGCATGGGACATGAGAGTTCTGAGAGATGGGCATGGAAGTTCTGGGTTCAGGAGGACTGCACAGGGCAGGGGAAGGAGTACTGGATGAGGAGCCAGGGTTCCTGGGATGTCCCCTGCTTTTCTCCATTACCAGCTGTGAGACCCTGGGGAGCCCTGCCCTGTAAGCCTTATCCTCCTCACCTGTGAAGGGCAGTTTCCAAAGTGTGTTTCATGGAACAAGAGCCTATGAAAGCACACGAGGACAACAGTCCAGGGCTCTGAAAGGGTCCCCGCCCTTCCCCATCTTCATTCAACAGATGTTAAGTAAGAGTTGTCCGCACCAGGCACTGTACCAGGTGAACAAAAGCAGGAATGATGCTCGTTGTCAAGGGGACTGCCATCTCTTGGGGAGTCACTAATCGTCCACATGTATGACTAGAAACTGTGACTCCTGCTACAAAAGAAGGGTACACAGTGCTTTGAACTGAGGGGCAGGGTCTCAGGGAAGTGTTCTCTGAAGAAGTGACATTCGTACAGGGATCTGAAGGATGAGTTGGAATTAACCGGGAGAAGAGGGCAGAGAAAAGCAGAGCCCCAGGAGGAGGGAATAGCATGTGCAAAGGCCCTGAGGTGAGAACACACCTCCCATTCCAGAGACTGCAGGGAGGCCCACGGTGCAGGGGTGTCGAGATTGAGGGATGACATCCTGTGAGGCAAGGCTGGAAGGAGAGGACAACCCTGGGCCTCGATGGCCTGATGAGGCTGTGGCTCTTTCTCATATGGGTGATGGGCAATGTTGAGGTATTTTAAGCAGGGAGAGATGTGAACTGTTCTGTGTTTTGGAGAGACCGGTAATAGAGTGGCCTGGATGGGATGTGTCTGGACCAGTTGGGAGGCGATTGCGTAATTCAGCTGAGAGATGAGGGTGGCGTGGCCATGGAGTGGGCAGAATTGGACAGCTCCAGGGATATGGAGGAGGCCAGTCAACAGCCTTCGGTGCTGGGTCACACACGGGGGCATGTGAGGGAAAGGAAGTGCCACGGGTGACCTGGGCCTCTGGCTGTGGAACCGTTGGTTGGTGATGTCCACCACAGCTGGGGTCGGGGTGGGGAGAGTATTGCATGAGGTTTTGGACATTCTCATTTGGGGGAGCTTTTGAGTCATCTCGGTGGAGAAGCCAAGAACACAACCGGGTTCAGAGTTCTGTAGCTCAGAGCAAGTGGTGTGTTTCAATGAGCTGGCACAAAGAAAAGGGATCCAATTAGTAAGCATAGTGAACAGTAGGGGATGGAGTCCTCAGGATGATTGAGAAGCGGCAGCCAAAGAAGTAGGACAAAGGAACGAAAAAGCCAGAAGGTGGCGTTGCCATGGAAGCTGGAGAGAAGCGAGTTTAAGGAAGGAGGGAGGGACTCTCTGTGCCCTGAGAGGCCAAGAGACTGAGGACTGCATGCTCCCCATTAGACCTAGAGATGTGAGGGTCATATTAGCAAAGCCTGATGCTTTAAGTGGATGGAGGTGTGAGTGGGAGGAGGAGAGGTGAGACTTCTCTTTTTGACATCTGCCTGTGAAGGGTGGGGGTGCAAAGAAACAGGGCAGTAAGCCTCAAGGGAGGTTTAAAAGACTGACTGCAGGCTCCCCTTTCTCATCTACTTTACATTTAAGATTTTATTTGAAAAAAGGATGATGAAGTGAACTTGTTGGGTCTCGGAGGCCCTTTTCATCTTGGCATTCTGTGCCAAAGGAGGTAGCTTGGAGCAGTGGGTAAGAGTTCAGACTGTCTGACAGGTCTTGGATAACCTTCCTTCTTCTGCTTACTAGTTGTACGCTCTTGGACAATTGCTTTACCCTCTTTGAGCCTCAAGTTTTTCATCTGCAAAATGGGTATATTAATTTTCACTTTACAGGACAGTTGTGAGGATTGAATGAACGAACTTATGTCAAGCTTTTGTGGCATTATCTGACAAATAGTAAGCATTCCATAAATAGTTATGATGATGGTGATGATGATGACAATGGTGGTGATGATGGTGGTAATGAAGACTGAAGATGATGGTGATGATGTCATTGCTAATGGTTATGGTTAATGATAGTGAGTGATGGCAGTATGACAATGATGATGGTGGGAGTGATTATGAAAAGGATGGTGATGATGGTGATGATAATGGTGGTGATGGCGATGGGGTGATAATAGGGATGATGATGATGGTGATAGGATGGTGGTGATGAAGATGGTGATGATGATGATGGGGTGATAATGATAGTGATGATGATGATGGTGATGGTGATGATGGTGGTGCTGGTGATGGGGTGGTGATGATGGTGGTGGAGTGACAATGATAGTGGTGATGATAGTGGATGGTAGTGATGATAGTGGATGGTGGTGGTGGTGATGGTGATGATTGTGGTGGTGGTGGTGATGTTAGTGATAATGGTGGTGGTGGTGATGGTGGGGTGATAATGATAGTGGTGATAATAGTGGATGGTGGTGATGATAGCAGATGGTGGTGATGATAGTGGATGGTGGTGATAACAGTGGATGGTGGTGATGATAGTGGATGGTGGTGGTGATGGTGATGATGGTGGTGATGGTGGTGGTGGTGGTGATAATGTTAGTAATGATGATGATGGTGGTGGTGGTGGTGATGGTGATGATGGTGGGGTGACAATGATAGTGGTGATAATAGTGGATGGTGGTAATGATAGTGGATGGTGGTGGTGGTGATGATGGTGCTGATGGTAATGATGATGATAGTGATGGTGGTGGAGGTGATGATAGTGATGAGCGATAATGATAGTGATGACGGTGGTGGTAGTGGTGATAATGGTAATGATGATGATGATGGTGATGGTAATGATGGTCATGGTGATGGGTTGATAATGATGATGATGATAGTGGCGGTCATGGTGATGATGGTGATGGGGTGATAATGATGGTGATGATGGTGGTGGTAGTGGTGATAATGGTAATGATGATGATGATGGTGATGGTAATGATGGTCATGGTGATGGGTTGATAATGATGGTGATGATTGTGGTGGTGATAATGATGGTGGCTGTCATAGTGATAATGGTGATGGTGTGATAATTATGGTGATGATGATGATGGTGGTGATGGTAATGATGGTGATGATGGTGGTAGTGGTAATGATGTGGCTACCATTGGAACACTTGAGTCTGAAGCATCATGATGCATATTTCTCTGTCCCAGTTGACCATGTTGTTCCTGAACCTGGGTCCAGCCTACTGACCTCTTTCGAGAAGTGGCACGAAGCAGCTGACACCAAATCCTGCTGTGATTACTCCCTCCACGTGGACATCACAAGCTGGTACGATGGCGTTCGGGAGGAGCTGGAGGTGCTGGTGCAGGACAAAGGTCAGTTAAAGCCTCGGAACGGGGTTTTGGGGAATCCCTTGTTCTTTGGTAGATCCAAAGATTATGTGGAGTGAAAAATCCCCCTGTCTGCATCTGTTCTGAGCCTGATTATGAGCTGCACTCTGCCACGTGACAGTGAGGAAACAGGCCAGTCCCTTTACAGAGTCCATCCTTTTCTCCTTGAAAACCTCTGGGGGTGTCCTTGTTCTCAGAAGCAGATCCAGTCTCTGCAGCCTGCTGTGCCCAGGCCCTTGCTGATCTAACTTCACTTTTCTTTTCCATCACCCGGATCACTAGCCTGGCTGCCATCCCTGAAACTGGCTATGCTGTGAGGCCCTTGCTCATGTGGATCCCCTGCCAGGAATGAATGCCCTTTCTCCTCTGCCTGCCCAGTGCTACTCACCTTCAAGACCCAACTCAACCATTACCTTCTCCCATTGCTTCATTCCTTGAATAGCCAATGCCGGTTACTTAGGCCTCCTTTGGGGCACTTTTTCCATTGTTCCTGGATTATGGGACATGGTTTGTCTGTCTGGCTCTTCTGCCAAACCCTGAGCTCTGTGAGGGAGGGGACCACGTCTATATGTCCCTGCTTCCCACCTTGGCTCCCCTCTGTTTGGGTTCACACCAGCACAGTGTAGACCTTTATGGTGTGTGTTACATCGAACTGGGGGGAACTGATCAGAAGACACAAAGGAAGCAAAGAACAGCAGAATGGAAAGAGACAGGGCATGAGCGATCTGTCCAGAAAGGGGCAGTCGGGGAGCCCTCTGAGGAGGCAGCCTCAAATGGTGGTGCTTCAAGGAGAGCGAGGGTGTGTTTCCAATTTTTAAAATAGCTGTGCTATGTTTTCTCGTAATAACAGTATCATCCCCAATATTTAAAGAAAGTCAGAAAATGGAAGGAAAAAAATTGTTTTCCTCTGGTTCTACCCCCAATCACAATTTACTCTAAATGTGCAGGATTATTGCTTTCCATTCCCTGTGTATTTGGATGATTTTTCCCCTATGTGGTTGTGCAATAGCTGTTATGTGGAACCCTTCTTTTTTCACTTAACATTTTATGAGTCAAATTACTTTTCATCAATAACTTTTTAATGGCTTGTAATGTATAATATAATGGTTAATTTGCTTAGCTATTTTCTTTTTATTGGGCATTTATGCTTTCTATTCGTTTTATTATAAATCCTGTTACGGTGAACATCTTTGTATATAAACATTTGTTTGCATTTCTAATTTTTCTTTAGATTTCCAGAAGTGGAATTAGAAGGTCAGAGGTTTTAACATTTTTCAAGATTATGACACTTATTGCCAAATTGGTTTCCTGAAAGATGCATCCCCTTGTACCCCTGCAAATCCTATGCCAGAATCTCTAGTCCCTGCACCTTTGCACCATTGGGCATTATTGCTTCTATGAAATCCTTGCCGATTCGATGGGTGAAAGACACCACCATTGTGGTTTTCATGGCAGTTCTTTACTGATTACATTCAACATTTTGCATACATTTTTCCTTATGTGAATAGCTGATTGTATTATTTGCCCACTCTTCAATTTGCATTTTCATATGTCTGTTTAAGCTCTTTCTATCAAGAAGGCATTATTGGCCATGGTGGCTCATGCCTGTAATCCTAGCACTTCGGGAGGCTGAGGAGGGAGGATTGCTTGAGGCCTGGAGTTTGAGACCAGCCTGGGCAACATAGTGAGACCACGACTCTATTAAAAAAAAAAAAAAAAAAAAAAAAACATAGCCAGGAGTGGTGGTGTACGCCTCCCAGCTACTTGGGAGGCTGAGCAGGAGCATTGCTTGAGTTTGGGAGGTTGAGGCTGGAGTGAGCACTGCACTCCAGCCTGGCTCATAGAGTGAGACCCTATCTTTTAAAAGAAAAAGGCATTATCCTTGTATTGCAGTTGCTGCGTGATTCACTGCAACTACATAACAGAGTCATAATCCAAGGAAATTGACAGTCTTGTATCTTACTTTCCTTACCTAATGTTAAGTTCTGAGCAATTTTCCCCAGGTTGCCGCCTTAAGCAAATGGTCGTTTAGGACGCCCCTCACTGAGATGGGAGGGTCTCTGGAGTGGCAGTGGAGTTTGTAGGGAAAGACACTGGGCTCCGTGAGGCCTAGTGGGTCTGTGCTGCCTGCAGGCATCCAGGGAGCCCTGTGCTGTGCGCATCTGGGCTGGGTCACCAGCAGGCGAATGGCGATGGTGCTCAGGTCCTGGCAGCAACCTTTCAACTTTGTATGCTTCTATGAAATCAACTTTTTAGATTCCACATATAAGTGAGATGCTGCAGTGTTTGCCTTTCTGTGCCTGACTTATTTCCCTTAACATAGGGTTCCACAGCTTCAACTTTGTTGCTGCAAATGACACGATGTCCTTCTTTACTAAGGCATCCATTGTGTATGTTTACCACATTTATAAAATCCATTCATTCATTGATGGACACAGGTTGCTTCCTAATCTTGGCTGTTATAAACAATGCCTCAATGAACACGGGAGTGGGGATATCCCCTGGGTATTCTGATTTCAATTCCTTTGGATTTTCAGCCGGTAGTGGGACTGCTGAAGCATATGGTAATTCAGTTCTTAGTTTTGTGAGGAGCCTCCGTACTGTTCCCCATAGAGGTGGCTGTGCTAATTTACATTCCCACAAACGGTGCTCAGGAATTGCCTTTTCTCCACATCCTCATCAACACTTGCTATCTCTTAGATGCAGCTCTTTCTTTCTTTCCTTCTGATGGAGTCTTACTCTGTCACCCAGGCTGGAGTGCAATGGCGAGATCTCAGCTCACTGCCTCCCAGGTTAAAGTGATTCTTCCCCCTCAGCCTCCCAAGTAGCTTGGATTACAGGCACCTGCCACCACACCCGGCTAATTTTTGTATTTTTAGTAGAGACGGGGTATCACCATATTGGCCAGGCTGGTCCTGAACTCTTGACCTCAGGTGATCCACCTGCCTTGGCCTCCCAAATTGCTGGGATTACAGGCGTGAGCCACTGCTCCCACCTGTGTTTTTATTTTCTAATCAGCTTAAATGCTCTCAGCAATTCCACATTATCCCCAGAATAAATTGCAAGCTGTCTGCCTGGCTCATCAGGATGCGCCTGCTCCTCCAGACTGGCTTGTTCCAGTTCCTGGGGCCCAGAGCCCCAGCCCCCTGCACCTCCGTTTCCCATCTGCTCGAGGCTGCCTCTGGCTCTTGGGGCTGTGTGAGTGAGTACTGGCCCCTTCAGGAACAGTCTCCCTGCCTTTTCCTAGCGATTCTCCTGTTCGTGCTGAGCTGTACTCCCCTGGGAAGCCTTCCCTGAAGCCCCCTGACAGATGCAACCCCCCCATGCATCCCCCACATAGGGATCATCAGACTAAGTTGTCTTTGCCCATTGACTTGCTGATACTCCCACACCCCAGCCCAGATGGCGAGCCCCCTACGGGCAGGGACTTGTCGTCTTACTCACAGTTGCATGGCTGGGACCTGCACAGAGAGTTGCATCCAATATCAGTGGACCAGCTGATTGATTTCATGAAAGATGCCTTTAGTAACTTCTGTATCTCAAGTGCTTAGCACATGCCCAGCATACAGCAGGCTCTCAGTAAGTGTTTGTAACATGAATAAATAAGTTAGGAAAGGAAAAGAGGAGAGAAGCAGGGAGGGAGGGAAGAAAGGGAGGAGGAACACGCCTGGTTTCCTTGGTCCTGAAGCATTTTAGTGCGTCCTTCTCTAAGTCAGAAGGGCTTGCCCAGAAATCTTGCTATTTGTCATGAGTGTACTGTGCAGTCCAGTGCAGGGCATTTCCAGGATGGGAAACCAACACGTTTGGTGTAATGTCCTCTTTGCAGAAATGGGGAAAGTGAAACCCAGAGAGGTGCAGTAACGTCTCAAGTGCCACACAGCAACTGAGGCCTGAACTCAGCTCTCCCTGACGGAGCAGCTGTCACTGTTGATGTCTTTATGGGAATTGCAAACACAATTCTTTAAAGAAATGGGATAAAAAAGCACATGCTTTAGGACACTTTCTAGAAGCTGCATGACTAATGTCTTTTCATCTTCCGTATTGCAGATGCTCATCACACCCTTCCTTATCCTTACCACACCCCTCCCTCTCAGCCTGGGGAGTTTTCCTCCTCCTCCTCGTCCTCTTTCTCCTCCTCTTCCTCTTCCTCCTCCTCTTCCTCTTCCTCCTTCTTCTCCCTTTCTCCTCCTCTTCCTCCTCTTCCTCTTCTCCTTCTCTTTCTCCTTTTTCTTCCTCCTCCTCTTCCTCTTCCTCTTCCTCCTCCTGCTCCTCTTCCTCCTCCTCCTCCCCTTCTCCTTCTTTCTCCTCCTCTTCTTTTTCCTCCTCTTCCTCTTCCTCCTTGTCCTCTTTCTCCTCCTCTTCATCCTCCTCCTTCTCCTCTTCCTCCTCCTCCTCTTTCTCCTTCTCCTCCCCTTCCTCCTCCTTCTCCTCCCTTTCTCCTCCATCACCTTCAGATTCTGCTTAGGTGTGACCTTCCCTGGAAGCTTCCTTTGACCTTCGCCCACATCCTCAGGCTGGATAGGTGCCCCACTGGGGATCCCAATGGCACTCATCTCTCCTGGCGACTACCACTCTGCTCTGTGGTCATTGATTTATTGGAAAGACATGCTTCTGTTTTTTCTTAAACATATTTTTCTATCCTTTCTATCTTGAAACAGGCGTCAATTCCTTCCAAGTCTACATGGCCTATAAGGATGTCTACCAAATGTCCGACAGCCAGGTAGGTCCCTCACACTCACTCTCTCCTCTCTTGTCTGGGCAGGACTGGGCCAGCTTTGCCAGTCCAGGCAGCACAGGGCAAGGGAGATTGTGAGAAGCCGTGGGATTCGAGTCCTGGTTCTGGCATGGAATGGCTGTGTGATACGGTGTCAGTCATTGCCCCAGCTGGGCTTCTGTTCTTTTCTGACTGTGTGAGTGGCATGCAGAAGGGGTTCCCTGGTTTGGTGGCTCCCAAATCTGGCTTATCCTCAGCATCATCTGGAGAGCTCACTTGAAATACAGATTCTTAGTGCATGTTCCAGATGTTGGGTGTTGGACTCAGGAGCCTGTACTTCCCGAAAGCTCTGCGTTTGATCCTGGTATTCAGGCAAGGATGGGGACCATTTATGAGCTCTGACACAGGAAGAGAGACTGCCTGGCCTTCCCTCACAGCAACTGCAACATGCTGGGCAAGTCATCTCCTCACATTTGTAAGATGGAACATTTCTGGCCCTGCCAACAGCAAACAATTATTATGTACATGCACCAAGTCAAGGGATATGGAGCCGCAAGTTGTTCTTCAGGAGGAGTGGTTACGACTTACAGGACACCTGGCCTTCTTATACTACTGGGTCTCCTAGTTTTGTTTCATTGTCAGTTTCCCTTGCTCTGCTTGTTAGTGTGGTGGAGAAAATCATGGAGGCTACAGCCAAGCCAGGTGCTTGCTCTGCAGCCAGGGGCAGCTTTCCCAACTTCTCTGTGCTTTAGGCTCATGATAGCCCTACCTTATAGAGGCAGTTGAATGATTTCATAAGAAGAGTAAAGTGCTAGGATGGTGCCTAGCAGAGAATGGTGCCATACAGGCATCAGTTAGCAGGGTAATTGGTTATTACCATGAAGATAGATGGGCAACGGGAGAAGCACTTTATGTCCTTCCTTTCAGATAAACACTTGGGGTTACAGAAAATAACTTATCCCAAGATGTCCTGGAGGCCTTTGATACAGTCAACAAAAGACACTCAAAGAGCTGAAAATTGGTTCAGTTACATAGAAAACATAGCATGTGATGTGCTGGCATAATTGTGATTTTCACCTGTTTCATTCTAACTACTGGAGCCATGGGCATGGATGGAATCGAGCAGCCTCTGCGTGCAGGTTCTCAAAAGTGCTTCATGCCTCCACATGCCTTCCCTATTTGCTGAAATAGGGATGTCTGTCGGAAAGCAGACATCCGAGGGGATGTTGTCTTGCATGCATGGAGAACAAAGTTGAGGTTCAAGTGTCCCTGGAGAGGGAGCTTCGTGGCTTTGGCCCTTACCAGGGGCAATGCCCAAATGCAGATTCTCCTCAGGTAGGAAGAGAACACTGGGCAGTGGGGAGGGCCTGTTTTGTCTAATTGAGAGGATGGTTGGCATGCTATATATTTTCTGAGTATTGGAGTTATTAGAGAGCTGGTTTCCCCCACCCCACCATTGTCCATAAAATGGCATGGGTTCATATTTTTGTAAGGATGCACACATATTCTGTGGCATGTAGGTGGCTATGGTACAGGCTTAGCAGATTTAGTTAGATAATTTCTGTAAAACTAACAGTGACTTCTCAGGACCAGTTGCTGCCATTAACACCTACAGGTGTTTCAAAAAAGCCAACCCAAAAAGACAGCAAAAGGCATAGATAGGCACTGAGATTGAGTCTGTCTTCATGCCCTGGGGTGACTTGGACCAGTTGTGCCCCATCCTCAGCTTCCTGCTTTTGGGTCTGCAAGATGTCAGGGTCAAGGAATGATCCTTCCAAGTCTGACTTGTGTAGCAGCGTATTCCATCCACATGAATGTGTTTGCAGAGGCTGGCAGGTGAATGACCGAATGGGTGTGATCGGAACGGTCTTCATGAATGCACACGCTGTGATTTTTTTTTTTTTTTAAATCTCACACCAACCCCTGTTTATCTCTCCATAGCTCTATGAAGCCTTTACCTTCCTTAAGGGCCTGGGAGCTGTGATCTTGGTCCATGCAGAAAATGGAGATTTGATAGCTCAGGTGAGTGGCAAGAATTTCCACTCCTTCTACCTCAGTCTGATTCTCCTTGTTGCAAAAGGTTTGATAAAAGAGCATTGGTTAGTGAGGAGGCTGTACAATGAAAGGTCAAGCCAGGAACTGGGTGTCATATCAGACACATCAGATATGAATGAAAATGCTTTGCAAACCTAGGTCATACCAGTGGCAATGCACATGGAAGCTGGTGTTCCTCATTGTCTTCAGGAATTGGGAGTGGGCATCATGGAAAAGCCCAGGCTTGGAGGAGGTGTTCCATGCCAGTCTCCTCCATCTCCTAGCCATGTGACCTTGGGCAAGGAACTTTTTCCCATGAACACTCTTATTTTTCTTCCAGAAACAACCACCTGGCAGTGTTATTGTGTGGATCAAATGATATTATGTGCCATGGCTTGAATGTGTCCTTCAAAAGTTCATATGTTGAAAACTTAATGCACAAGCTAGTATGTTGATGGTATTTGGAGGTGAGGCCTTAGGGAGGTAATTTGGATTAGATGAGATCATCAGGGTGGGGGCCTTATGACGGGATTAGTGGCTTTATAAGGAGAAGAAGAGAGGCCTGAGCTGGCATGCACCTGCTGTCTCATGTGATGCCCACCGCCATGCTATGATGCAGCAAGAAGGCCCTCACCAGATGCTGGCACCTTGTTATTAGATTTCCCAGCCTCCAGAACCATGGGAAATACACTTATTTTCTGTAAAATTACCAAGTCTATGGTATTCTGTAATAGCATCAGAAAACAGAGTAAGACATCGTGTATGTGAGGTTCAGAATCTGACACATAATGGACTGCAGCCATGCAAAAGTTTTGGATAAAATGAGACATGAACATATTTTGATAATTCTAGCTGTGGAGTGGAGAATTTGTTGGGAAAAGAATGAAAGCTGGGAGTTGTGGCTCACGCCTGTAATACCAGCACTTTGAGAGGCCGAGGTGGGCTGATCACTTGAGGCCAAGAGTGTGAGACCAGCCTGGCCAACATGGCAAAACCCCATCTCTACTAAAAAATACAAAAATTAGCTGGGTGTGGTGGAGCACACCTGTAATCCCAGCTATTACAGGTGGGAATACAGGTATTACAGGTGAGAATACAGCCATTATCAGGTGTGAGGCTGAGGCAGAGAATTGCTTGAACCTGGAAGGTGGAGCTTGCAGTGAGCTGAGATCACGCCACTGCACTCCAGCCTGGGCAACAGAGTGAGACTCTGTCTCAAAAAAAAAAAAAAATGAAGTCAGGGTGACTAGCTAGGTTCTATTTCAGCAAGTCTCATAAGAAATGAAGAGAGGAGATAGGAGATGGAAGAGGTGAGCATGACAGGAGGGAAACACAATCTACAGGACCCATGGACGGATTGGGTGGAGGAAGAAGAGAAAGAAGTCAGGCAGGCTCCTGGGTCTCTGGTGCAGAGGCATGGATTGGTTATAATGTTGTAAATCAAGCCAGGCTTATAGGGGAAGGTTTGGATGCAGCCAGTAAAGGTAGTTAATGCCAGACATGATGCAAAGGACTTCACATATTGATACTCACAACTACTCCGTGAGGTAGATATAATTATTCCCATTTTATAGATAGGGAAACTGAAGCTCAGATATGAATAAGTTGCTCACTGTTGCTCATGGGGCAGTAGAGTTAGGATGTTAACCAGTTCCCTCTAGTTCCAGAGCGCAGTGGAAGAGCAACATGATGGTTCAGTGCTGGAGATCTAAAGCTTCACCATTAAGGTTCATTGACTTCACTTCTTCTTATCTGAGTCCTTGTAGTTTTCCTGCACAATTGAAATTCTTTCAAATTCAATGTAAAAAACCAACAGTGCCTTAGTTCCATCATGCAAGAGTATTCTGTTCATTGCTAACAGGTCACTGCATCCAGCCCACACTCAAAAAGAAGGGATTATACAAGGGCAGGAATGTCAGGAAGTGAGAATTATTAGGGCCACATCTGAGACTTCCTCCCAATCTGTCTTCTGGCCCCCATGATTGATGTTCCTCTCCCATGCAAATTACAATCACCCCTTCCCATGGTTCTCCAAAATCTCATAACAGCATTAGTTCACAGTCTGGAATCTCATCATCCAAACCAGGTCCAGGTGTGGATGAGGCTCCTTGGCTGTATTTCCCATAATCTGTAGGTCTATGAAGCTAAAGAAGGAAGATATCTCCCTGACCCTCCTGATATACAACATGCAGTGGTGGACCTGACATTCCTATTCAAAAAGGGAAAAATAGAAGGCACCAAGGAGTTATTGGTTCATGGCGGTTCTGAAATCTGGCTGGGAAATGTTGGCAGTTCCTTGACTGGGTTTCAAAGCCTGAGAATAAGTCTCCATAGCTCTTGGCTCTACCTTCTGAGCTCCTGCTTCCATCCTCTGAGTCATCCATCCTTTTTCGTGAAAGGTAGTACATGTCTGCAGCTGAGTGGTTTTCTCAGCCTGCTTCTTGCTCAGTAGAATTTCAGGGATCAGCCAGGCACGGTGGCTCATGCCTGTAATCCCAGCAATTTGGGAGGCCAAGGCGGGCAGATCACCTGAGGTCAGAAGTTTGAGACCAGCCTGGCCAACATGGCGAAACACTGCCTCTACTAAAAAAAAAAAAAAAAAAAAAAAAAAAAAAAAAAAAATTAGCCGGGCATGGTGGCGGGTGCCTGTAATCCTAGCTACTTGGGAGGTTGAGGCAGGAGAATTGCTTGAATGTGGGAGGTGGAGGTTGCAGTGAGATGAGATCACGCCACTACACTCCAGCCTGGGTGACAGTGAGACCCCGTCTTAAAAAAAAAAAGAATTTTGGGGATCCAACTGCTTCTTTTCACATCACATGCCTGTGTTCAGTCTCAGCTTCCAGTATTTTGCTAAGGCAACTCTCCTAAAAATCTGTGGACCTCCTGTGAATCTCGCTGGGGTTCACACCATAAGACAAAAGGCACCCACTTCTTCCAGATAATCCCTCCGCTACCCTGATGAGAGAGCTGAGAGACACAACTGCAAGCTTCCCAGAGGCCCTGTAGTTTGACTGAGATGGTCCACAGGCACAGCCTTCATCTCTTTGAAATGTCTCTTCAAAAAAATTTTTTTTAAATTTTTTTGAGACTTAATCTCATTCTGTCATCCACACTGGAGTACAGTGGTGCAATCTTGGCTCATTGCAGCCCCCGTCTCCTGGGTTCAAGTGATTCTTGTGCCTCAGCCTCCTGAGTAGCTGGGACTATAGGCATGCGCCACCACGCCTAGCTAATTTTTGTATTTTTAGTAGTGATGGGTTTTTACCATGTTGGCCAGGCTGGTCTTGAACTCCCGACCTCAAGTGATCTGCCCGCCTCGGCCTCCCACAGTGCTGGGATTACAGGTGTGAGCCACCATGCCCAGCCTAAAAGGTCCCTATTTAAAGGATCTCTTTCTTGTGGCTGATAATACTGGGAGGCACCACCCCTCATCTTTCTGAGTTCTTAACAAGGGGCTGTAGACTCACATCCTTGGTTTCTTCGCAAGACTGTTTATGGCTGCTTCTTGCCTCCTGTGAGGACTCAATGTCCTCAGAGGCCCTATTTCTTCTAAGAGTCCATTCAAGGCTATTTAAATTGCTGTTTGGG
Organism: Homo sapiens; assembly: GCF_000001405.40. NCBI lineage: Eukaryota > Metazoa > Chordata > Mammalia > Primates > Hominidae > Homo > Homo sapiens. The sequence goes on along the minus strand of NC_000004.12, from coordinate 5,845,791 downwards.
AATTCATTTGCTGCCTGGTTCCAGATCCTCTTCCACACATTTAGATATCTTTTATGGTAACACCCTACTTCTGGTAACAAAACCTGTACTAGTCATCCATGATTGCATAACAAATTACTTCAGAACATAGCGTCTTAAAGCAAATTATCTCATGGTCCTGTGGGTCTGGACTCCAGGTGCAGCTCAGCTATTTCTGGCTGAGGGTCTCACAGGCCATAGTGAGTGGCAGGTTGGGGGCGGTGAGCATCTCAAGGCTCAACTGGTGCAGGATTTGCATCCAGCCTCTCGTAGGTGGTGTATTTCTGGATATAGCTCCTTGCTAGCTGTCAGGCTAATGTGATGGTCTGTTCTTTGCTGGCTGCTGGCCAGAGGCCTCCCTCGGTTCCTTGCACATGGGCAGCCCCAGCGAGGCGGCTTCCTTCAGAGCAGATTAACCAAAAAGCAGTAGGTGAGCAGGTCGGAAGCCAGAGTCTCTGTAACCTGACCTCGGGAGTGACAGCCCAACCCTTTTGTCTTGTTCTGCTCATCAGAAGCAAGGTGCTGGGTCCAGCCCACACTCCAGGGGAGGGGACCCTGCAGGGCCTTGAAAAGCAGGAGGCGGGATCACTGGGAGTCATCTTAGAAGTTGCTGCCACACAAATCTTAGCTGATTTTAAACTTTCTAAAAATGGAAGCATACAGCACACACTGTCTTATGTCCGGCTCCATTTGCTCAATCCGAGGCGTGTGAGATCCATCTTTGGCCAGGCATAGCACTAGCTTTTTCTATTTCATCGGTGTGTAGAATTCCACCGCACGAATCTGCACAATGTATTCTCCAGTTGTTGGATATTTGGATAGTTTCACATTTGGAACCGTGATGCGTGAGGCTTCTGTGCTTGTTCTTGCTCCACTCTTGTTCAGCCTTTTATTAACCATAGGTTCACATCTTTAGCTGGTATATACCTAAGAGAGGAATGGCTGGGTCCTAGGGTGTGTGTAGATTCAGCGTTAGTGGTTACTGCTACACAGTTTCCCAGCGTGCACGCACCCCTGCACCAGTGTGAGAGAGGTCCAGCCTGCAGCCCCCAGCTCCTGAGTGGCACATAAGGGGCTTTGCTCTCCTCACTGCCAGCAGAGATTTAGCTGTTCCAGCTCCAGCACATCCATCACCTTTTGGACATCTGCTTTCCAGCTTTCAACATTTTGTTCCTCTGGTCTTCTCTGTAGTTTCTTGGTTCCTGTGTGTCTCTTTCTCTTGTGACTTCTGTGTGTTTTGGAAGGCAGTGAAACAAATGCATGTGTGTAGTCCATTATTTTAGACTAGAAATCCTACTCTCGTCTTTGTTTTTCTTCATCATGTCATCTTTCATCCTCCCTTCCTCGCCTCTTCTCCCTCCCTCCTGGCTTTCTTCCCTTCCTCCCCTTCCCTCCATTCCCCTTCCCTCCCCTGCCCTCCCCCTCCTTACTTCCTCTTTCCTTCCAGAATAGTAACTGACATGTAAACAATTTCACAGAGGGATTTCTCGGTATTCTAAAATCTTTTTGTAAACATTTTCTAAAAATGCTTTGTAAACAGTGTCTTCGGTAGCTGAAATTATTCCATTGTTTACTTCAATCTACCCAGCTGTTAGACTTTGAAATGGTTTCCCATTTATATTCTTGTAATAACCTCGAGCTTAATAACCATAGACGCGCAGTTGAGATTGTGATTTCTTTTCATGGGTGATGAGGCCCAGGGTTCATGACGGGGTGATGTCTAAGAACAATGACACAGACACTGAGGAAGTTAAAATTAGCAGCAGTACAGCTGGCATCTGGGCAATGTCAAATTTTTTTTTTATTTTTTATTTTAGAAATTAAAGTGTTCCTGGGACAAAGAAACTTTGGACCAGATGGATTTGAATCTAGGCCATCAGCCCAGGGAACCATTTCAAGGTTATATGATAAGTTTCAGGTAGTGGTTTCCCGCCATAAAGACAGATGCCAGGAAGAGGCAGCTGAAGTAGGTATGAGAGCCGGCTGCCAATTAATGAGCGTGTGCTCGCTCAGCTCCAGGTTTTGTGCTGAGCATGTTTCGTATGCTCGCTCATCTGATCAGCGTAGTAACTCTGCAGTACAAGCACCGTTATCCCCAGTGTACAGAAGAGGAGACTGAGGTCAAGAGAGCTTGACCAACCTGCCCAAAGTCACAGAGACGGCTGTTCTGGATCTGGACTCCCAGTTTCGGGATCTTTGATTTCAACATCAAAGACTAGAGTAGGATTCCTAGTTGAAGATATCCATGTTGTACCCAAACACCACGTTTCTTCCCAGAGGAGAGGCCTGCAGGGAGACTCCGAGATTCAGAGAGTGGTGGGTGGCCTTGGAAGCTCGTGTCTTATAACCCTGCTTCCTCTCATTGATCCCGGGAGATTCAATATAAAGCAGGTGCAGATGGAGCCATGCAGGGCTACAAAGGGGAAGGTGGATGGGTGTGTAGTGGAGGGGACACAGTTCACTGCCCCCACCCCGCACACTGTTAACCTAGTGCAAGCCACTCGCCTCTTTGGGACCCAGCTGCCCCCTCTGTCTAACCAGGGGGTTGGAGGAGTCACTTCTCCCAGCTCTGACACCCTCTAATCGTTAACTCACTTGTTCTTGTCTTGTAGGAACAAAAGCGGATCCTGGAGATGGGCATCACGGGTCCCGAGGGCCATGCCCTGAGCAGACCTGAAGAGGTAAGGACTCCTCAACTTGGGCATGACTCTGACACTCACCACTGAGCACTCACCTTGATGCTGTTCCAGCTGGAGTAGCCCAGCCAGGACCCGGCCTCTTCCCGTGTCCTCTCCCAGACCATCCCAAACCATCTTGTTTTCCCCGGGAACCCTGGGGACTGCTGGCTGGAGAAGACAGGAAGAGGTGCTGCCTCTCCCAGGGTCCTGGAACTTCACTCCAAGGCCCCGTGGGTGCTTCAGTGTCCCAAGTGGATACGGATTCTCATGGAGGACATGGCATAGTGGATAATAGGAAAGTGGAGCCGCATGCCCAAGCCCAGCACCCAGGAGACAACTCCCACTGCCTGCCCTGTTCCCAAGCCTTGAAAAAGGATGACTTCCCCTGGACTGGCTGTGTGTGTATGTGTGTGTGTGAGTGTGTGTATGTTAGTGTGTGTGTGTGAGAGAGACAGTGCGTGTGTGTGTGTGTGAGTGAGTGTGTGTGTGTGTGTGTGAGAGAGTGTGTGAGTGTGGGTGCATGTGCATGCACCTGCAGGGAGTGTGGAAGGAGGAAGGCAAGCTGATCGGGCATGGAATAGAGTGGGCACCCTGGCAGCCATCCTTTGAGTTGAGGACACCTTCTTTTTACTTTCTTTCTTTCTTTTCTTTTTTTTTTTTTTTTTTTGAGATGGAGTCTCTCTCTGTTGCCCAGGCTACAGTGCAGTGGTATGATCTCGGTTCACTGCAGCCTCCGCTTCCTGGGTTCAAGTGACTCTCCTGCCTCAGCCTCCCAAGTAGCTAGGAGCACTAGGCACAGGCCTGTGCCACCACGCCTGGCTAATTTGTGTTTTTTGTTTGTTTGTTTTGTTTGTTTTTGAGACAGAGTCTCGCTCTGTCGCCCAGGCTGGAGTGAAGTGGCGCCATCTTGGCTCACTGCAAGCTCTGCCTCCCGGGTTCACACCATTCTCCTGCCTCAGCCTCCCAAGTAGCTGGGACTACAGGCACCTGCCACCACACTGGCTAATTTTTTGTATTTTCAGTAGAGACAGGGTTTCACCGTGTTAGCCAGGATGGTCTCGATCTCCTGACCTCGTGAATAGAGACTGGGTTTCACCATGGTGGCCAGTCTGGTCTGAAACTTCCGACCTCAAGTGATCCATCCGTCTTGGCCTCCCAAAGTGCTGGGATTACAGGTGTGAGCCACCGTGCCTGGCCAAGTTGAGGACATTTTCTGATGTCCTCATCAGGTCATTACCGAGTCTTCTGGGCCCATGCCCTGGGCCTGGTGTCTGCTGGACACAGGGGACACAGACATGAGTCCACATGAGTGGACAGGTTCCGTGTCCTGAGGGGCTTGAGATCCCACCCAGTGCTCTTCATGAGCTCCACAGCCCAGGGATGGCCACGAGCTGTATGTTCCTGGCCCATGGTGAGGTCAGGACAGAACTGGGAGGCAGTGCTATAAACTTGTATAGCGCTTGGATGTTGCTGCCGTATCCCAGCGTGAGACCAATGCTCCACCCCGGAGAGCAGGGGGCACTGTCAAGCGCTGTTGGACTCAGTATGTCCTTCTCATTCAATGGAGCAGATTTCCCTTCTGATCACATTCAATTAAGGAAAATGGAGATGGGTGGTAGCTGTTACACCAGCCTTCCCTCCTGTGACACTGTGTGTGCCGTGTTCAGCTGGAGGCCGAGGCGGTGTTCCGGGCCATCACCATTGCGGGCCGGATCAACTGCCCTGTGTACATCACCAAGGTCATGAGCAAGAGTGCAGCCGACATCATCGCTCTGGCCAGGAAGAAAGGTATGCAGCCGGCCCTGGGCCTTCTGGGGGCAGCTGGGGCCTGGAAGGGGGTGTCCTGCAGGTTCAAGTTCACTCCCTCCCGAACTCAGACAGGCAGCCGGAGGAGGGAGGGGTGGAGCGGGGATGCTCCTGACACAAGGATGGTGGCTGGAATTCTTTGGTCCCAATGACCTTAGGATATTCACCTCGATAAGCTCAGCTCCATTTAAAGAGAATTTTAATAATATATTATGTTTAATCTAATGGATCCACATATTAATTCAGCATGTCATCAATGTAAAAATCATTAATATTTTGCATGATGTTTTCTGTACTCTCTTCAAAATTCAGTATCTTACATGTACACAACTCAGTTCAGACTAACCACAGCCTCAGGTTATTGGTGGCCACATGCGGCTCAGGACTGCCTTATTGGACAGAGCAGCTGTGGACCCCAAATATGTTGTTTTAGTGTTTTTAAGGGCAAGCTGACAAGTAGAGGCTAGAACAGCACAGCTTGCCTGAAACTAGCTCCATTTTGAAGATAAGGAAACCGGGGCTCAGAGAGGTTACAGAAATCTGGAAGCGGTACCAGCCGGGAGCGGGTAAGCAGGCAGGTTCTGGAGCTACAGGAAGCCATAAGGTAGCCACTAACCACACGTGGCTATCTAAATTTAAATTAAGTAATGTTAAGTAAAATGAACAAGTTAGTTTCTCAGTGGCACCAGCCACACCAGCTTAACAGCCACATGTGGCCGGTGGTTGCTGGTTGGGCAGCTGTGATACAGGGCACCCCCCTCGCTGCAGAAAGCGCTGCTTGATGGGCTGCCCTAGAGCCGGGCAGAGCTTGCAGCTGCCTCTCCTACTGGGCAGCAGGTGGCCTCAGGCGAGGGCAGCAGGGGGTCTCGGGCCACATCTCTTGCCCTTGGTCTCTAATGCAAAGATCTTTCCTGGGGAGCCCGAGCCTCTGCCTGCAGGCTTTTCTGGAAGAAGCCCGCCAGGCCGACTCCTTGAAAGACAAGCAGGAACTTCTGGGAAGTTAGTGCTCGGGAAGCCGCCCTCCGGCACTGGGCTGACAGAAACACATCCAACTCCCTTTCCCCTGGGGTGGGAGGACCCTGAGGCGTGTTCCCGAGCAGGACTGAGTGCCAGGGCCCTCAGCTGTGCCTCGATGAGAAATCTCCCTTTATTGGCTGCTTTCCCTGCCTTATGTCACTTCCTCAATCCCCAGCCAGTGTTTCCTGGAATCACCTCCCAAATAAGACTCTTGAACTAGATTCCTAAGATCTGCTTCTGGCAGAACCCTAACTGAGAGAGTAAATCGTGTCTCCATGGCTTGGCTTACAAATCTATAAAAGGACATAATAATGTCCAAATCGTAAAAGCAACAGCCATATCCACAGGTTGCTGGGTGAGTCAGCTGCCGTACGCCCCATGGAGCGCGTGGCGGGGCGCCGACAATGTGGTGGAGCTGGGCCCGGACACCCAAGGTCCCTGCGGTGCAGGCGGTGATGCCTGCAAGAACGGTGGCCAGTGTTCTGGCCTTCAGCCAGCCCCGTTCTCCCTCCACAGTCTTCCAATTTTGTGCCTTTGACATCTGCCTCAAGAGAGTATTTGCTTTTAACCAGGCTTATGTTTTCCCCTCCTAAGGGCCCCTAGTTTTTGGAGAGCCCATTGCCGCCAGCCTGGGGACCGATGGCACCCATTACTGGAGCAAGAACTGGGCCAAGGCTGCGGCGTTCGTGACTTCCCCTCCCCTGAGCCCGGACCCTACCACGCCCGACTACTTGACCTCCCTACTGGCCTGGTGAGACCTGTGAGAACGTGGGGCTGGGGGAGGCAGCTGGGGCCTTTGGAGGCAGAGAGTTAATGGTGGGAATCCGCAGGCTGGTTTGGACTCATGATTGTAGAGGAGGCTCTGCCCCGTGCTCTGCAAGGACTGCGCTCATATGGCTTACAACAGGCCCTCACGGACCTGAAGATCTGTGGCATCCAGTGACTGTTCCATTCACATCAATTGACCACCTCCTGTTGAGCCAACCTACTGTTAAGCACCTGCTCTGTGGCAGGCACCATGGTGTATCGGGAAGCACTCAGGATCAGGGATGGAGACAAGGCTGTGTCACCCCGGACCTGGCACGTCACCCGTGACATCTCTCTGTCTCCCTCGTTTTACTCAAAGTGGAAGCAGACAGTACCTGTGGCAGAGCTGCCTATGGGACAGTGCAGGAAAAGGACCTGGAACCGAGTGCTCCAGAAGTGGCCGCTGCTGCCTGCAGCACACTTGCTGTGGTGCACGCACACTGTGGAGCCCAGCACCTCAGCCCCTTCCCTTCTGTTAGCCACCAGGAGGGAAGAGCACTTAGCAATAGCAGGGCCACACAGCGAGGCTAAGTGTCCAGGCCGCTCTGGAAGCAGAGACGCATGCTCAGAACCCACCGGGAGGCTTGCAGAAGGCTTTCTGGAGGAGGGGGCATCAAGACTAAAGCTTGGGGATGAGTAGGAGTTTGCCCAATAGGGGAGGATAAGATGGGGCTTCTTGGCAGAAGGAACCTTGGAGGAGGGGGCAGTGGTGTGCGCCCACGTGGAAATCACCATCCCCCTGATGATACAGAAACCTTTGACTAGCGTAGCCAAGGGCTTACTCAACATCTGCAGTCCAATGTCTGGTGGGCAGCTCACGTTTACAAAGAACTGCAGATCTTCCCCCATAAAGCTGCTAGTCCCACAGTCTTGCCCATCTAAGAAAATGTCAGGAACACGGACCAGAGGCCCTAGAGTCTGACAACGCCTCACCTGTCTGCTGTGGCCATCCTGGCTCAGGCCACCATCATCCCTGGCTTCCGACCAAGACTTTCTATTTCCACACGGGCCCACCCCACCCTACCCATCACAGTCTGCTGTCAGACATTTAGAACCTAGATTAGATCAAGCACCCCTCTGCTTGGAACCAGTAAGTCCTCTGCCAGTGAAACCCAAGTCCCTGCAACATCCAACAAGGCAGAACTCAATCCGGTGCACACGCCCTGACCAACCTCCCTCCCTGGGCCTCCTCTGCCCTTGGCTCCCTCGGTCCAGTCCCAGCTTCATGCTGACCCTGAACCCCAGGCAGGACCCTGCCTCGGGGCCTTTACACTCATGGGAACCCCTGGCTAGTTCCCTCTTTCTTAGACGCCACATGGTTTGCTCTGTGACTTCCTTCAGATCTTTGCTAGAAGGCTCCTCAGTGACGTAATTTTCTGATTATCCTCCTGGAAATGGCATCTCCAGCCTGTCCCCAGCACGCCTCATCCCCACCTGCTTTGGTTGAATCCCTGACACTCACTCTAACAGCGCCCATGTGCCCCATTCGCCTCTGCTTATTGCCAGTCTCCCCCATCCCTCAGTATAGCTGACACATGCAGAAGCTCTCTCTTTCTGATCTTAGATGCAGTCCCCATTCCTTAAATTGTACCGGGCACATAGGAAGCATGCAACACAATTTTGTTGAATAAATGAGTGAAGAAAACTTCTAAATATACTCCTCTGCATCTAGGCAATTGCTAACATTTCCTGGGCCTCTGGATTGGAGGACAGCCTCACCTTCCTCACCTTGCATTTAGAACCACTAATAATGGTCCATTCATTTTTTATTTTATTTTATTTTATTTATTTTATTTTATTTTATTTTATTTTATTATTTTATTTTATTTTATTTTTTGAGACTGCGTTTTGCTCTTGTCGCCCAGGCTGGAGTGCAATGGTGCAATCTCGGTTCACTGCAACCTCCACCTCCTGGGTTCAAGCAATTCTCCTGCCTTAGCCTCCTGAGTAGCTGGGATTACAAGCGCCCACCACCACGCCTGGCTAATTTTTTTTTTTTTTTTTTAGTAGAGACAAGGTTTTGCCATGTTGGTCAGGCTGGTCCCGATCTCCTGACTTCAGGTGATCCACAGCCTCCCAAAGTGCTGGGATTACAGGTGTGAGCCACCACACTCAGCCTGGTCCATTCATTTTATTGTCTTAGGTGTTCAGCTCAGGGCACCTGATATATCAAAGAGTATTTGTTTTTAAAACACCAGGGGACAAAAGGGTAAATCCCAGTGAACTTGTGCCACTTTGCTGTAACCAATGAATAGTGTTTGTTCTGCAAGCACAGCACAAACACTCTGGCCAGCCCTTAAGCCAACTGCCTTATGTCAAGAAGACAAATGTCAGCACACATTACTCACTTTGTAACGTGCAAAGCATGAGGCCAGTGACATAAATGGGGCATCCCTGACTTGTGACACGTGCAGGCACACGCTAGAGAGTCTCTCTTACCCACTGGCTTCCTTATCTATTCATTCATTCACTGGCTGTGCTGCATGTACCTGTCTGAAGTCAGGATTTGCCTTCAAAATGAACTAGGGTCTGAACTCTACCTTGTTTTGTCCTTGCCAGTGGGGACTTGCAGGTCACAGGCAGCGGCCACTGTCCCTACAGCACTGCCCAGAAGGCGGTGGGCAAGGACAACTTTACCCTGATCCCCGAGGGTGTCAACGGGATAGAGGAGCGGATGACGGTCGTCTGGGACAAGGCGGTGGTAAGGCTGGATCTCTTCTCAGGAGCATTCTAGAAACACTCTACCTGCCCTGTGAAAGCCGATGCATTATGCACGCTGGGTTCTTAAAAGTTCCCTTCTTACATGGAGGCGGAAGCAGATATACTAGGAGGGCGCAGGAGGGAACGCATAACTTGAGAGATAGTAGCTCAAGTCCGGGAGAGGCCTCTGCATTTGTGGATGTCACCCTTGTCCTTTACATCTTAAGATTGAAAAATGTTTTGTTTTGTTTCTCAACCACGTCTTAGTTCCTGTGGAAATGGCTCTGTAACGCTGTGTGTGTGCATGTGCACACGTGTTAGGAGTTGGGATGTTGAGTGGGTAGAGAGAGAATTCCTGTTGCAGAGGAAGAGCTGGGTCTCACTCTGATCACTGACCTGAAACCAAAGGTTTTTAATCTTCTGTTAAACTGGGGCCTGGTGACATGGACAAGATGTCATAGTGGCTCTTGCGTCAACATACCTCTGTGCGGTTAATTAAATGTCCTCTCTGATGAGGCTGGGCCTTCTGGGGTTCTTGATGATGGCACGTTTTTAGCTGGGAGAGGAGAGAATTCCAAGCCTTGCAAGGCCTCAGCTGGCAGTCTTCCATTTGTGCCCAGCTGCCCCTCCTCCTGGCCCCATTATGAGATGCTCTTCTCATCTGTGGGTCTTGCCTGTAGGCTACTGGCAAAATGGATGAGAACCAGTTTGTCGCTGTCACCAGCACCAATGCAGCCAAGATCTTTAACCTGTACCCAAGGAAAGGGCGGATTGCCGTGGGCTCGGATGCCGACGTGGTCATCTGGGACCCCGACAAGTTGAAGACCATAACAGCCAAAAGTCACAAGTCGGTAAGTCCTGGCCTATTTGTGCTGCTGAGATAAGTGATTCTTCGTTGTAATCATTTTTAAAGACTGGTTAAAAATGATTTATGAATTTTCCAACTAGGATGTGATCTGATATCTAGCCTGACTCAGTCATTCCCATTTCTCCTCCAGTTGGAGAGATTGGGAGGAGGGATCTGAGCAGGCTCAACTAAGCTGCTTCTCCTTCTCTTTCTCTCTCTCTCTTCCTCTCCTCTCTCTCTGTCTCTTTGCTCCTGCCCATGGATGCATGTGTTCCCAGCCATCTGACACTGCTTATAATGTGTAAGCTTCAGGGCTCAGCGAGGGAAAGTATTAGATCTAAGGTTCTCAATTTAATTATCAAGCTGGAAAGGATTTGATTTGGTATGTCGGAAACCTCCCACTCGGTTTTGTGGCTGGCTGCTAATAGACAGGAAAGGGTTGGCCCTAAAGTGCACACTTTTTCACATTCCATGCCCATAGTTATGGGCCTTCTCTGCTTTGTATCTTATATGCCTTTGATTTCTCCACTCATCCAGCAACCTACCAAAGATGCGTGCACAGAGAGGGTGCATGCAGAGATGGCAGAAGACAACTGTGCCTCCCTGAAGGGCTTGCTTTAACACCCTCCTGCATGGCCAAGAGTGGCCTTGGGTCTGGATTAACAACTACACGCACAGACCCAAGAGGCCACAGTGGTCCCTGGTTCACTGGAGTCTGTGCAAGCACACAGGCCAGAAGTAGTGCATGTGCACACCGTGATGGAGCTGCAGTGGGTGTTCCCATGGCCCCATGGGCTATGGGCTCACATACTGCAGAAGGAGTATGGGCTCACATACTGGAGAAGGAGTATGGGCTCACATACTGGAGAAGGAGACCACAGGTGTGGGGACAGGACATGAGGCACAAGGAAGTTTCATAAGAAAGCCACAGGAAACACTTGTAGCAGCTCACGGCCATGGCCCTGGAGTATCCATTGGCTGCCACAGACATGGCCTGCAGAAGCAGAGGTCTCGGTAGCTGCTCACTGACCTTGTCCGGCTCACCAATCCAGGTCATTCTTATAATACACAATGCTCCCTGGTAACACTACTTGCTTCCCACAGCCCCCATCTCCAGGGAACGGGGTGCCTGAGATCATCTTCCCATGGAGAAAGGTTTATGCCACGCACATGTACAGTCCAGCAGGGCTTGCAATTCTATTATTTATTATGAATTATTTCACGTGTGTACACACTGCTTGGGGTCTGTGCACATAGGAGAGGCAATGGGAGAGCGTCTGAGAGGGTCTTGCCAGTGAGAGGGTGTCTTGGTCCATTTTGTGCTACTGTAATAGATACCACAGACTGGGTAATTTATAAGAAAATAAATTTATGTGGCTCACGGTTCTGGAGGCTGGGAATTTCAGTATTAAAATGCCGGCATCTGGCAAAGGCCTTCTTGCTGAGTTATCCCATGGCAGAGGGCAGAAGGATAAGACAGGACAAGTGTGAAAGAAGTATCAAGAGGACGCTGAATTTGCTTTTATAACAAGCCCAGTCTCACAATAACTAACTCATTCCTGTGATAATAGCATTAACCATTAATGAGGGCAGAGCCTTCATGACCTAATCAGCTCTTAATGGTCTCACATCTTAATACCATTGCAATGGCAAGTCAATGTCCAGTTGAATTTTGAGGGGATATTCCAACCATAGCACAGGGTGTGCACTCCTACCGCCATCTGGCTGTGGGAGCTGCCCCTTGCTTCACAAGGTGATCCTTATCTAGAAAGGAACGTGAATGTCTGTGTCAGCCAGTCAAAGGTCGGCGGACAAGGACCCAGAAGGAAGTAGACTGAGCTGGGATTGTCTTACTATTCCTTTTGTTGTTGTTGAGATGGAGTCTTGCTCTGTTGCCCAGGCTGGAGTGCAGTGGCGCAATCTCGGCTCACTGCAAGCTCCGCCTCCCGGGTTCACGCCATTCTCCTGCCTCAGCCTCCCGAGTAGCTGGGACTACAGGTGCCTGCCACCACGCCCGGCTAATTTTGTTTTGTATTTTTAGTAGAGACAGGTTTCACCATGTTAGCCAGGATGGTCTCGATCTCCTGACCTCGTGATCCGCCCGTGTGGGCCTCCCAAAGTGCTGGGATTACAGGTGTGAGCCACCGCACCCAGCCTCTTACTATTTCAGTGTGGGATCAGAGGCCACACCAGATTCCATGCTCAGGAGTGGGCACTCTGATTATCATCACAATCCAGCCAAATACTGTTTTGTAGTTACTTCGTGCTTAGCATTCTCCATGCATCATCTCATTTAATCCTCACGATCTTCTAAGTTAGGTATATTGTTATTGATAAATGAGAAAATGGAGAGAGAGAGAGGACACATGTGTAAGTTTCCTCTGGACGCTGTTATAAAGTGCCACAGGTTGGGTGGTTTAAACAAAAGAAATTTCATCTCTTAAAAGTTCTGGGGCCGGGCGCGGTGGCTCACGCCTGTAATCCCAGCACTTTGGGAGGCCGAGGCGGGCGGATCACGAGGTCAGGAGATCGAGACCATCCCGGCTAAAACGGTGAAACCCTGTCTCTACTAAAAATACAAAAAATTAGCCGGGCGTAGTGGCGGGCGCCTGTAGTCCCAGCTACTCGGGAGGCTGAGGCAGGAGAATGGCGTGAACCCGGGAGGCGGAGCTTGCGGTGAGCCGAGATCCCACCACTGCACTCCAGCCTGGGCGACAGAGCGAGACTCCGTCTCAAAAAAAAAAAAAAAAAAAAAAAAAGTTCTGGAAGGTAGAAGTTGAAACCAAGGTGTTGGCCAGGCCATGCTCTCTCTGAAGGCTCTGGGGGCAGACCCCTTCCAGGCCACTCTTCTAGCGTCTGACGTCCCCAGCAGTACTTGCTTCCATGGCGGGTAAGGCATCCCTTACATCATCTGCCTCTGTCATTGCGTGGCCCTCTCTGCTGTGTCTTCTCCTTTTATGGATGCCAGTCATTGGATTTTGCGCCTACCACACCCCAATGTGACCTCATCTTACCTAATTATACCTGCAAAATCTCTGTTTCCAAATAAGGTCACATTCTGAGGTAATGGGGGTTAGGATTTCAACACGTCTTTTTTGGGAGCACGATTCAACCCATAACAATATGTAATATACCCAAGGTTACCCATCTGGGAGGTAACTGTCTTCAGGGTAAACTTGGGGAAGCATCCCCTCTCTGTGTGAGGCAAGATTTGAATTCTTTTCATAGCAGCAAGAGGACAGTTGAGGATTCCGTGAGGTGGTTTGACCAAAGGATTTTGTCTGTTTCATTTTCTCTGTCCAAAGCAATGCCATCCACATAATTGCAATTTTTTCAGAACATGGATTGAGAAATGCTTAGAGGTTCGTTTTGTTTTTATATGTTTTAAAAAAATGTTACTTTTAACAATGAAAAGAGATCATTCCTTATATATTGACCAGTGATTAGATTTTAAATCTACTTTTCTATAAAACACAACTTTTATTCTTTCCTATCTTTGTGGAAAACATTCACATCAAAGTGCCACATCATGGGTATGCATACATGTTTGTATATCATAGACTATCTGGATGTTTTTAAGTTTCTTATCGAGATATAATTCATATACCATAAGTGTTGCCATTTTGAAGTGTACAATTCAGTGGCTTTTAGTATATTGAGAAGGTTGTACAATCATAATTCCAGAATGTTTTCATCACCTCCAGAAAAGAAACCCTGTACCCATGAACAATCAGTCCCTCTCTCTCACCCCCATTCCCTAGCAACCACTAATCTGCTTTCTGTTTCTATGGATTTGCCTATTCTGGACATTTCATATAAATGGAATCATCCAATATGTGGCCTTTTATGTCTGGCTTCTACTTAGCATCATATTTTTGAGGATCATCCGTGCTATATCATGGATGGGTACCATGTTCCTTTGATGGCTGAATAATACCCCCTTGTAGGGATGGACCACGTTTAGTTTATGCACACATGAGCTTGAGTGGCTGCTCTTTAAAGGGTATAAAAGAAACCAGTTCTCCCTGGAGGGGACCAGGGAAATGGGGCTCATGGATGGCAAGAGGTTTTTTCATCATGGTGTTTTGTGTTGTTTAAATTTTTACATTGTTTGTATGTTACCTTTAAGAAATGAAGGAATTGATGTTTACAATTCAGTGTTCTTGTGAAATGCAGGGTGTGGCATTTGTGATATGACCAGGGCCTCCTCACACCTCTGCAGCTTGAGATTCTCACCAAAGCACAGCACGTTCCTCACCCAGGAGTAGGGACAGCAGCCCAGGTCCCCAAGGGCTGGCCAGTTTCAGCTGGGAGATGGGTGACTGGTTCCTTGCACCGCCCCTCCGCATTCACAATCCATGTGTCCCTCGGCACAGTTATGAATCACTCCATAGTGGAGCCACTTTAGGGTGAGGGAGAATTAGGTTAGCAAATGCTAACACTGGAAACGCACTGTCTGCCTGGGTCCTGCGAGGCTGGCACAGTGTCAACAGCTGTGTGTAGGAGACGTGATTGCCTGGAACCCCCAAGAATGCACCTAAAAATCATCAAACACCATCAGATTACAAACCAATATAAAGAATTGATAGTTTTTCTATGGAAGAATCAAAAATCACTTTGGAAAATAGAATGGAAATCAAAATCCTGTAATAGCAATAAAAACTAAAGACTTGGCCTGGCGTGGTGGTTCATGCCTGTAAACCCAGCACTTTGGGAGGCTCAGGTAGGGGGACTTGAGGCTAGGAGTTTGAAACCAAACTGGGTGACATAGTGAGACCCTGCCTCTACAAAAAAATAAAAAAATTAACTAGGCATGGTGGTGCATGCCTGTAGTCCTAGCTACTTGAGAGGCTGAGGCAGGAGGATTGCTTGAGCCCAGGACTTGGAGGCTATAGTGAGCCATGATCGTGCCACTGCACTGCAGACTGAGACCCTGTCTCAAAACAACCAAACAAACAAACAAAAATAAAAAACTAAAGACTTACATAAATTCAGGGACTTTTACACTGAGAAGATCCAATATAGTGAACATATCAATTCTTTCTAATCTAATCTATAAACTTGATGTGATCCCATCAGAAAATTTAATTGTTTAGCTAGGAAAGCAGAGTTCCCAGATGAGAAATGTGAGAGTAGCTGAAATAGTTCTGAAAAAAGGGAAGACTGGGCCCGGGGGTATCAGTCATCCCAGTTATTAAAACGTGTCATAAAGCTGCAATAAACCAAACAGTTTGGCAGGGGTACAAGAAAAGAGAGCCAAGGAATAGACTGACTGCATATGAGAATTTGGTTTACAATAAAGGAGACAATTAGAATTAGGAAACGATAGTTACTCATCCAATTGTGTTAGAACACCTGGCCCAAGAGGCTTAACCTCTGCCCTACTATTTACTATCAAACAAATCAAACCATGGTTCAAAGATTAAGATAAAATAAAGCTATGAAAGGACTAGAATACAACACACATTTTTTGAAAGAATGATAATTTTGAAGGGGAAAGGATCTTGCTAAGCAAGACACAAAACTTAGAAATGGTAAAGAATGGTCTGTTTGACCACTGACTACACAAAAATTATACAAAATAATCTGTGTGGCAAAAACAATTACTTCATTTGAGTTCCAGAGACAGAGGACCAGGGAGGGAGGACATATTTGCAACACACATAACAAAGGATAAATTCTTTAACATTGAGTGTGTACTTTTAGAAATCAGTAAGAAGAATGCCAAGACCCTGAGAAATAGAATAATGTGCAAAACACAGTGACACCGTAAGAAATAAATATAGAAATGGCATGTGTTGATTTAAAAAGAGACCCAGTCTCAGTCACAGATGCAAATAACCACCTAGAGATAGTATTTTTCACCTGTGCCAGCAACTGAGATCAGGAGTTTAATATACATAGATACTGTTTACCAAAGGCTGTCAGGTAAGCTCACGGAGTTTTGTTGGGAATGGAAACTAGTGTTGTCTTTTTTGGAGGGCAAATCTGTCAAAGATGAAAATCCATTTACTCTTTGGCCCCCAACTCCACATCTAGAAACATGTTCACGTGTGCAGACTGTGGATGCAAAGTCTGTTTCAGCAGTTTTTAGCAAAGGCATGGTAATGACCCAACTGTTTATTCTTGGGAACTGGGCATATAAATGGTAGTACATCCTCCTGATGAAATGTAGCAGTGTAAAAGTATTTTGTATGTGTGCTGATATGGAACAATTGCTGAGGTAAAGAAAAATTAAGCTGAGAAATGTCTGTGTAGAGATGTGTATATGTCAGACAGTTATTCATGCCTCGGACATACTTAGAGATACAGAAGAAACTCTTCAGGGCATATGTCTCAGACTCAAGTAGAACACAGACTTACCTTTCTATCCAATATCTTTTTTACCAGTTGATTGTTTTCAACCATGTATGTGACCTACTTTTAAAATAATAAAAAGCAGTTGGCTGGTGACAGTTGACACACAACTGTCAAGTATTCACTTGAAGAATAATGGAAAGAAGGTGAGTTTTTTGTTTTGTTTTTTTCTGGAGACAGAGTCTCGCTCTGTCCCCCAGGCTGGAGTGCAGTGGCACGATCTCGGCTCACTGCAACCTCCACCTCCCAGATTCAAGCAGTTCTCATACCTCAGCCTCCCGAGTAGTTGGGGGTACAGGCATGAGCCACCGTGCCCGGCCGAATGTGTGTTTTAAAGGAAATGTTATTTTGTCTTTCAAATTAGCAGAGAAAGAAAAAAATGGCATTACCCAATGCTGGAGGGGGTAAGTGCCGATATCGTGTCAATTGATCTGAACCCTTGGGAAAATAATTTGGCCATATGGCACACGTGCTTTAAAACAGCTCTATTCTTTCACCCAGTAATTTGATTTTAGAAACCTAGAGAAAAAAATTTTATTTAAAGACACATTTTAAGTAAAATGAAGAACATTTTACTTATTTTTATGTCCAGTACAGTCAAAGCAGCCACATTGCATAACCCCGGGGGACCCCCTTCCTCTTTGTGATGCCCCAGAACAATATTGATTTGATTATAGAAAGCCACCGGCAGCCTACATGCGCAACGGTGAGTTGTTGGTTATATACACTGTGGACCATACAGTGGAATATTACAGTCAATAAAAGGTATTTTTAGAGAGAAAAAAAAACATTGGAACACGCTTATGATATAATGTTAGGCAAAATCGCTGTTATGAACAGCTCGTTTGGGGCAGAGCAAATCCTGGGAAGTAACACTGAGGCTGTTGGTGCAGGCGGTGGAGTACAA
This sequence comes from Homo sapiens, assembly GCF_000001405.40. Classification (NCBI taxonomy): domain Eukaryota; kingdom Metazoa; phylum Chordata; class Mammalia; order Primates; family Hominidae; genus Homo; species Homo sapiens. The sequence continues at coordinate 5,828,654 of NC_000004.12, read as the reverse complement.
CATCTTCGAGGGTATGGAGTGCCACGGCTCCCCACTAGTGGTCATCAGCCAGGGCAAGATCGTCTTTGAAGACGGAAACATCAACGTCAACAAGGGCATGGGCCGCTTCATTCCGCGGAAGGCGTTCCCGGAGCACCTGTACCAGCGCGTCAAAATCAGGAATAAGGTGAGTGTGTCTGCAGGGGAGCGGGCCCACCCGTGGGACCAGAGCCGACAGCGTCTCTTGGGGAATCGAGATCTGACGTGTGCAGAGTTAATAATGTCATCGCCCTGGGAACCTCCGTTTCCTTATCTGTTAAATGGGTTGAGACGCTGGCCTGGGCTCCTGTCTGAGGACAGGAGTGAGCATCAAATGAGGACATGCAAGTTCCAGGGCTTTGCAAACTGTAGAGGGGTGTGCACCCGTGAGGGTGGGTGGATCATGGGAGGGACGCTTACCAAGCTGCTCTGGGCGCTGTCCTGCGTCATCTTAAGTAATCCTGCCCACCCACGGGAGGTGCTGTGATCCTCCTTTTGCAGCCCAGAGCAGTGAAGGGCTTAGCCAGAGTCACGGCTCAGAAACCCTCGGGTCTGGCCCTGTGGAGCAAGGTGTTACCCCTGGCATCTTGCAGGCAGGGCTTCCTTCAGATCCGCCCTTTCTTCCTTTCCTTCCTCCCTTGACGTTTCTGCCCTGTCGTTCCTTATTTTCCTTGAACAACCTTAGCACTGACCTCAGGACATCTGTCAAAGGGAAGGAGCAGGCTCTATTCCTAACTTTAGAGCAACTCAGAGGAGGGAACTTTCTCACAGCTGAGAGAGACTCCCGCCCGTGGCCAACATCTTCCCCAGCCAGGCCCTCCCATCCCCATGGCAGCTGCTTTCCCCATGAGACAGCTGATGTTTGCCAGAAAGGCCAGCTTCGTGTGTGTGTGTGTGTGTGTGCACGCGCACATGTGTGTATGTCTATGCGTGTCATGTGTGCATGTGTACATGCATGCACGTGTGTATGTGTGCATATGGGGATGTGTGTGCGTGTGTTGGAGTGTGTGTGTGTGCGCGTGTGTGTATGCGAGCATGTGGTGAGCTCTGTGTGTGTGGCCATGTGTGTACCTGTGTGGTCCTGTTCTTTGTATGCTTCCTAAGTGACCAATTGAGATGGAGAAGTCCAGAGACCTTCCTGCATTCCCAGGCTCCAGCCCGGACTGGGAGGCTCTGCATCTGGTTTTGGTCTCTCCCCAGCTTCCATAAGGTGTAGCACCAGGTCAAAGACACCAAGTCGCACAGATGCTTTGCACTGGATGGGGAAACAAGGGATGGGGTGGAAACAAGTCAGATCCGAGACAAGGCCAGGCACAGGCAGCAGGCCATATGAGGACAAGGGGACTCATGGAAATCCCTGGCTGGGACACCCACTGAAGAGGCAGACACACCCCTTGGCTGGCTTCATTTCCTTCTTGGTCTGAAGCTGAGGCCTGCGGTTAACAGTCAGCTTCCGTGAGGGCAGATATCTGACCCCAAATGCCAAGACAGCAATTTGCAGGAGCAATAGGATCGGGGGGTCCCATTGCACAGGGATTCCTTCATGCCTGCAGGAGCTAGACCAGGTGAAGGAGAGACCTGCATCAGAGCCTGCCTCTGGCCACCTGAGCTTCAGGGAGTGATGAACGGCCTCACCCAGGAAGCAATGCCACAGCCACAGAGAATGCACAGGATACAGTGAGGCCCAGGGAGTCGGGGAGCAGGGCTCCAGGGACAGAGGGGAGGGCCGTTGACATGATGTGCAGGTGCTGGGTCTTTAAACTTGGTGCTAAAATTAAGGCTTCCTCCTATGGAGAGACAGGAGCCCAGAGCTGGGGGTCAGGGTGCTATCACCTGCAGAGAAGGAGGGAGCCAGGCCTGGGGTCAGGGCACTGTCACCTGATATGGAGGATGAAGCCCCGTGTTGGGTTAGGGCACTGCCACTGACTCATGCTGGGACCCTGTACAGGTCCCTGAACACATGCTGTTCTCCAGTGCCTGGAGCAGGTGCCCTCCCAACCTTGGCCATCCCTGAGGTCACCTGGGCTGCTGTCAGCAGTTCCCAGCAGGCTGACAGCCTCCTGCCTGGAAGCCCTGCTGCTTTCAGGGTCTCTGCCCCCACAACCCTTTCCCAGTGGGGCTAGGGCTGTGGCTCCATTGCCCTCCTTCCTCGTCCTCCTGCAGGCTGGTGTGGAGGTGTCCTCCCCACAGCATCCCCAGCCCTGCCCCCCATAGACCTGGCCCACTCCTTGTCCCTCTGTACTGAGTTTTCTCCCTCCCTGTCTCAGCTCCCCACTCCTTCCCCCTTTCTGGAACCATCTCCCAACAAACTATCTGCCCCCCGAATCTTTGCCTCGCTGTTGACTTCTACAAGAACATACATGAAGATGGGCCCGTTGCTGCTGCCTTGTCTGGGACTCAGGGGTCCTTTCCGGGGGTGGGTAGGTGGTAGTGTCAGGCAAAGTGACTTCTCTTTGGAAGGGATTTGGGGTCCTCCTGCATGAAGCTTTGTGTGTATGAGTATGCGTGTGTGTAAGTGTATATATGGGTGTGTATACCTGTATGAGTGTGTGTGTGGGCATGTATGCATGTGTATACATATGTGAGTATGCCTTTGTGAAGATCTGTATGTGATTTAAGTGTGTGTGCGTGTTCACGCGTGTATGCTACTGTGTAGGCCTGTTTTGTTACTGCATGTGCATGCATATATGTGTGCATGACTGCATGTATGTGAGTGCGTGTGCGTGGTGTGTGCGTCTGTATGTGTATGCATGTGGGTATGTAGATGTGTGTGTATGCATGCTTGTGTGTATGAATGCCTGTGTGCGGCTGCATGTGTGTGAAGTGCACCTGTCGTGTGTGCGTGTTGTGTGTGTGTGTGCATGCACATTTGAAGTGACCTCAGGTTTCTCTCTCGCCCGCAGGGCTCTGCTTTATCTGCCCAGAAGGGCACACATGCACAGTGTCGATCAATCACACTCTCCCTTCCTCTGTTTAGGTTTTTGGATTGCAAGGGGTTTCCAGGGGCATGTATGACGGTCCTGTGTACGAGGTACCAGCTACACCCAAATATGCAACTCCCGCTCCTTCAGCCAAATCTTCGCCTTCTAAACACCAGCCCCCACCCATCAGAAACCTCCACCAGTCCAACTTCAGCTTATCAGGTAGGAAAGAGTGGTGGCCCAGGCTCCCCACAATTGCAGCAGTTCAGGCCGAGTCCTTCCTGCTGCTTCTGAGGAAATGGACACGTGGCCTTGGACACTAGATGAAGAAGCAGGGAAGGGAGTGTGCCCCACCCGAGCCTGCTCTCACTGGTGGGGCAGAGTGGGCTGGCATGGTCACCAAGCAGAGGGGGGTCCATGTTAGGGGGGCAACATGGTGGTACCTGATGTGGGTTTACAAAGAGAGGTACCAAAATTGTCCCAGTGCTCATCCTTACACACATTTGGGGACACTTTCACACTCTTCCTCATGAAAGTAAACATGGAGTGGTGGGGATGAACAAGAGATGGGAGTAGCTGCCATTTGCAGGGCATGTGCTCTGTGTAAGTCTTTAGCCTGTTCACCCACTGCAGTGTACTAAGCACTTTCATAACCCATGATTTTATTTTATCCTCACTACTCCATAAAGTAACATTATACCCTATTTATTTAAAGAGGAAACGGAAGCCCCAAGAAATCCAGTGTCAAAATACCAGGACTTGGTGCTCAACAAATGTGTGGGAACAAAATTAGATGTTGACCTGATCCCTCCTGACTTTCTTAAGGTCTCAGGGCAGTGTATCTGTGATTTGGTGAGATGGCCACATGAGGGCAGGCACGCACACGTTGAGAAAGTTGAACTGGAATTTTGTCCTGCAAACTCTTTGAGGCGTTGCATGGGTTGCACACCGTGCTGGGTACTAAGAGTATGGTGATTTTTTTTCTTAGAAGGCCGGATAGTAAATACTTTAGGCTTTGTAAGCTAAGAGGCAACATCTAGGATGTCAACATCTAGGATGTTATATTCAATAGCCATTTGAAAATGTACAAACTATTCTCAGGTCATGGATCGTACAGAAACAGGCGGTGGGCCGGATTTGGTCAATGGACCCGTTTGCTAATTCCTGGTCAGGAAAGGCGATATGCTTAGCAAAAGAGAGAGTGGAAGGGGCAAAGAGAGAGAGAGAGAGAGGATGACGTGTGAATTCAGATTGTGTGGTGGCAGAACCTCTTATCCATTCAGGAAGTGTCTGATTCAGTGATTATGCCGAGGAGGCATGAATCAAGGAGGCCTCCCCATTCATCTCACTCTCCATAAGACTTTGATGGAAGAGCTTCCAGTGTTTCATATTTTTGCACAAAATGGACCCTAAATAGAATGCTAAAAGTCATGTGATGCTCAATCAGCAAACCAGGGATTGGCTTCATCCTGGGAAAAAGCTATCTGGGTGCAACAAGACACAAGCTCTCAAGGAGTTTGCAAACTGGACCACTGTTCTGGAGTTATGCAATTAAACACTGCACAATTGCAATTAAACATGGACAGAAAATCCTCCTCCCCGTTGTTCTTAGAACAAGAATAACAATGAAGTTAAAAGCCACCTGGAAGGGCCCCTCCTCACCCTTGTTCTCTCAGTTTCACTCTTAGTCCTCCTGAGGCCCACAGCACCACTGCTGTCAGCCAGCCTCTTGGCAGGTTGATAGGTGACTTCATTTGGTACCAACAACACAGATGCTTTCCAACATCATAACAACCTCACAGATGCCCTTTTTAATATCTGCGTATGTTACGTTATAGAGCTGTACCATGAGTTAGTGTCTGTTTTCGTCCATTTACATTGCTATAAAGGATTACCTGAGGCTGGGTAATTAAAGAGGTTTACTTGGCTCACGGCTCTGCAGGCTGTACAAGCAGCACGGTGCCAGCGTCTGCTTCTGGTGAGGGCCTCAGGCTACTTCCAGCATGGCAGAAGGCGAAGGAGAGCTAGCGTGTGCAGAGATCACATGGCAACAGAGGAAGAAGGCAGAGGTGCTCTTTAACAACCAGTTCTTCCGAGAGCTAATAGAGCAAGAATTTACTCATTACTGTAAGGCTGACACCAAGCCATTCATGAGTGGTCTGTCCTTCATGACCCAAACCCCTCCCATTAGGCCCCACCTCCAACTTTGGGATCAAATTTCAACACGAAGTTTTGGGGGACAAAAGTCCAAACCATATTAGTGTCCTTTTTTCCAGCAGGTATTTTCAAAGTACAGACATGCAACCAGCAAGGTACAGATGGTTGTAAGGAAAAAGTTACTAAGTGCTAGGCCTGATTCCAGGCCTTTAGGGGAGACTTGTATTGCAAGAAGACATATTGTCTACCAGTGAAACAATGGGAGAAAAGAAAAGTCACTACTGTGAACCAAATTCTTAGTGGCTTACATAGACAAATCATGTAATGTTGGAGTTGGAAGGGGCTCATCTAGTCTACTGTTCTTATTGTGCAGAAAAGGAAATGAGGCCAAGGGAGTGGGGTGGTGTCTTACTCCAAATTGCCCAAATTCAAGGCATGATTAGCACTGAAACTTGAGTCTCCTTCCTGTTGCAGGTGACAACTACCTGGGGCCAGTGTTCTGCAGCTAGTAAAAAAAATTCACCAAGACAGTTGTCGGTAAAGAAAGTCAGATGTATTAGAAAAAGTATGAAAGGGTACAGTGGGTAGGTCAGCAAGAAAGGAGCCGACTGCAAGGAAACAAAGGCTTGCTGGAGATTTTATAGGATGGTGCTTGTGCTGTGTGCCGAAGAGGGCTTTGTGCAGTACTGATAATGCTGTGGTTGCAGTGAGCTAACTTACTTACGTTTTTCTGTTAGCTGAGGATCTGGTGATAAGTTGAGTACAGGAAGGCTGTGTTGTAGACCATGAAGAAAGGCAGACTTACAGCTTATTTGCTTTCTCTTTTTGATTTTCCTCAGTTCCGCCGGCTCAACTTCCCCTCCCTGATAAGGACTCTATCCTTCCCACCTTTCAGCATTATCCACCCTTCATGATTTACTCATTTAATAAATATTTGTTGAGCTCCAGGCACTGGGTTTGCTGCTAGAATTTTACATCTTTATGCAAGAGAATAGGTAAAAGTAGAATGGATGGTTGGTTTTGAAAGATTAAAATTAAGAACCTCTGCACACCACCCCCCCCCCCTTCAGATCCACCTATCGCCAATGAGGGAAGTAAATCCAGCTTGCGGAGTTCACATGCACATGCACACACATATGCACATGCATATACAAATGTGTACACACACAATATGTAAAATACCTTTGGAGTGTGGGACAGTGTGCCTAAGATCATGGGCTTTGAAAACCAACCAGTTTGGGCTTCAATCCTGGCTTCCCCACCCAACACCTGTGTCCCGCAAGACACGTGGCCTGAACCTCAAATTGCTCACCCGTAAGTTGGGAGTACAAACACCCCCTTCATAGTATGATTGTGTGCCCTAAATGCAGTAACATGTTAAAGCACCAAATGTGCGCCTGCACACAGTAGGCACTCAGTAAGTGTTTGATCACCTGTCTCAGGAATGTCGGATTTTACTGGGGATTTTGACAAGAACACCACAAGGTGGTCAGGGCTGAAGGTGGGGGGAGCCCAGGGACTGAGGGGCACAGAAGAGGGAGCAGTGGACTCTGTGGAGGCCAGGGAGGCTTCCCATGGCTGGTCCTGGACTGAGCCCTGAATGAAGGTGGGTCCAGTGGAGTGCATGGCAGAGTACATGGCCTCCAGGAGCAGCGTGGAACTGATGCTAACAGATCCCATCCAGCAGCGATTGGCGCTCTCTTTCAGGTGCCCAGATAGATGACAACAATCCCAGGCGCACCGGCCACCGCATCGTGGCGCCCCCTGGTGGCCGCTCCAACATCACCAGCCTCGGTTGAACGTGGATGCGCGGAGGAGCTAGCCTGAAGGATTCTGGGAATCATGTCCATCCCTTTTCCTGTCAGTGTTTTTGAAACCCACAGTTTTAGTTGGTGCTGATGGAGGGAGGGGGAAGTCGAAGGATGCTCTTTCCCTTTTCTGTTTAGGAAGAAGTGGTACTAGTGTGGTGTGTTTGCTTGGAAATTCCTTGCCCCACAGTTGTGTTCATGCTGAATCCACCTCGGAGCATGGTGTTTTCATTCCCCCTTCCTAGTGAACCACAGGTTTTAGCATTGTCTTGTTCTGTCCCTTCCACTTCTAACTCCACTGGCTCCATGATTCTCTGAGTGGTGGTTCCTTTGCACCCTGTAGATGTTCTAGGATAGTTGATGCATGTTACTAAATTACGTATGCAAGTCTGTGAGTGCGTCTGAGGGGACATCGCCAAGGACTGACTGAGACACGATGCCGAGACCTCAAGCCCTGAGGGGCAGTCCCAAAACCCTTACAGTGAAGATGTTTACTCATTGCCCCCACCTCTGGTCCACACTAGAAAGAAGCTCGCCCCACCTCCACCTGTGAGATCCGTGAATTCTCGGAATGGCAGGGGAAGCCTTGCACTAGGTTGCAGAGAAGCATCCTCCACATCCTGTGTCAGAAACCCTGGTCTCCGTGGCACTTGTAACTCACCGTGCTGTCTTCTGGTCTGTGTGTGTTCTTCAAGCCAGCTCTAGGCTTCAGGCCGAGCCAGGTTCACACTCAGAAAGAGGTCTCCCCATCCCCATTCGGGGCTGACGATGGGGGGCTGATGGCTGCCCCTGCGTGGCCTGAGTCCTGGTCCCTCTGAGGCAGTTGACGGGGCAGTCAGATTTTTAAAGTTTTGTACAAAGTTTTCCTTTGTAATCACTCCCATTTTTACTTAACAACCAACTTGTTGTGGCTCTTATTTCTGAATTCAAAGCTTGTGAAAAAATAAAGAAAATGAACTGCCCACTGACCTGACTAGGGCACTTTCATTTCAGTGGTGGTGTCTGGATTGGGTACGAATGCTTGGCAGTCCCCCCGCGTGATAACGAATGGTGGTGGCTGCTTCCTGAGGACTCACTCTTGGTAGAGACTGGTGGATGTGGGGGTGGGAGGAGAGATTCAGTTCATGACTTCTGAAGGCTGAGTTCCTGAGACCCAAGGAGGCGAAGAGAGGGAAGACGGCTGATGGGCGGGCTTCCACAAAATAGGCTCAAATCTTGCATTGATTCCCTCCTGTTGGGCCTTTCCTGGCTCTCTTTCTTCTTGTATTGTATGGATCAGCCTCAGACTGGAAGCTCCAATCTCCTAAACTTCACATTTCTTCCTTCCATTTCCATGAGCTAGAGATACACTAAAGGACGGATAAAAACAGCAGGCAAAGTTGCTTGCTTCCATTAGCTGTTGTTAGTAATAGTGATGACAATGATGGTGGTGACAGTAATGATGGTGGTGATGGTGATGATGGTGACGATAGTGGTGATGATGATGGTGGTGTTGGTGATAGTGATGAAGTTGCTGGTAATGACAACAAATACATGGGCTGATAGCTGTATAGCAGTTGCTATATGCCAGGTGCTCTATGAGGTAGGGATTATTATCCCCATTGTACAGATGAGGAAACTGACTCAGAGTGAGATCAATAACTTGTTTAGGATCACACACTTAGGAAGTGATGGAACCAGGATTTGAATCCAGGACCCAGGCACTTTGGGCCCTAGTCCAAAGCTCCTTGCTCCTAATTACTGAGCTCCAAGGGCATTTGAGGCAGATGGCTTTGGATGCTCTGGTCCCACATCAACGCAGGGCTTTTCATGTACCCTTCTCCTCCCCCGCTCCTCGGCTTCGTGTGGATACCTTTGTCAAGGTTGAAAGAAGTGTTGGCTCAGGGTCAGTTATAGACTTCCTTGAAACAAGGTTAACTAACTACTGAGAAAGACCAAGAATGGATGGTAAGGATTTTTGGATGGAAAGACCAAGAACGGATGGTAAGGATTTTTGATGTTCGGCTTTGGCCCATTTGGACTATTAAAGGGAAACTTCCAGAAAAGTAAAGTTGGCAGGATGAAGTTATCCAGCCTGTTCTCTGGGCCTGGCCTCCTCAGTCCTGTCAGGGTGGAAGTGGAAGCAGAAGCAGCCCTAGCACCTTCTCTAAGACAGACTCTGACGGGGTGCTTGCCTGACTCCCAGGTCATGGGAGCCACTGTCCAACCAGCATAATCTAGAGCCCATGTCGAACTTTGGGTTCCCCAGCGCCTCCAAGAGGCACAGTTACAGGGGACAGGAGACCTGGTAGCTCAGATAATCCTTAGTTCTTGGAGACTGAGCTGCAACACTCCTTTTAAGGCATGTGACTTCCTTTTACCTCTTGAGATTTTGGGAGGAGGGAGAGAGAGTTTCTCAGAAAGTTTTAGGGGAAGGCTATTCTCATTCATTCATCTGCAACCCAATTCTCCCAGCCATGTGACATAACATACTCACAGGCCCAGGGATTAGGATGTGGTCATCTTGTTGGCAGGGACGGGGAGCGTTATTCTGCCTACCACAGTAGTCTTCTGGGTTTTTTCTAGAAGTTTTATCTTTCACATTTAGGTCTCTGAGCCATCTCTCAATAATCTTTATGTACAATATAAGGTAGGACTGAAGGTTCTCCATTTCCCATATGATCTCCCATTGACCCAACACCATTTATTGCAAAGACTATTCTTTCCCCCATTAAGATGCAGTGGGGCCTTTGTTGTAAGTCAGGTGATTGACCCTTCTGATTCAGTGGTCCAGAAGTGTGCTGCCAAATCAATGTTGAACAATGGGTGAAGGTGGGTGGGGTAGAAAGCCCTTGTTTGTAGTGTTTGCTAGTTCTGTGGACCCCACTTCTGTTACCGATTTTCTGTCTTAGTCCATTTGGCATCACTGTAACTGAATACCTGAGATGGGGTAATTTATAAAGAAAAGGAATTCATTTCTTACAGACTTTGAGACTGAGAAGTCCAAGGTTGGGGTGGTGCTGGTGCATTTGGTGAGAGCCTTCTTGCTGGTGGGGACTCTGCAGAGTCCTAAGGCAGTGCAGGGCATCACATGGTGAGGGGGCTGAGTGTATTGGCTCAGGTCTCGCTTCCTCTGCTTATAAAGCTGCTGGTCCCGCTCCCATGATAACCCATTAATCCACTGACTCACTGATACATTAATCTATGAATGAATTAATCCATTCATGAAGGGAGAGCCCTCATGACCCAATCACCTCTAACAGGCCCCACCTTTCAGTACTGCCACATTGGGTATTAAGTTTCAACATAAGTCTCTTGCCATGGCCAATTTCAACCTATCGACATTAAGTAAATGAGTTTGGAATCCAGACCACTTAACTGTTGGCTCTGATGTCCCAGGAAGGGGTGGTTCTGGCCCCTCTGCATTTGTTGGTGTATTAGTCTGTTCTCACTCTGCTGATAAAGACATACCCAAGACTGGGTAATTTATAAAGAAAAAGAGGTTTAATGGACTCACAGTTCCACGTGGCTAGAACTTCACAATCATGGCAGAAGGCACGTCTTCATGATGGCAGGCAAGAGAGAGAATGAGAACCAAGTGAAAATGGTTTCCCCTTCTAAACCATCAGACCTCTTGAGACTTATTCACTACCACAAGAACAGTATGGGGGGAAACTGCCCCCATGATTCAATTATCTCCCACCAGGTCCCTCCCACATCACGGAATTATGGGAGCTACAATTCAAGATGAGATTTGGGTGGGGACACAGCCAAACCACATCAGTTGGTTTGTCTATCTTTGCCTCCAGATTGCATATTGACTCTTAAAAAGTGAGACAGAATGGGCAAGGTCTTTGCACATACTTTTCCTTCATCTACGTAAAGCCAAACCATTTTCAGATGTCACCAGTAGGGTCTACCATGTTCTAGCCCCCAGGGTTGGTCTGGCCACCTTGATCATAGACAGTGGACAAGAGAAGGTGCTACCCTTATCCTGGGGCCAAATCTCTATAGACTCAACAGAGCTACTCTTCTGACGTAAGTGCGTAACCCTCCTCTGTGTTACTCTTTCCAAGGCAGAGTGTGGCCGTGATGCCCATTGACAGTGTCATTTGCCTAAAGGTTCATTCCAATCAAGTCCATTTATGAAGTGAAAAACCATGAAAAGAAGTTTCCTAAGCAAAAGGGGCTCTTAGCAAGTTGAACTTTCTATTTTTCTCTTAGTGCAGACCTGCAGAGATTTTAGAGGAAAAGACACAGGGGCCCTGGTGCACCTGGCTTCAGAGTAAAGCCTCTCACTGGTAGTCTGTTCCCAAGAGGAGGAAAGCTGTGGCATGGCTGTGCGTCCAGAGTCCATCTGGGAATTTTCTGGGAGATCTATCAAACCACTTAGGCAGCCTGGCTATCCATTATGCCTGGATGTGGACTTCAAAGTCTTTCCCTATCAGACGGGAGCCAAACACCACGTGGGTAGCTTGGGGTCCCAGCTTGCAATGGACAAGAGCCCCGACACGGTGCAGGAAGCCTCTATAGCCACTGCCCTCCCCCATCCAGGCCACTGTATTTGGAAGGAAGAATGTCGACCAGGACCTCCATGACTCCAGTTTCATAGCAAAAAAGAACACTCCGTATCCCAACGTTCACTTGTAGCCATGTGGGCAAATGCCTGGTGCAGGGGATTTCTCCTGGGCCAGGCGGCCCTGTGACCTTTAGGCTGGGGCCTCAGCCTCACTGATTCCTTCTCCCAACCTGCCCTGCCTTTGCCCAGAGCATGACGGAGGCAGCTAAGTGGTTTCCAGAGAAAGGAGAACATGGACAGGAGTCAGTTCTCTAGGGTTGCCTGGGCCCAGAGTTCTCAGGAGGTTGAAGGGTCAACTAAGCCTGAGACGGCAAGTGCCTTGGTCCACGTCCTCTGAGACGCAGACACTGAGCCAGGATTAGATGTGGGCAAGATGTGTACTGGGGGACATATCTGTGAGGCAAAATGAGGAGAGAGCCAGAGGAGGCAGAGCCCACAGATTTGCGATGCAGCTGACAGCCCCATGATGGAGGGAGAGAGGGAGGGGAGAGAGGGGAGAAGGGAAGGGAGGGAGGGAAGGGAGAGAGGGGAAGGAGGGAGGGAAGGGAGAGAGGGGAAGGAGGGAGGGAGAAAAGAAGGACAGAGGGGGTAAGGAAAGAAGGGAGGGAGGGGAGGAAGGGAGTGAAGAGAGGGTAGAAAGGAGGGAGGGAGGCAAGACTCTGGTGCTGCACAGTTCTACATCTCAGCAGGTAGAGCAAGAAGTCCTGGGGCCCAGGCTGTCCTCTGGAGGAGCCCTGTCATGTGGGCTAAGGAGGCCTCCACATCCCTGCCTCTTGCAGGCACTGGGAGCACCCTGCAGGAAGTGTGGCCTCCATGCTCACGCAGGGAAGGATTTCTGAGCACGGCAGGAAATCCCAAGGATGTTGGTCGTTTTTGCTCCTTGCCGTTGGGGACCCAAGAGGTACATGTTCATGGCCACCACAGCCAGAACAAGGCGGATGAAGAGCTCACCTCAGACTAAGTCCAGCGGCTGGACTGCAGGCTATGTCGGTGGGCAGGAGGTGCATCAGGAAGTGGACCAAGTCCATCAGCGGGAGCCCAGTGGGGAAAAAACAGATCCCCAGGCCTCCTGTCCAATCTGCTGACTCAGAATCTCTGGGATGGGGCTAAGAATGTTGTTTTTAATGAGCCCCTGGGTAATGCTGACACACAGCCAAATCTATAAGCCATGGGGGGAAAATAGTATTCCTGGCCTCCCTCCCTCCCTCCTTCCTTTCCAATCCATACACCACAGGAGGAAAGTATATACTCAGCGTTCCTCCCTCCCTTCCTTCCAAACCAGTTGCCACAGGAGGAAAGGAATATTCCCAGGCCTCCCTCCCTTCCTTCCACCAGGTGACCATGAATGCCTGTTATATGCCAGGTGGCATGTGGCCGGTCAATGGTGTACATTCCAGGGGGGACGTCAGGTGCGAATCAAATGATTACTCAAAGCACCGAACTGCACACTCTGTTAAGGGCTATAGAGGAAACATTTAGGGGAGAATAATCCCATCTCCCACTCCTCTGGTTTCCATAGAGGGAGGGGCTTCCACTCTCTGGGGGACAGCACAAGGGACTTCCCTGGCCCCTCTCCCTCTCTCTTTTATTCTTCTCTGGGGAGGAGGAGAAATACCTGATTGGCCAGTCTGGGAAGGATCACTCCCAAGACAGTGCCTGCCTCTGGATCGATTCGTTCCCCCTATAAATCACGCTTTACCCTCTAAACGGCCACATTTCCCCCATTTCCCGTCTCCCTATGAGGGTGTGGAAGCACCTGGACCTCACTGGTTTGTGGGGTCATCACTCTCCTGCAATTCCCCATGCCATGCACGTTACGTTGGAATGCTTTTCTTTTTCCTATTGGTCTGCCTTTGGTCAATTGTTTCTCAAGGAGCCTTCGTAGGGTGGAGGAAAAGCTTGCCCTCTGTGCCCCACAGCTGATTCACTGTAAAGCTCATGGAGCTCACACTTCTGCCACCTGTGCACAGACCCCACCGAGACCCGGGAGTGGGCTTAGCCACGGGTTCACTGACACATTCCTTACAGTTTACAATGCCACAGTCAGATCTTTTAGCTGCAATCCTTAAGACCACTGTTCCCTTTCCTGCTGATGCCACTGCATATCAGGTGACACTAGGGAGGCCTGGGACATTTGGAGGATCTGGGTAAGGGCCAGTTGAGTTGGGTTTAGTGGGATTGTTTATGTGGGTCTCACTGTACACCTCTGTGTATAGTGATGAACTTGGACAAGAAATAAAGGAAGGTTATTTATATGCTCCCCCACCGACCTCACCCCAGTCCCAGCAGCAAAGAACACAGGACCTAGAATCTAAGGGGGGCCCTGATGTTGTTCAGGGTTGGGGGCAGAGGGGGATCTCTGGAGATGTGAGTCCTGACTCCATGTGAGGAGTGGCTAGGAGCCACTGGGCAGAGGGCTGGGGAGGGGGGCAGGGGTCTTCCAGAAAGAATGCACATCATGAGCAAAGGCCCAGTGGGGGGCAGGGGTGTGGCCCATGTGAGGCCATGAGAGAAGACAGGGACCAGGTGCAGAGTGAAGGGGAAGGGCATCTGCTAGGCCGCAGGGGTGGGCTCAGCCTAGACCTCTCTGAGCCTCATGGTCCATGGTAAAGATCTGGCTTTTTCTCCTAAGAGCCAGGGAACGCCGCCCATAAGGCCAGGCAGATTTGCGTTGGAGAACATGTGATGGGCGGATGGCAGGGGCAGGAGAGGCTTCTGTGGCAACAGCAAGATCAGCACCGCCCTGGCCAGGGCCTCAGAAGGAATGTGGTGCAGAACGTGACCCCTGGTTGGCCAGGAGGGTCCTGGGAGAGTGCACTCACCCTGGGGGAGTACAAAAAACCGTGCTGGCTTCATCCTGCGGTCTCAAGTACAGGTCAGAGGGTGCTATTTTCACCAAAGAATTAAATCATGAGTTCATCATAATACATCATCTCTCATGGTCCCCTTCCAAATCCACATCCATCCATCACCATAACAGCCCACAGCCCATAATAAGTGGGGATGGTAACCAAAATGGAGGCAGGGTACCTGCGAGGCATCCTGGGGCTGCACTGCTGATCCTCTTCTCTCTCCCCTGGCCCTGAGTGCTGCCTTCATGTGGCTCAGCCCTTCCGTCCTTCAAGCCTTCATCAGCTTCAGGGCAGCCCCGAGTCTGTGCCCAGGTACACTGGCTAAAATGCAGTGTCTTCCAAATAGCCATATCTCATTTTAATCAGGGAGCAATTCCAGCATGGAAGTCCCCATCATGCTCCTGCTGGCAGGTACAGGTGCCAGTTTGTGACGGATGAAAGCACCGACAGCCCACGCGTCTTCATCATGGAGGCCTGTGCCCCAGACTGTGCCCAGCACAACAGCTGGGCGGCAAGGGTGGGCCAGGGTCGAGCAAATGACACGTTCCCTTTGGCTAAGGAAGACACCCCAGAAGCAAAATGCTCCATGCGACAGCCAGGCATTCAGGCTACAAGCTCGGTGGCGGGGAGGCAGCCGGGAGCCTTCTCAGAGGAGAAGGGTCCCGTGATCATTCCACAGATGCTTTCAGAGCTCTGGGCTCAGGGTAACCGACCAATTATGGTGCTGCCAGAGGGCCTGCATTTACTATACACACGTCACAAAATCAGGCTTCCCCGGGAGGAGCCATCGGACTCTGTGCAGAGGGCCCATGTGACAATATAAAAGTGATTTCTGGCCGGGCGCGGTGGCTAACGCCTAATCTCAGCACTTTGGGGAGGCCGAGGCAGGTGGACGATGAGGTCAGGAGTTCGAGAGCAGCCTGGCCAGTATGGTGAAACCCCGTCTCTACTAAAATAAAATACAAAAAAGATTTAGCCAGGCGTGGTGGCACACGTCTGTAGTCCCAGCTACTGGGGAGGCTGAGGCAGGAAAATCGCTTGAACCCGGGAGATGGAGATTGCCATGAGCCGAGATCACGCCACTGCACTCCAGCCTGGGCAAAAGTGATTTCTATGCAAAGCAGGTTTTAAGAATATTGCACCAAGGAAGCCATAGCTTTGCACAACTCCATGGAATAACCAAGTTTTTTAGTGAACCACAAGAGGGAGCTGTTGGTTAACTTTGGAGAGCCCACTGGCTGATGGGTGAGGAACTGAAGGAAGCGCTCTGATGATTAAGTTTTGGCCACTGGGAAGGAGTCACTTGTTTCTAAGAGAGTCTATTTCAGGTTTTAAGAAATGAAAAGTCACAAATGACCCTGAAAATTCCTGAGATAGGGGCTCCCAGAGCCAGAGGGCTCACTAGGTTCTGGGGATTTTTGGACGTATCCACGGCTATGTCCTGGATTAGACCAGGGCAAGGCACCCTTTGACTCAGCACAGTGGGTGATAACCCCATGGACACGGGGCAGTGTCTGGAGACATCCTTGGTTGCCACGAATGGTGGGAGTGCTGGCATCTGGTGGGCAGAGACCAGGGACACTGGAACATCCTGTGATGCTCTGGGCAGCTCCTTCCCCTGAAGAATGATCTCGCCCGGTATGTTCACAGTGCTGAGGGTGACAGTCCCTAACCTCCATCAAAGGAGCAATTTTCCCTCCAGGTGGGAACGGCCTCTCCTGGCTGTGGTGAGAGGGGCTGGTCTGGAAGTTTCTCTCCAGGTGGGAAAGGCCTCTCCTGGCTGTGGTGTGAAGGGCTGGTCTGGAAGCTTCTCTCCAGGCAGGAACGGCCTCTCCTGGCTGTGGTGTGTGGGGCTGGTCTGAAAGTTTCTCTCCAGGCAGAAAAGGTCTCTCCTGGCTGTGGTGTGAGGAGCTGGCCTGAAGCTTCTCTCCAGGCGGGAAAGGCCTCTCCTGGCTGTGGTGTGAGGGGCTGGTCTGGAAGTTCCTCTCCCGGTGGGAAAGGCCTCTTCTGGCTGTAGTGAGAGGGCTGGTCTGGAAGTTTCTCTCCCGGTGGGAAAGGCCTCTCCTGGCTGTGGTGTGAGGGGCTGGTCTGGAAGTTTCTCTCCCGGTGGGAAAGGCCTCTCCTGGCGGTGGTGTGAGGGGCTGGTCTGGAAGTTTCTCTCCAGGTGAGAAAGGCCCCTCTTGGCTGTGGTATGAGGGGCTGGTCTGGAAGTTTCTCTCCAGGTGGGAAAGGCCTCTCCTGGCTGTGGTGTGAGGGGCTGGTCTGGAAGCTTCTCTCCAGGTGGTAAAGGCCTCTCCTGGCTGTGGTGAGAGGGGCTGGTCTGGAAGTTTCTGTCCAGGTGGGAAAGGCCTCTCCTGGCTGTGGTGTGTGAGAGGCTTGTCCGGAAGTTTCCAGGCGGGAAAGGCCTCTCCTGGCTGTAGTGAGAGGGCTGGTCTGGAAGTTTCTCTCCAGGCTGGAAAGGCTTCTCTTGGCTGTGGTGTGAGGGGCTGGTCTGGAAGTTTCTCTACCGGTGGGAAAGGCCTCTCCTGGCTGTGGTGAGAGGGGATGGTCTGGAAATTTCTCTCCAGGTGAGAAAGGCCCCTCTTGGCTGTGGTATGAGGGGCTGGTCTGGAAGTTTCTCTCCAGGTGGGAAAGGCCCCTCCTGGCTGTGGTGTGTGAAGGGCTGGTCTGGAAGCTTCTCTCCAGATGGGAAAGGCCTCTTCTGGGTGTGGTGAGAGGGCTGGTCTGGAAGTTTCTGGATGCTCTCAGCATCTATCAGGGAGAGCAGGTGCCCCCATGACATCTCTCTGCACGGGCAGGGTGTCTACTGTCCGGAAGAAGCCCCTCCCCAGGTGAAGTGAGGGTTGGGCCACACCCTCTTCCTCATATTCTAAGTGTCCTCAGAGAATACATTTCTGCAGGTGTCATTATGTATCTGTGTGTCCTCAGCCCCAGATGGGCCCAGACAGGCCTTTGGGCCAGGGATTCCAGAGTCTGCATCAGGGGTCCTTGGCCTGAGGCTCGGACCCCTCAAGACGTCCCTCCTTGGGGAGAAAGATCCATGAGGCATCGAGCCAGGGCTCCAAGCCAAATGAAATGCAAACTCACAGAGACGTGTTTCCAAGACGGGAATGCCTAATTTTCTCAGGTGATACTCATTTATGCTTTTAGGGCACATTTCTATTCTTTCTCTGTCCCTCTCAGAAGAGCCTAGAGATGCCGCTGTCCTCTCCGTCCTCGCTGCCTCTCAGCACTGCAGGAGGGAAGGTGGAATTCACACCCAGACCCAGGGCTTCAGGTCTTGTCCCACCGACTGGTCTTAAACTACAAGTTGCTTCTTCTCTTTAGCATCTTCTTTGAGTTCCCACTGTCCCCAGCTTCACTTTCTTGCTGACTCAGCCTTTTGCTGCTTAAAACAGAGAAGAAAGGCAGCCAGTTAGAACGCTGACTCCATGCCCATCATGATGCCATAACTTACCCAATCGGATTAAATGAAAATGCAGCCAAAGGTGATCAAAACAATTTTTACTTTGACATGGGTTGTTAAGAAACCAATAAAACCCGTTTCCCTCCTTGGGTAGGAGGTCATCCAAGTGCCATGACCACAGCCATCCCTGGTCAAAGAAGGGACTGCCCAACACTTCAGGCTGGATGCCAATGGGGTGTGGAGGTAGGTCAAGGCTCATCTGGCCAAATGAGACACAAACAGGAAGGGTAACAGCCATGTGGCACCCCTGGTATCATCATGGCTTACTGCCCACAAATTACGTTCATATCTGTCATTTCTTGAACCTTCACATTTAATGCCTCTGAGGGGACTGATGATTTTCCTGCCCTGACTTTTGGCACACAGCAGCTGAGTGCATTTACCAAACCCAGCCACAGGCAACAGGTCCGGGGCCCAGTCATACCTGAGTGAGCCTGAGGTCTGGTCCCCGGAGGCAAGGTCCTCATTGTTGGGCACCCCCAGGTCCCCTCTTTCCTGGGGCAGGGGCTTCTTCCTTTTAGTCCTTAGGGGCTTCTCTGTAGAGGACAGATGAACCCAGGCATGGCTCTGTGACTTTAGACAAGTGACAACTTCTTGCAGCCTCACACCAACCCAGCCTGACATTTTTGAGCATGTTGTGTGGGCCAAGTGTATGCTTGGTATCTTATGCTATTGCAGCCACTCAACTAATGAGGAAACTGAGGCCTGGGAAGGTGACGTACTCTCCCAAGCCTGCACAAGCCAGGAAGTGGCAGAGCTGTGGCTTGAGCTCCAGTCTGCTAGGCTCCCGCTGGGTATCCACTCTACCCAGCTGACTGGAAGACTTAATGAAGCAGCAAGCAACTGAAAACCCAGCACCAGTGTGACAGCTTTTGTTTCAGTAGATCTCTGTGTTCTCACACCACCTTCTGAGTCACTCTCTCATTACCAGGTTAAAAAATCCTGTGATGTCACTGAAGTTGTCGCTGGCAAGGGTGGGAGGAGGGCTTATCCCCACTTTACAGATGGAAAAATGGAGTCAGTTAGGAGACACAGCCAGTGAACACCAGACCCAAGAACTGGAATTATCAAATGCTAGAGAGCAAGTGGGCCTGAGGGGTGGCCTAGCCAAGCCTGCTCATTTACAGACAAGGTCACAAAAGCCCAGAGAGCCTAGGCACGATGCCTAAGGTCACACAGCTAGTTAGTGGCCAGTGTGGAACTAGAATCCGTATCTCTCAGCCCAGAGTGCTTCCCGCTGCAACTCAAGCATCTGTGACTCACCTAGCAGCCCACGCTTAGCAGGCAACAGTTTGCTTTCAGCAAGGGGCACTCGGGCCAAGGCTGCCAGCTCGGAGATGAAGTTCTGTTCAGCTTCCTGAAATGCAAGCAGAGAGGAGCATTCAGCTGGGCCTCCCTCTGACTTCTCTAAATCCCTCTCCACGTGAGTGAATTCTGACACTTGAGGCTGGCCACTGAAGACCACGTCTCCCGTGTGGAGGAGAATTTTCCAACATACATCCCAGAGAGGAGAGGAGCAGGAGGACACACTGGCATCTACCAGCTCCTGCTGCATAACTGTGGGTCCTCACTCACACTGGCCGTCGGTCTTCAGTTGACAGAGTACACTGAGGTCAGAGGGCCTCAGTGACCTGCCCGGAGCAGGTGCAGCAGAATAGGATGGGACTCACTTCTGCCCGACTCCACAGGCTGGGCTCTAAACTTCCAACACTGTGGTGTAAACAAACACACCAGAATTCCATGATGCATTAACTGTGTGACCCTGGATAGCAACGTAACCTGTGCATGCCTCAGTTTGTCCATCTGTAATGGGGACAGTAGCAGTAACCTCTTTTGTTGGAAAGTGTGTGCAAAGCTCTCAGCTCATGACTATCTATCATAGACCCTCAATAAGTACCTATCGGCCACCACTGCTGTATTCTTACCACTGTCACTCTGCGACTGCCATCGCCAGTGGAGAACACTCTGAAAGGGCCAACACTCTGCTAAATGCTTCCATTCTGGAAGATTTGATTTTTTTAAAGGCAGCCACTTTGCTTAGCCACACTTTATACTCTCACCTTACATCTCACTGTATAACCTCACACAAATGGGATTTTCTGTAATGAAATATGCACTTTATATCATGAGAGCTGAGCTTCCTGTTTGCTGTAAATAAAGTGTAAACTTTAGCTATCGCCAACACTGCCTGAGTGACACAGAGGTCACCATTACACCGGAAGCCTCCTGGTGGCCATGCGCACACAGGGGAATGCTCAATTCTCTGTCAGCTCCATAGATGAGGCCTGACCAGCTGCTCAGGGCCTGGCCCTGCTTAGCATGCTGCAGCTGCTGTAGGGATCCACACAGGCCACACTTGCCCTCCAGGGGCTCAGGGTCCTAAGGCGAGGCCGACACACCCTCAGCAGGTGAGACTCAGCGGGTCAACGATGCCACAGGCAGGGAAGTGCAGTCCCCATGGCTGACGTGTGGTCACAGGCTGGCTTCAGCTATTTCTGCTCCTCTTTAAACCACTGCTTTTGGAAGGTCCAGTTCTGTAACTTGTACCTGTAGCTGGGTCTCCAGCTGGGCTTCCAGAAGGTCCATGACTCCTGCCTGCTGCTGCTGGGCGTGCAGACGCATCTGCTGGTGCACTGGGAACTGGGCCAGGAACCTCTTCTGCTGGGACAGCATCCTGGGGGGAGGAAGGCAGGCAGGCTGGCAGGGAGGAAGGAAGGGAGGGAGGGAGGGAGGGAGGGAGGGAGAAGGAAGGCAGGGAGGCTGCTGATCCCTGGGAGCCCCAAGAGGGGCCTGGCCATCGGGGGCACCATTCACAGCAGCCCCAGCTCCAGTCCCCACAGGCAGGCTGCCTCTCCATCAAAGTGGACGCCCTTTACAACACGGGAGTTTAGAGAGTCCTGCCCACACACTTTGCATGTGATCTTCGGAGGAGCTTCATGACACCAGCAGGACAGAGTAGAAAAGCTGGGGGGAAGAAACCCAGAGAGGTGGGGGCCTCCCTCAGGACACACGTCTGTGAAGTGGCGGAGCAGAAGGTGGCATCTTCTCATGAGAAAACAATCTTTTCCCCAGGGAGGAGCATTCTCCTGAAAGGACCAGAGGCCTACCGGCTACCCATCCCTGAGTTTAAATCTCAGAACTGCCCCGGCCCCTCCCTCGTAAAATGAGAAGCTTCTTGGGATGCAGCCTCTGGGAAATCCCGAATACGGCAGGCAGCCTGTTACTCTCAGAGAGGGGGACAGAGCTGGAGCAGAGGCCGGGTACCTGAGCCCCAGGGCCCACCTCCCTCTCTGGATGCCCTCCGTTCCTAAGCAGTCAGGAACATCCAAATCCAGCCACCCTGTTTCCATTATTGCTCCCTGCCTGCCTCCTTCCCATCTTTTAGGGCAGATTTTCTGAAAGGGGTCGAATTTCTAGACCTGAAGTCAGGGCCACCTTTAGCATGGATAGGCAGCTGTGCGTGTGGAGTGCTCCGAGGTGTGAAAATGCCACCCTGCTCCTACCTCACACTCTTCTGTCCGCCAGTAACACCTTTCCTCTCTGTTTTTGCCCAGCAAATTCCTGTGCACCCTACAAGACGCTGTCATCCATCCCTCCACCTCTCACTCCATTCCTCCCTCCCTCCATCCATCCACTCATTCCTTCATTAAAGTATCTCTGGCCTGCCAGGTGCTGTGCTGGGTTCTGAGACAAAGGTGTGAACAGAGACCCACAGTCCCCGTCCTCAAGGAGCTCTAGTTTGAGTGGCAGGAAGGAGGGTGGACAGTAAACAAATCACTCATTTGGCACAGCTGAGGCCAGCACTCCAGACTCCAGCCTCTCTCACACCTTAAAGGAGGCCGAGTTCCACTAGAAACCGTGCCTATGGACATGAATAGACGTTCTTAAAAAAAAGACACACAAATGGCCAAGAAGCATGTGAAAAAACTCTGAGCATCACCCATCATCAGAGGAATGCAAGTTAAAGCCACAAGGAGATATCATCTTACCCCAGTTAGAATGGCTATCACTAAAAAGACAAACTATAACACTTGGTGAGGATGTGGAGAAAAGGGAACACTTATGCACCATTGGTGGGAATGTATATTAGTGCAGCCTGTATGGAAAACAGCATGATTTCTCAAAGAACTAAAAATAGAATGACCATTTGATCCAGCAATCCCACTACTGGGTATCTACCCAAAGGAAAATAAATCAGTATATCAGAAAGATACCTGCTCTCGTGTGTTCATTGCATTATTCACAATAGCAAAGATATGGAATCAACCTAAGTGTCCATCAATGGAGGACTGGATAAGGAAAATGTGGTCCATATACACAATGGAATACTACTCAGCCATAAAAAAGAATGAAATCATGTCTTTTACAGCAACGTGGATGGAACTGGAGGCCATTTTCTTAAGTGAAACAACTCAGAAACAGAAATATCTCATATTTTCAGTTATGAGTGGGAGCTCAATAATGTGTGCACATGGACACAGCGAGTAGAATGACAGGCTGGGCGCAGTGGCTCACACCTGTAATCCCAGCACCGAGAGGCCAAGGCGGGTGAATCACCTGAGGTCAGGAGTTTGAGACCGGCCTGGCCAACATGGTAAAACCCCATCTCTACTAAAAATACAAAAAAATTAGCTGGGCATGGTGGTGCGCGCCTGTAATCCCAGCTACTCGGGAGACTGAGGCAAGAGAATCGCTTGAACCCGGGAGGCGGAGGTTGCAGTGAGCTGAGATTGCACCACTGCATTCCAGCCTGGGCAACAGAGCAAGACTCTGTCTCAAAAAAAAAAAAGAGAGTGGAAGGATGGACAACAGAGACACAGAAGGGCGGCGGGACGATGGGAGGGGAGTGGATGATGAGAAATTAATGGGTAAAACGTACACTATTTGGGTGATGGTTACAATAAAGGCTCAGACTTCACCACTATTCAATATAGCTATGTCACAAAATTGTACTGTCACTCCTTCAAAAAAAAAAAAAAAAAAGAAAAGAAACTGCCTCTGAATTCAAGGAGGTGTGACAGGGAGGGAAGGGCATCAACAGCCACATATAAGCTGTGAGTCACAGATGGGCTCATGCACCCCCTTTCCCAACACTGGGCTTCCTTTTCCTCTTCCATAAAGCAGGTTGGCCCAGCTGGCTGCTGAGGCTCCTTCTCTTGGATCACCTGGGTCAAAGTGAAGCCCTTGGACCACATCTATCAGTATCCCTTGGTGCGGAGAGGTGCGGCTAAAATTCAGATTCTTGGGCTCTCCTCACACTTTCTGAGCCTGAGTCTCCAGGTGTGGGCCCAGAACCTGCAAGTTTCGCAGGAAAGCCGAGTGATGCTTCTGCGCCCCACATCTGAGGACTTGCCAGACTGTAGTTTGCTGGGAGCCTGGAAAGTTAGGGCAAGTTCGGTCTGTGCAAACCCTGCAGCAGGGCGTTTCCTGACACCTGTTACTGAGCAGCTTCCTAAGAACAGCCCGGTCGGCGGGCCCCTTCGCTCAGGCCTTGTGAGGCACAGAGAAGCCAGGAGAGCCAAGCCTGCCTTCTGACCTCCAGCACTGTGGGACAGGCAGTCTACATGGCTTGGGCTGTTACATTTGCACTCATTGTGATGGTCACAGTTACAGGAAGCAGCCACCTCTTCCTCACTTCCCTGCCCTCTCACTGTGCCTCTGCGGGTCACCTCCCAGGTAAACAACCTGCCCCCAAATCCTCGTCAAGGTCTGCTTCTGAGAATGCCCAAAGTATGAGAGGGTAGGCGCGTGTCTAAACATGGCTTAGACCTGTGTCCGGGCTGTGAATGCCACTTAAACCTGGGAATGAAGCTGCCACCACACCATGACCTGCTCACTCATTTGTGCCAGGTGCCACTCCAGGTGCTGCATGGAGGGCAGAGACCAGGACAGAGGCAGCGGGTGAGGAAGGCCGATGGCCCCCAAGTCCACGGGCAATGCACGCGACGGCACCTGCTGACGGCACCACAGAGAGATATGCCATGTGAATGGGGTAGAGAACAGCCCTACGTGGGACCTCAGTTGGGACCTCACCTCTGGTGGACCGCCTGGGAGGTCTCATGAGCGCCACCTGCCGTCCTGCTGCCCGACGAAGGGTTGCTGAGTTCTTGCTTTTTCCGCAGTTTGTAATTTTCCATCCTCTCACCTAGACCATTTAACACAGGACAATCAAGGGGTCTGTTTGGAGGATCCACTGTGCCAGGTCTGGGGCAGGTGCTGGGGTGCAGGGTGAGTGAGACACACCAGCTCTCCAAGAGTGTATCCTTCCACCAGCACAGGGACAGGGCATTGTGTGCACAAACAACACAGCTTCCATCATGGACCAGGCACTGCAGAGCGAAACTATGATGCGCCCTGTCCACCTGCTCCACCTGTAGCTTTCTTGTATCAGGAGAAATGGGTGCCGACTAAGAAAAAGTCAACACTGAGAAGGCACCACAAAGAGCTTAAAAGCCACACTGTAAAGGAAAAGTGATTGGCCAGGCAGAGTGAGGGCACAGTGCCGAAGTGGGTGCTCTCCAAGGAGCTAGGAAGTCTGGGCTCTGAAGTTATGCCCCATTTCTTGGAGCTCCTTCTTGTTTGCAGGTTAAGCTGCTCAGAAAACTCTTGGCTTTTAAAAGCTTTAAAAGTAAAGTGAGGCCGGGCGAGGTGGCTCACGCTTGTAATCCCAGCACTTTGGGAGGCCGAGATGGGTGGATCACCTGAAGTCAGGAGTTCGAGACCAGCCTGGCCAACATGGTGAAACCCTGTCTCTACTAAAAGTACAAAAATGAGCCAGGCGCAGTGACATGTGTCTGTAATCCCAGCTACTTGGGAGGCTGAGGGAGAATTGCTGGAACACAGGAAGCAGAGGTTGCAGTGAGCCGAAATCATGCCACTGCACTCCAGTCTGGGCGATTGAGTGAGACTCAGTCTCAAAAAAAAAAAAAAAGGTGATGAGGCTGCCTGAGACAGGCATGGTTTAGACCTGTCATCCCAGTATAATTATTAATAGTGCCCCTGGTTTGGACAGCTAACTATAGGATTACCTCTTCAAGGTACCTCTCAGCTGAAAACCCACTCAAGGATCAGTGGCCACGGCAGGAGGCCCATCACACTTAATTAGCTGGGAGAGCTTGCTGGCACTTACAGGGAGACTGAACCTGGATAGCCTCTGGGGACATAGCATGTACAACTCTTAAATAAAACAGATTACTAAATAAGGAAAAAGGAGTTGATGTGGCTTAAGCTATATCATTTCAATGTGTTTACTGTGAAATCCCTGCATGAGAGCTGGGGTATCAGGAAGCAGGAAATAAGAGCTGAGAGGATGGATGGGGGCTGGGGTGGGGCAGTCTCCAACCCTAGTCCCACAGATGGGGAAACCAAGGCCTACCAAGGGAAAGAGACATGCCCCAGTTCTGGAATGTTCTGCAGTAGCAAGCAATCATGTCTGTCTCCTGCTAAATGAGCCCAACTCTTCCTTTGGAAAACCTGGCAGATCTCTGGGCATGTGCCCCGATTTTATTTGAATCTAGGCCTCAAGTTCTTCAGGAGAAGGGGAAGACAGAGGTGGCCTCTGGGCTCAGCTGAGAGGAGAAACACTCAGGGAAGACTCTCCTGGGATAGATTCCAATTCCAGTCCTTGGACATGCCAGGCAAAGCCCATCAGAGAAGTGGAATCCCACCTACTCAGAAGTTCTGGATTCAGGGGAGGGTGTTGTAAGAAGTGGCATTTAAGAAATTGGCTTCCAACCATCCTTATCTGTATGTTACTGGAACTGGGGATACTGTCCTTTCTATCACCCCAGGGTGGCCTTTTACAAGAGCCCATGCGGGAAAATTCTTGGGGTCTCAAACACCCCCTGGACCACTGGACTCATGGTCACTGCGGTGGCTTTAACTAAGTAGGTGTCTGTCTCTTTCACCACCAGGAAGCTCACAGACGAAATCATTGAACGTCTAATTAGGATTTGCAGGCAGATATCCTAGATCAGGGATCCCCAACCCCTGGGCCACAGACTAGTACTGGTCCCTGGCCTGTTAGAAACCCAGCCACACAGCAAGACGTGAGCGGCAGATGAGTGAGCGAAGCTTCATCTGTATTTACAGCCGCTCCCCATCGCTCACATTACCGCCCGAGCTCCACCTCCTGTCACATCAGCAGTGGCATCAGAGTCTCATAGGAGCGTGAACCCTATTTCAAACTGCACATGCGAGGGATCTAGGTTGTGCATTCCTTATCTAATGCCTGATGATGTGCCGCTCTCCCATAACCCCCAGATGTGATTGTCTAGCTGCAGGTAAACAAGCTCAGGGCTCCCACTGATTCTACATTATGGTGAGTTGTATAATTATTTCACTGTATATTCCAATGTAATAATAATAGAAATGAAATGCACAATAGATATAATGCACTTGAATCGTCTGAAACCATTTCCCTCTCACCCTGGTCTGTGGAAAAATAGTCTTCCATGAAACCAGTCCCTGGTGCTGAAAAGGCTGGGGACTGCTGCCCTAGATAAGCCCTGGCCCTGACTCCATCTCAGTATCCTATCCTTGTCCTGAGTGACCGACTTAAAACACTCCCACTGCACTGGATGTGTGCTTATGCATATGTTTCTTTAAGTGCCTTTTGAAAAAGGCTTTTTGAGACAAAGCACGGGATAAATACATTAAAACACTGAAATAATTATATTCCCAAAAATAAAATTCACAGTATCTGACATCCTATTCTGCCCCAAACTAAAAGCACACATTGCCAGTCTCTTCTGGGGCTTCCCTGAGGGGGGGTCCCGTACCCTGCAGGGTCTTCAGGTGCTGCAGTTTTCTCTCCTCGTGGTCCTCCATGATCCTTCCGATTTGCTGGTAATACGCCTGCACCAGGCGGCTGACACCAGCGCTGGTCACGTAGACGCTCTCCACTGCCGCCTCCATCAGTGTCCTCTGAGGGAAGAAAGGAAGGACAGGGACAGCAGAGAAGTCACACGTGGGAGCCACCCACGGCCCATCCAGTCCCTGCCTCCCCATGCCCTGGTTCAGATCTTCCACCTACTCACCAACCTGGATTGGTCAGGAAGCAGGCAGAGAGTGCATGGCTGGTTTAAACTAGTCATGGGAATCCTATCTTCTTAGGTCAGGGATGTCTAGAGCCAATGAAATGCGATGTTAGGGAAAGTCGGCTAAGAGGCCTTCCCCGCATCTTTTTTTTTTTTTTTTTTTTTGAGATGGAGACTCACTCTGTTGCCTAGGCTGGAGCACAATCTCGGCCCACTGCAACCTCCATCTCCCAGGTTCAAGTGATTTTCCTGCCTCAGTCTCCCAAGTATCTGGGATTATAGGCAAGCACCACCAGGCCTGGCTAATTTTTTGTATTTTTAGTAGAGATGGGGTTTTGCCATGTTGGCCAGGCTGGTCTCAAACTCCTGACCTCAGGTGATCTGCCCACCTCGGCCTCCCAAAGTACTTGGAGTACAGGCATGAGCCACCACGCCCGGCCGAGGCCTTCCGTTTCTAAACATTAAGGTGGAGGACCAGCAGGTGAAAGACTGCTGTTCCCTCCTCCTACCTGGAATGCAGGCCTGACATCTGGAGTGACAGTGGCCATTTTAAGACTATGAAGCAACAAATTAACAGCAAGAATGCAGGGTCAGAAACAAAGACCCTCGTCCTCGGTCACATCACAAAGCCAATGTGGCAGCCTGGGTCACGCACCTCCCCATTTCTTGTGGTATGGGGTAACTTCTATTTCTTTGAGCCATGTTACTTGCAGCTACATGCGTTTCTACATGATGCATCTTCAGACCAAAGTAGAAAAGACAGGAGACCCTGAGACATCCCATCATTGGGGATGTGCTGGTTGTGCACTGACAAAGTTATCATTCTTTTCCTCATAAGAGGATGGGCAAAAGCCAGAAAAGCTCATCCCCATTTCGGCAAATATTTATTGGATGGTGCTAGGCTTTGGGTAAGAAAAAATACCCACTTACTCTCACCACAGCATCTGAGAAAGGTACCTGAGCACACAGGTGTGGCGCGGCGCGGAGGCTGCGGAGGTGACTAGCCTGTACAGCCCGGAGTGGCAGTGCAGGTCTGAGCTGGTCTTCTAACTCCCGAGCCCCTGCTCATCCCTTACTGCCAATGGTCCTTTCCTTCTCCTCTGCCCCATCTGCAAAGGGGGCTCCCACTCCACCCCTCCAAGGACCTGGGCTCCAGCCTTACACTTCCTGTCGGGAGCTCCCATCCTCTTTCCCCGAAGGTCAGCAAGCCCACCCACATCTTCACATCCTATGTGCACCTGCCTTCCTGCCACAGTAAAGTGGCGGACACCCCACTCTGCACCCACCTCTCCTCCCTTCACCAGGCCCTCCATCCTTGGCCACCCCTTCTCTCCTCCTCCTCAGTTTTTTTCTGGCCAGTCTCCCCGTACCCACTGGCACACACATTTGCACTAGTGTTCCAGGAAGCCCCTGAATACAGGTTGAATAAATGACCATTCTTCTAGAAACTAAACTCAATGCTTTTCTGTTTTTTGTTTGTTTGTTTGTTTTTTAGACAGAGTCTAGCTATGTCACCCAGGCTGGAGTGCAGTGGTGTGATCTTGGCTCACTGCAACCTCCGCCTCCCAGATTCAAGTGAGTCTGCTGCCTCAGCCTCCCGAGTAGCTGGGATTACAGGCGCACACCACTACACCTAGCTAATTTTTGTATTTTTAGTAGAGACGGGGTTTCACTGTGTTGGCCAGGCTGGTCTCAAACTCCTGACCTCAAGTGATCCACCCGCCTTGGCCTCCCAAAGTGCTGGGATTACAGGCGTGAGCCACTGCGCTCGGCCTCACTTTACTTTTACTTTTTTGTAATTGTGAAGTTGTGGTGGTACTCATTTTCCAATCTTGACTCAAAATCCCTCTGGAAAGCTGAGGACAAAATACGACACCCTTCTATCTTACTCCATTTTCATGCAGCGAGCATTTACTGTTAGGTAACATGTGGACAGTTCTAGGGACAGGGTGACATTCCCAATATCACCAGCCAGGCACAGCCCTAATTGTTTGGATAATCTGAGGCAGATGTGAGATATTTAGAATAAGACAGGGTGTTGCAGAAATGTGGGTCCAGCCTCTTTGCTGCACAGACACGCAAAGTGACTCGTTTTACTGAGATGAAAGGAACCCCTTGGAGGGCTCCTGGAAGGGCTCCTGCACTTCCCGATGCCAGGGCTGCCTGCTGGGCACAGGGCTGTAACCTGCTGCTGTCTCCCAGCCACAGACATCCTGCCTACAGTGGCCTGAAGCGAGCGAGGTGCTGTAAGGGGTGCCCTACCTCTCCTTACAGCTTGTAAGGGAGGCACCAGGCAGGCGCAGCGTGTATGCTGGTCATTCTCCTGCAGCCCCGGCGCTGCCACTCACTAGGTTGGAGGCTGGAAATGTATCATTTGCCCAATCGTAGGCCTCTTTTTCCCAACGGGAAGAAAAATGATCCTGACCATGCAAGGACTGTGGGGAAAATCCAACAAGACGAGGTAGGAAGAAGCACTTAGTTAGACTTAAGTGCAACGCTAATGTGACTTCTCACTGTTATCATTTTTATCACTATTATTTATGATTATTGTCAGTATAAGGAGTTAAACCACTGTCTACTCAAGCTGAACTGATTTTTAGCGGCATTGCTCAGCCGTCAGGATGAACTCCAGAAAGCTCTAATGTCTCAGCAGAGGCGGCCAGGGGCAGGGAAAGCACACGTCTCTCTTTCTGAGAGAGGGATTTGGGTTCCGATCCCGGTTCTGCCACTGACCAGCTGTGTGGCTCTGGGTGACACCATGTCTCACTCAGTGCTGCTGGGAAGACAGAGCCAGTGCTCAGGATGATGCAGCGCAGGGCCTAACAGCAGGGGGAGAACCGGTGATCTGCTGCGACTGCCCCTCCCCATTCTGCGAGGGAGAAGATCCCACCTTACAGATGAGAAAATCAAGTCATGGAGAAGTCAGGCAAAGTCTACTAGGCCACAAGCTCCATGAACGGTGTGGCAAGGAGCAGACCCAGGCATGGACCCTACCCTGAACATTCTTGCCCTCGGTGTCCCCAGGGACAGAGGTCAGTGCATACCTTGAAGTCATCCCTGTCCTTGGCCCGGCTCTTGGTGGCTGCATTCCGTGCATGCACCAGCAGCGCCTGCCCAATGGCGCACTCCATGTGCTGCTGCAGAAGCTGCCCCACCTCCTGGGCCTCGGCCAGGAGCCGCTGCTGGAGCTGCAGCCGTGTCTGCTGTGCTTCCTCCTCTAGCCGGCTGGCCTCCTCCAGCACACGCGCCTCCTGGGAGGGAAAGGACTGGGAGCAGGGGCCAAGTGCTCCTCTCACAGAGAAGCTCTGGCCAGGACTGGGATGTGGGGCTGGTCCTATCCAGGGCCCAGGGGTTGGAAAAGGGATGGAGAAAGGGCAGAAAGAGGTGGCCTCTGGGCTTGCAAAAATCAATGGATGAGGTTAGGTGTCTGTTAGGTGTCTGTGTCCCCAGAAAAAGGGCATTTATTGAGCATCAACTGCGTGCCCAGTACCATCTATGGCCCCTCACAAGATGGGGGGCCTTGCTCATCCTTCTAGAACATCATGAGACCTGAACACTAGCACTGAGGAGGACACGAAGGCTCAGAGAAGTTAAGTAACTTTCTAAAGTCACACAGCAGAGCCAGGTTTGAAGCCAGATGTGAGTCTCAGGATATCACAGAAGCTGAGGCAGGGCACACAGGGCTCTGAGGACTGCCTTTATTTGTAGAAATAAGAGAGAAAGAAGTGAGCGGGGCTGTAGCGAGGTCCGTGAGTCCTGCCTGCTCCTCGGAGCTCTCCTGGATAGAGCTTAAGAGACTGTGGGCTTGTGCCTCATTCATGGGTCAAAGAGCAGCAGCTGCTCCCAGAGCTTGGTG
This sequence comes from Homo sapiens, assembly GCF_000001405.40. NCBI lineage: Eukaryota > Metazoa > Chordata > Mammalia > Primates > Hominidae > Homo > Homo sapiens. The sequence continues at coordinate 5,797,980 of NC_000004.12, read as the reverse complement.
GCTACATGCAGGAGGCCTGGAGCCAGCCTACCTGGGTGTAACTCCCAGCTCTACAACTTACTAATTATTTCTTTCGATCTGTTATCACACTTCAAAGAGACCACAGAGGCCTTCTCTACCATACCCCCAATGACAACTGCACCTGTCCCCCTCTGATTCCGTATGGTTTTTCCAGTATATATTTCTCATTATATCAGTGATACTAAAAACTTTTGGTACATGGGTGGCCCCTACGGGGGCTCCACTGTCTCCACTTGTTATGGTTAAATTGTGTCCTCTCAAAATTTGTATGTTGAAGCCCTGACCCCAAGTACTTCAAAATGGGAGGTCAGTAAGTGGATAGTGCCTTTGAGGAGGTGATTAAGGTCAAGTGAGGTCATTAACGTGGGCCTTGATCCAATATGCCTGGTGTCCTTATAAGAGATGGGACACCCACAGAGGAAGGACCTGGAGGACACAGGTTGAAGACAGTCATCTACAAGCCAGGGAGTGCGGTCTCAGAATCAAAGCGGCCCTGCCCACACCCTGATCTCCGAATTCTGGCCTCCAGGATGGTGAGCAGGGAAATGTGTGCAGTGTAAGCTGCCCGGTCTGTGGGACCTTGCTATGGCAGCCCCGGCGAATGAATACCGCACCCTGCAGCACCAAGGGTGATAGGATTCGGGTTCTGGCAAACCTGCTGGAAGCTGGGGCCTGCTGCAGGGGCACCGCCTGTCTGGAATGGGTGGGGCCACCATGCTGGTCTTACCAGGGCCCTGAGCAGCTGCCACTGATGCTCGTCCAGGCACTGGGAGGACCCCTGCTCCAGTGCACGCTGTTCCCGCAGCTCCTGCAGGAGGTGCTTCTTCCCCGATAGCCGCATCTGCGTCAGGGTGGCCAGGGCGTTGCCGCGGAGTGCCAGCCTCCGGAGGGCTGAGCGCAACAGCAGGTCATGCCCCTGCAGGACACACCGCGTGGACCTTTGAGGAAAGCAGGTGAGGGGTGGGGTCAATGCTCTTGGCTTCACGAAGCCAGTGACAAGCTCCCCAAACAGCCACAGCCCACAAGAGGCCCCTCCAAAAGGAAGCAGGTTGGAATCACCGCCCTCTGCTGCCATCCTCTTAGGCATGGGTGCTCCCTGGGCACCACGCCGCCATCTGCTTGTCTATTAATCTTTTTAACCTCATCACATCCTGCCTGGCTGTCCAATGCATGTGTACAGCAGCCTATGGTATGCAGCCACTAGAATTAATGGCATGACTCTAAATCAGCACATCCAAAGCTGAAATCTTGAGCCATTTTTGAGTTCCTATTTCAGTGATTCATGTAAAAAAACTCAGCCTGCCAGAGAGGTTCAACATTTGGTTGTATAACTTGAGGTGTCTGCTGAGAGGCTGAGAGGTGAACAGAGGTCTGACAGTCAGCTGCCAAGAAGAGGCTGGCAAACGCTCCAGGCTTTTTGGTGGGTGCCTTCATCCTAGGAATAAAAGTCATTCCCCACTAAGACCTAATTCAGAATCAGCTAAATTCCAACATGGGTGGAGTGAATCTCCCACCATCCGAAATTCCTTCTAGAAGTAACATAAATCCTCTCTGGAAGAAGATCATATCATTTGAAGTCTTAAATTATCTACAATTTCTCATGCTTAGTGGTCATCATCCAATAAAAATACCCAGACGAGAATTAACTAAAAATAAAGAGAAAAACAGACAATAGAAACATGCCCACGAGATATCAGAAAACAGAATCGTCAGACACAACCTTTACACTAATTATGATTAATATGTTCCAGAAATTAAATGATAAGACGAAGAATTTCAGCAGATAACTGGAAACTATACAAGGAATCAAATGGACATCCTAGAACTGAAAACACAATAACTGACATGAACAACTCAGGAGATGGGTTTAGCACCTGATAAAATATGGCTGAAGAGAGAGTGGCTGGAAGATACCTCAAAGGAAAATATCCATGCTGAACCACGGAGAAGAAAAGAATGAAAAATACAGAGGAGCATGTAAGAGACATATGGGATAAAGTGGAAAAGCCTCAGAAATCCTGTCACTGGAGTCCCAGAAAGAGAGGAGGGAGAGAATAGGCAGGGGAAGATCTAAAGGGAAAACATCTGAGAATTTTCATAAACTGATATGAAAACCCAAATATATATCAGCATGAGGATTTACATTAAACATAAATGGACTAAACATTAATGCAATTAAAAGACACAGGTTTTCAGGCGAGACAAATTCCCCAATCGCTCTCTGTTGTCCTCAGTATGGCTCACCAGGTGTCCCTGGTCCGAGCCTACTTATGTTTCCATCCTCTTCTTTGTTTGTTTATTTGTTTTTGAGATGGAGTCTCACTCTGTAGCCCAGGCTGGAGTGCAATGGTGCGATCTCAGCTCACTGCAACCTCCGCCTCTGGGGCTCAAGCAATTCTTGTGCCTCAGTCTCCCAAGTAGCTGGGATTACAGGCACCTGCCACCACGCCCAGCTAATTTTTTGTATTTTAGTAGAGACAGGGTTTCACCATGCTGCCTAGGGTGGTCTTGAACTCCTGAGCTCAGGCGATCTGCCCACCTCAGCCTCCCAAAGTGCTGGGATTACAGATGTAAGCCACCACACCCAGCCTCCATCCTCTTCTGATGTTTCCCTTGTATTATCCAATTCCATAGCTAGACACCTGCTTCTTGATGGTATGCACAATTTGTTTTCTGCAAAGGGCTGGGCAACTAAAAAATAGTTATATTGATACCTGAAAGAAAATAAATTGAAAATAAATTCTACCAAAAAGACACATGTACTTATATGTTCATTGCAGTGCTATTCATGATAGCAAAGACACTGAATCAACCTAGGTGTTCATCAATGGTGGATTGGATAAAGAAATGGTATATATACACCATGGAATACTATGCAGTCATAAAAAATAATGAAATCATGTTATTTGCAGTAACATGGATGCAGCTGGAAGCCATTATCGTAAGGAAATTAATGTAGACACAGAAAACCAAATACTGCATGTTCTCACTTATAGGTGGGAGCTAAACATTGGGCACCTATAGATATAAGGATGGGAACAATAGACCCTGGGGTCTACAAGAGGGGGCCAAGTGTTAAAAAACTACCTATGGGGTGCTGCGTCCACTACCTGGGTGATGGGAGCTGTACCCCAATCCTCAGCATCACGCAATATACCTTTGTAACAAACCTGCACATGTGCCCTCTGAATCTAAAATAAAAGTTGAAAAATAAAACTAAAAAATAGCTATATCAAAAATTTTTTTCTCGACTGGGCATGGTGGCTCACGCCTGTAATCCTAGCACTTTGGAAGGCTGAGGTGGGTAGATCATTTGAGGTTAGGAGTTTGAGACCAGCCTGGCCAACATGGTGAAACCCCATCTCTACAAAAAATACAAAAATTAGCCAGGCATGATGGTGGGCACCTGTAATCCCAGCTACTCGGGAGGCTGAAGCTGGAGAATCACTTGAACCCGGGAGGCAGAGGGAAGTTGCAGTGAGCCAAGATTGCACCACTGGACACTAGCCTGGGCGACAGAGCGAGAGTCTGTCTCGAGAAAAAAGAAAAAAAATATATATATATATAAAAAATATATATATATGTATATAAATATAAATACATAAATATATATATAAGTATATAAATATATATAAATATATATAAATATATAAAAATATAAATATATAAAAATATATATAAATATATATAAATATATAAATACATATAAATATATATATAAATATATATATATTTTTCTCATAATGAAAGAAGGAAAAAAATACTTTCCAGCAAATTGGAAAGACCATATTGCACTAATTGTTATAGCAAAAATGTGAAAAATGAATATAAAAACTGATAATAAATTGGGGAGTGGCTGCAATTGGGCACAAGAAATCTTTTACAATTGCGTTGTAGCAATTTTTGGGGTGATAGAAATGTTCTAAATTTGGATTGTGGTGATGGGGTAGAACTCTGTAAAATTTACTAACAATCACTGAATTGTACTCGTAAAATAAATGTATGTAAACTATACCTGAAAAAAGCTGTTTAAAAAAGTTCCTATGACAGACAACTCTATCAAATAGATAGCATTATCCCATTTTATAGATGAGGAAATCGAGGCTAAGAAACGTTAAGTCATTTACATTCAAAGGAAGCTGAGGGGCAGTCAGCGTGCCCACTGTACAGATGAGGACACTGAGGCTGGAGGGAGCATCATGCAGGACACAAAGCCCTGGGCCTTCAGGGAGCTGTACTCACTCTTCAGTGAGGCCGCCCAGTCGGCCCAAGACGCCGCGGATGGTGCCCTCGTGGTCCTCCCGCAGGTGTGTCTGCAGCACGCTGGACAGCGCACACTCCTCCATCCACACCTGAACTCGGGACAGAGGGACAGAGCAGGCATGTGGTTACTCACTTCAACAATCCTGCTTGCTAGGATTGTGCATTTTGTTTCTTGTTTGTGTGCGTTTCTTTTTTAAATCCCTTTCTGCCCCGATTTCATTAACATTTTCTCTTGTATTTTCTTCTAAAACCTTAAAATCTTTCCTATTTGCATTTAGGAAAAATGCAAATACGAAAATTTTAAATATTCTAAATTGAAGTATCTAAAATTTATTTTCTGTGGAGTAAGGAAGGGATCTAATTTTCTCTGGATAAATGGATAACTAATTGTCCCAACAGTGTTTATTAAATAATTTATTTTTTTTCTGGCTTTCCTCTAACGCCACTTTGTCTTGTATAATTAACATATACACACACATCTTGTCCCAGCTTCTGTACTTTGTTCTATTGGTGTGTTTATTTCCGCACCAATACCATGCTTACTAATGTAGCAATTAAATATCAATGCAGCGAGGGTAGGTCCTGCCTTATCCTCTTGTTCAAAGCTGCCTGAGCTATTCTTGGTTGCTTTTCCTTTCATATGACTTTTAGGATCAGCTGGTCAAGTTTAGGGGAAAAAAGACTCTTTGGAATTTTCTCATAATTGGGTTGATTTTACAGATCAATTTGGAGAGAATCGCCATCTTTGGAAAACTGAGTTTTCCACCCCAAAACATGCCATTTCTCTCATTTTTCTTCATGCCTTCAATGACATTCTATAAACGTCTCCCTTAAGCCCTTATACACATTGGTCAACTTATTTTTAGGTACCTTGTGGCTTTTATTCTGAAGATGATCTTTCTTTGTCACTGGGTGTTGCTGGTATGGAGGAAATCTACTGGTTTGGGATACTGATTTCGTATATGGTGACATTTCAGAGCAATCTTCATAGTTGTGACAGTTTGTAGATCCTTTTGGCTTTTCAATAGAGACATTCATATTATCCATAAATATGGTGCATAAAATTCGATGTAGGAGCGTCTGCTCATCCTAACTGACTGTGTTGTTCAGAACAGATCTTTTCACGGCCTGACTTACGGTCTGATCGGTCTGTTATTTTCTGTGAGGTGGGGTATTAAAGTCTTCCATCATGGTTTCAATTTGTTTGTCTTTCAAGTCTGTCCAATTTTGCTTCATGTGTTTTGTGGCTAAATTGTTGTATGTTCCTCTTACACTATGCAATGACTCTCTTTATCCCTAAAAAAAGTTTTCTGCCTAAAGTATAATTCATCAGATCTTAGTATCATGCACTCTCTTTTGGTGGATATTTGCCTGGGATATTGTTTTCCTTAACTTGACTTTCTAACTTTTGATGATCTAGCTGTGTCTCCTGTAATGCCACATAGCTAGATTAGGAAATGTGTTTTTTAGCAATCTGAATGGATCTGCTAGTATTTATTGTGACTAATGGGATGCTTGGACTTATTTCCCACCATCTAATCTTGTCTTTTCTAGATATTATGAAATGTGCATTCTTCCCAATGTTTTTCTCTTTTATTGGATTCATCATTTTTTAGGTGTCTAACCTGCATTTTGGAATACTTTTTTCTCTACCTTGGAAGTCACATATTCTGCTTAGTTATTTTACTCTGTCAATGCACTGCACAGGCCATCAGAGCTCCCCTAAGGCTGAACAGATTGGGTTATCACTTGATGCAGCAAGGGAGAATGTGTAGAGGGGTTAGAAAGGCCCAGGTGTGGGCTGGGGAGGGCTTAATGAAGCCAGGCTTGGCTCAGCCAGGGCGGGGTGTCTGGGCATTTCAGGGGTGGGGAGTTGGACAGTGTTCACGTTGGGTCTGTGTTCAGGTATGGTGGCAGGGTGGTCTCATTTTTGGCTCCATCTTTCATGTAACAGAGGGGCCTCATCATGTGGATGCTCGGTGGTTGGTTGTTCAATAGGAGAACACCCAGGCCCAGCTGTGAGTAACAAGCTGGCTCCTGGATGGGAGGGGCTATTCTTTTCTCTCCCAGGTGATTACTCTTCAGTTTTTAAGTTGTATATTTAATTTGTAAATATAAAGTTCATACTTCTGCCCTCCTCCAGACTAGAAGGAGAAATAAGATTCCAGTGTTCTCTCTGCCTTCCTGGATACTGCTCTTCATTATTTTGGTTCTGCGCTGTTTTCTAAACTCTTCATCTAAAGCGCTCCTTTCTAAACTCTTCAGTTCATTGTTTGAATCATCAATGTTCCTTTGCCCAATATTATTTCTTATTTCCCTCTCACTCCCTCTGTTCTCACTTACTGTTTTGAAAATTGTCTATTTTATTTCTTCAGAATTAGATACCTTCTACTCCTATAGGATTTTGTCATCCTATTCTCCATGTCTCTTCTTCTATATTTTCCATCTCTTTAGATCTCTGAGCTGTGTTCCAGGACCACCTTCTCACATTTATCTTCTAGTTCGCACATTGTTTCTTTAGCCACAATTTAATCTGCTATTCCATTAACTAATCCAATTAGATTTCTGTTTTCATTACTATAATTTTCTTTTTTTCTTTTTGAGATGGAGTCTTGCTCTGTTGCCCAGGCTAAGTGATCTCCTGTGAGATCTCGGCTCACTGCAAGCTTCACCTCCCGGGTTCAAGCGATTCTCCTGCCTCAGCCTCTGGAGTAGCTGGGATTACAGGCACCCGCCACCACGCCCAGTTAATGTTTTGTATTTTTAGTAGAGACAGGGTTTCACCATGTTGGACAGGCTGGTCTTGAACTCCTGACCTCAAGTGATCCATCTGCCTCGGCCTCCCAAAGTGCTGAGATTACAGGCATGAGCTACCACTCCCAGCCTCATTACTATAATTTTCATTCATAAAGTATATTTTTTCAGTGTCTTGTTTTGTTTCACAGTGTCTTGTTTTTAGGGCTATTAATCTCCTCTGTTTTTAAAAGAACACACATTACAAAGCCCATTCTAATGAGGTCCAAGGTCACACAGCTAATAAACAGTGGGGCAGGAACTGAAATCTGCATCTTTCTGTCTCCAAAGCTCCAATATTTTCTAAATCCACCATGCTCCTCCCTGACGATCTCACATCACCAGATGCACCTAAGTCAGCAAGACCATGCTACAACCAAGGACTCCATCCTTAAGGTGAGAGTCAGTCCCTTTTCCATGGCTTTGTAAAAGGCTGTACCTCTGGCATCCTGGAGATGGCGCACGCTGCATTTGGAATGCAGATTAAACACAGAGGCCTGGACAGAAGCACTTGCAGCCTAGACTTCAGTTCTGGTGGATGCTGTGATTCATAACACTTGCACTTAACTCTCACAAAACTACACTGTGCTATCTGGAACATTTCATTAACTCCCATCTCTGATTCCTCTTGTAAGGAGTTTACAATAATCTATTGGAGTGCTAGGGAAACCAGAATATTCTAGAAAATTCTGCACAGTCATCGTTGTCTTTTTTTTTTTTTTTGAGATGGAGTCTCACTCTGTCACCCAGGCTGGAGTGAGGTGCTATGATCTCAGCTCGCTGCAACCTCCGCTTCCCGAGTTCAAGGGATTCTCCTGCCTCAGTCTCCCAAGTAGCTGGGATTACTGGTGCATGTCACCATGCCCGACTCATTTTTGTATTTTTAGTAGAGATGGGGTTTCGCTATGTAGGCCAGGCTGGTCTCGAACTCTTGATCTCAGGTGATCTACCTGCCTTGGCCTCCCAAGGTGCTGGGATTACAGGCGTGATCCACCATGCTTGGCCAGTCTTGATTCTTTGAAAGGTGAGTCTGCATTGCCACTAAAGTATATAGGGGTCTTTGCTGCGTGTTTTGAGAATGCAGCTTAAACTAGCAACAGGATTCGATGATGATCGATAAGGTCAAGATCTCTGGACCAGATGGTGCCTGCAGCTGTTACATAAACCTCTTCAGCATTATCAAATGCAGGCTTGTAAATGCTTACATTCAGAAGAGGTGCTTCCTCGGGCTAGAGTGCTGGTCATTGCTACCAGGTCATTTTGTGGCCTCAAGTAAGTTTTACTCTTTGTTTCAAACTCTCATGTATTATGGGGAGAAAGGGAAAGATCTATTGATTGATGCCTAGCATGTGCTGAAAGTTTGTTAGTGTCCTCCTAGAAACAGGGAGGGTTTTTAGGTGGGGTGGACTCTACAATCAACTCCCGAGGCAAACACTGGAGTGCTGGGGGTGAGGGGGGCATTGCAGTTTTAAACAGCATGGTCAGAGTAGGCCTTGCTGTGAAGGTGACATGGAGCAAAGACCAGGAGCAGGACAGAGTAAGGCAGGAACGTGCCCAGAAAGCCAGAGGAGTGCAAGGAACCACTGGGGCTGGGGGCAGCATGCAGTTGCGGTCAGAGGGCAGCCAGGGCCTGACATGGTGGGCTTTGCAGAGTGTGGCGAGGACTCTGACTTTCATGCTGTGTGAAATGAGAAGCCATTGGGGGTTCTGCAGAGAAGCAACACGATGTGACTTAGTGTTCCCTATCAAATCTATTGTGCTGACGACTGTAAGATGCCCAATTATTTCCAGTATCACTAACAGAGAAAAGTCACTGCCAATTAAAGTGTATCTTGATTTCAGGGATGTTAAAATATTTTTAAATATGTATCCTAAAAATTAGTGGCATACAGGATGTCTTAAAACAGGGACGTCCAATCTTTTGACTTCCCCGGGCCACACTGGAAGAACTGACTTGGGCCACACACAGAATGCACTAACACGAATGACAGCTCAGGAGCTAAAACAAACGTGAAAAAATCTCATGATGTTTTAAGAAAGTTTATGAATTTGTGTTGGGCTGCATGCAGCCTGTGGGTTGGACAAGCGTGTCTTAAACGTATCACTCTGGGTGGGGGTTGAGAATGGAGGTAAAGCAGTTGGTCAGCTGTTGCAGTAACCCAGACAAGAGTGGTTTTGACCAGGGTGCTAAGAGGGGAGGTGCTGAATAGTGGTTACATTCAGGATTAGACGGAAGGCAAAATCAATGGGATTTCTTGTCCACCGATGTAGGGTGTGAAAGAAAGAGGAGTCGAGGATGACCCCAAGGTTTTTGCCCTAATTTAGTAGAAAAATGGAGGAAGGCTGTGGGTAAGGCAGGTTGGCAGGAAGAGCAACGGCTGTTTTTGACACACCCATTTCTCATGTCTATCAATCATCTAAATGGAGACTTCATGTAGATCTGAGTTCAGGAATGATCCTGAGCTGAGCATGTAAATTTGGAAGCTGTTGGCTCTCAGTCCAACGACCCTTGAGGAACTGAAACCTGAGAGGGGGAGCCATGTGAGTGAGCACAGAAGTGACTCTTCTCCAGTGAAGCCTTCTGATGAGACTCCAGCCCCAGCCCAGGGATTGGATGTGGCCTTGTGAGAGGCCCTGAACAAAGGGCCCAGTTAAACTGTGCCTGGACCCCTGACCCACAGAAATTGTGAGACAATAAGTGCATGTTGTTTTAAGCTTCTAGTTTGGGGGTTACTTGTTACACAGCATTAGAAAACTAATACAGGTGGTGTGTGACTGGATGGGATCACTGAGACAGTGCATGTAGATAAAGAAGAGGACTGGAGACTGCACCCCAGGGCTCTCCAGTGTTCAGAAATTAAGGAGCTGGGAAGGGGCCAGCAAAGGAGACTGAGAAGGAGAAAGAAGTGAGCTGGGAGGAGAAGCAAGAGAGTCAAGCGGGTGTTTCAAGGAGGAGGAAAGAGACCAACTTGGCCAAACACCACCTTGTCCAGTAAGAGGAGGCCTGAAAGCTCGGCACAGAGGAGAGCAGACTTGGTGATGAAATGATGAAAACCACCCGGAGTGGGGTGCAGAGCCAGAGGGAGAGGAGAGTGAGGTGGGGAGCCAGGATTCAAACTCAGACAGACTGCCTCTAGCACTGGTGTTCTTTACTGTTATGCTAAGGAGTGCACCAACTGCCACATTCCCTGCCCCACTCCTACTCACTGGTGTGTTAGTTTCCTGTGGCTGCTATAACACTTTATTACAAATTTGTTGGCTTAAAACAACACTTATTACCTTACGCTTCTGGAGATCGGAAGCCTGAAATGAGGGTTGGCAGGTCTGCACTCCTCCCCGAGGGTCTGGGGCAGAATCCATTTTCTTGCCCTTTCCAGTTCCTAGAGGGCACTTGCATTCCCGGGCTCACAGCCCCTTCCTCCGTCTTCAAGTCCAGCAATGGCTGCAGAGTCTTCCTCACTCCTCACTCTGGCACTGCTGCTCCTTTTTCACTTATAAGGACCCTTGTGATAACATGGGGCCAAGCCAGATCATCGGGAGAATATCCCCATCTCACGATCCTTTGCTTAATCACATTCGCAAAGATTTGCAAAGTCCTTTTTGCCTTGTAACCAGACATATTCACGGGTTTTAGGGATTAGGATGTGGGCCTCTCTGGGGGGCCATTATAGCTGCCTACCGCAAGGGGACTGAGAGCAGAAATCTGCATTAGAGCAGATTAAATTTTGAGAAACACCATTCTACAACCTGTTCTAACGGGGTAATTCACAAATTCCATTAATTTTTAATAACTTCCCTGAGCAATGGGATATGAAACGACCCACTGTCTTTTTGGATAGAAAACAATGTGGGAAAGGCAATTTGTAGTCGATGTGTTTTTGATTTTCCATGAATAGCTTCGCTGGTGCTTTTCTTCTCATGACTAATATTCATCTGAATGACAGAGAGCTCATTTCTCTTTTTTTCATCAATGAGGAAATATGGCAGGTGGATCTCTAACTATCGTGTGTTAATTTTTTTTTTTTTTTTTTTGAGACGGAGTCTCGCTCTGTCACCCAGGCTGGAGTTCAGTGGCGTGATCTCGGCTCACTGCAAGCTCTGCCTCCCGGGTTCACGCCATTCTCCTGCCTCAGCCTCCCGAGTAGCTGGGACTACAGGCACCTGTCATCACACTTGGCTAATTTTTGTATTTTTAGTAGAGACGGGGTTTCACCATGTTAGCCAGGATGGTCTCGATCTCCTGACCTCATGATCCGCCCGTCTTGGCCTCCCAAAGTGCTGGGATTATAGGCGTGAGCCACCGCACCCGGCTATCATGTGTTAATTTAAGGCAGTTAAGTAATCAGTAAATTAACTGTGACATAGACACCTTGAGAAAACAGTCTTGGGTCATACTTATGTAATCAGCTGATGAGGTCATTAACTCTCCTGCTTGCTTCCTGCATGCAAAACTCAACCAGAAACCTTCCCCACATGCCAAGAAAAATTCACAATCGTATGCTCACAAAGTAAACAAATAAAACATTCAAAACAGAGCTGAGCATAGTCTATTTGCCTAAAATAACTTAAGACTCCTAACCAGAGAGTTTTAGATGAATCACAGGTGTTTTGTCAGAAATGAAATTCTGGATTCCTTCACTATCAATACCATTAAATGATTCAACAGATATTGTGCAAAAGGTCTTAACTTGCATTATCTGAATGGAATCATTTGGATATTGTGACCCTTAGTTTTCACATAGAAGGTGTAGTTCTGAGGCATTTTTAGCAAGTTGTGTAAAATCACAGAGTTGCAAGAGGTCAGCTCACTGGCTAAAGTCACACAGCCCATTAATGTGTCTGCTCTGGCTCAAACCCATATCTTAGGCTTCTGAGGTTAGGGGCCTGGCTGCAAAACCACAATGGTCTCTAAAAGGCCCCTACACTCATTTAGTGGGTCCACTTCAGAGGCCCATTAGGCTCACCTGGTTTCTGAGACACTGAGGCCCAGGTCCTCCTCCCTCCCCAAAGACTGTAAATGAATTGGTCTGCGGCCTAGGATTTGGAATGAATAGGAAGAATTCAGCTTCATTTAGATCCCTTCGAAGAATACAGGGCAAAGGCAACACTGTAATCATTTCCAAAGCTGCATTATTGTTGCTGGAAATGCTACAAGTTTTCCTGAACATTTACCATATTGCAGCCACTGGGCTTTGAATAGGTGGTGTCAAGATGAAAATCAGGGTTGCCGTCCTCAAGGAACTCATAGCCAAATGCAGGAGACAGACAAGTCACCTACGACAGGGCAACCGGATGCCACTGACAGAGGACTGAATGAACTAGAAGGAGGTCTAAGAATTCATTCGGGCAGGCAACTAGGCCCTGTGCCTGTCCCCACAGCTGTGAGTGGTCATGTGTTTGCATAACGCTCTCCTCTATCTACTTTGTACTTTCTATTGCCCCAAGGAATTGTTTTAGGAAACCTCTTTCAGATGGATGCATCAGTCACACTGGTCTTTTGTAACTAATCGCAAACCCAACTTAAAGAAACAGGGCTTGTTTCTGACAATAAGCATGTAGGGGCAGGCGGTTCAGGGCTGCGGTAATGGCTTAACAGCACTGCCAGGGGCTCAGGGCTGTCTGAGACTGCTCCACCATCTGGAGCCCACCAGGCTCACGCAGGCTGCCTCTAGGGCAGAGAAAGGCTGATGCACCTCCAGGCCTCCCATGCGTTCTAAGAAGGAAGAATGGGACACTGAAGAAGGGGGCTGCTCCAAGCAAAACCGGCTCTGGTATCAGGAAACAGAAGCCCTTTGCTTTGTTTCAAAGGCCAGAGCAGTGTCACTCAGCCATGGCTAGTTGCAAGGGATATGGATATTGAGGATGTTAGTTTCACAGCCTCTAGAGGGCCGAAGGCAGGGGAGAAAGGACTGGTGGGCTGTCTTGGTGGATGTTGAATTTGGAAATGCCTTCTTTAATTTAACAGTTTTTAATTTTTTAAAGATAAAATCAATCTGGGCTGGGCACAGTGGCTCATGCCTGTAATCCCAGCACTTCGGGAGGCTAAGGCGGGCAGATCACTTGAGTTCAGGAGTTTGAGATCAGCTTGGCCACCATGATGAAACCCCTTCTCTACTAAAAATACAAAAATTAGCCAGGCGTGGTGGCACGTGCCTGTAATCCCAGCTACTTGGGAGGCTGAGGCAGGAGAATCGCTTGAACCTGGGAGGCGGAGGTTGCAGTGAGCCAAGATCGCACCATTGCACTCCAGCCTGGACAGAGCAAGATTCCATTCCAAAAAAAAAAAAAAAAAAAAAATCAATGTGTATTGTATTAGTTTCCTATTGCTGCTGTTCCACATTGCTACAAGCTGTAGCTGAAAACAACACAAATCTGCTATCTTACAGTTTTGAGGCCAGAAGGCTGAAATGGGTCTTAATGGGTTAAAATCAAGGTGTCAGCAGGGCTGTGCTCTTTTCTAGAGGCTATAGGGGAGAATGTGCTCCTTGACCTTTCCAGCTTCTAGAACCAGCCAGAGTTCCTAGACTCACAGCCACACCATTCCGACCTCTGCTTAGAACATCAACCCTCCTTCTCTGACTCCCACCCTTCTGCCTGTCTCCTGTAAGAACCCTTGCAATTACGCTGGGCTCACCAGGATAACCCACAAACATCCCTACCTCAAAGTCCTTCACTCAACCGCACCTGCCTTTTGCCCTGTAAGGGAACACAGCATAGATATCTTTGAGGGGTCACGATTCTGTCTCAGCATAAATCCATGGTCTTAATAATCAGACTCACTGAAAAACAGGAGTCCTGTGTGCCGCTTCTCCCACCCCCACTGAGCCCACTCCCTGTGAACCCCTTTCCTTCCTGCCATTTGGTTGGCTACTTATTTCTCTCGTTCTAAAGAACAAGCTTTGCTGCTCTTCTTAATCGATCAACTTAAGGTATGATCTCCGACTTCCTGTTGAGGGAGATAAGGGCTCTGCTCTCTCATCCCACCCCTGTGGTGGGCCATTGTGAAAGGGAGGCAACAGTCATCTCCGTAGAGCACCTACAATAGGCACTAGTGGGTGTTCAGGACGTGAGATCTCTCACGCTTCTTCGTGTGTTTCTAAAATGCAGACCCCAGCCCCTGGGTTCCCAAATGCCCGCACCTGCTGGTCTTGCTCTAGGAGCTCCTGGAAGAGTTTCCACTGCTGCCTCCGGAAGCGATTTGACTTCCCCAGCTGCCAGGCAGCGTTCTCCTGGACTTCCTGCCTCAAGTAGTCACACTCTTCCGGGGGGAGGCCAGTCATGCCAGGGAGCGTCTGAAGGAACAGGGCATCCACGAACTTCTGGAAAGTGTCCACGGTGCTGAAGTACAGCTCCTGGAGCGGAGAACCACAGATGGGGTTACAGGTCACGGCAGGACCCTGTGTGGGGCCTGAGCTGCTCTCTGCCTCTCCTCCACAAGCCTCCCACAAGACACAAGGAGATCCACAGACAGGAACTCTCAAGTCACACGTATGCAAGCATGCATAGACACACATACAAGTAACTCCCCCACATGCACACACACTTGTACACACAGACAAGTAACTCCCCCACATGCACACACACTTGTACACACAGACACATGCACATGTACTCATACACATATGCATGCAGACACAGGCACATATACACACATGCACACACACAGGAACACATGCACACTTTCGTTCACATTTGATCCATGCACACACTCCTACATACATCCATGCATAGACAAGTGCACACATACACACATGAATCACACATAGACTCATACATACTTGCACACATAGACACACTCCTACACACACACACACGCACACACGCACAGCCTTGGGATGCACCCGTCACCTTAGAGCCCTCTCAACCCCACTCAGCCAAGCTTCACACCTGCTCTCCTCGCCAACCTTCACATCTGCTCTCCTTGCCAAGCTTCACACCTGCTCTCCTCCCACAGTGAGCTCTCTAACTCTGGCATCTCCTCAAAACCATCATTAGGGCCTCCCCTGGGTCACCATCTAGATTATTTTCACAATCCCCACTGGTCTCTTTGTCTTCCCTTCCACCCTCCATGCTTAAGTGAGTTATTTTCATAAACTTCACGTCTTATCATGAGTCCTCCTCAAATAACGTGGAAGACCTCTGTTCCCCTCACACTCAAGATCACCCAGCAGGGCTTCCAGGCAGCTCAGAGATGGCTCCGGCTGTCCTGCCTCTTGTCTTATCATTCTGTTGCCTTCATCCCCGCTCCCCCACCCCAATATCTTTCTAAAAATCATGAAAAACAAACCCACACCATAATAATAATATTAAACACCTGTGAATCCACCGCTCACATCTTTTTTTTTTTTTTTTTTTTTTTTTTTTTTTCATTTAAAACATGGAAGCGGGAGGCTGAGGCAGGAGAATGGCGTGAACCTGGGAGGTGGAGCTTGCTGTGAGCCGAGATTGCGCCACTGCACTCCAGCCTGGGCGACAGAGAGACTCCGTCTCAAAAAAAAAAAAAAAAAAAAAAAATGGAACCTTACAGATAGCTGCGCATGGTGGCTCACGCTTGTAATCCCAGCACTTTGGGAGGCTGAGGTGGGTAGATCACCTGAGGTTGGGAGTTGGAGACCAGCCTGGCCAACACGGTGAAACCCTGTCTCTACTAAAAAATATAAAAATTAGCCGGGCGTGGTGGCGCACGTCTGTAATCCCAGCTACTTGGGAGGCTGAGGCAGGAGAATCACTTGAAGCTGGTCCAGGTTGCAGTGGGCTGAGATTGTGTCACTGCACTCCAACTTGGGTGACAGAGAGAGACTCCATCTCAAAAAATATAAAAACAAACAAAAACAAAAAACATGGAACTTTACAGGTCAAGTTGGAATTCTTTATGGCTCCCTGCAATCCTTTTCCCTCCCTCTCAGCCTCAGACAGCCATCCCCATGAATGCAGTGACCCTCTCTCCAGTTTACAGGTCTCTACTTTCCCTGCATATCATGTTCATAAAGGTGGCTTTTGGTGTTTGTGTTCATTCACCCATAAATGGCATCTCATTGCATGTTTCATTGTGCAGATGCTTTTTGTTTTGTTTTGAGACAGGATCTCCCTCTGTCGCCCAGGCTGGAGTTCAGGGGCGTGATCACACCCTCGACTTCCTGGACTCAGGTGACCCTCTCACCTCAGCCTCCCAAATAGCTGGGACTATAGAGTGTATGCCACTATGCCTGGCTAATTTTTTATATTTTTTTGTGGAGATGAGGTTTTGCTGTGTTGCTCAAGCTGCTCTCGAACTCCTGAGCTCAAATGATCTGCCTGCCTTGACCTCCCAAAGTGCTGGGATTACAGGTGTGGGCCACCGCGCCCAGCCCAGAAGCTTTTTAAAGCCACTCCTTTTGCCCCATCTCCAATCACTTTTACACCCAGAATGGACTCCTCGCCCTGAAAAATCCCTCCAAAATAATCCCTTCTCTGGAGCCTCCCCTGGGCCACTAACATGGGCATTTCTGACCCCGAGCTCCCACCAGCTGTTTGGTTAGCCTACCAGGGTATCTAAGCCACAGTTTATCTGTCATTCCCCTAGACCACAGCTCCCTGAGATAGCGGCTTTGTCGCGCTAGGGTCTGCACCCACATCTCATATCCTCCCCAACCAAGCACGTGCTGGCAGTCCCTGAATAAGCCATGCCCCAACACAACTAGAGCACCCACATTCCCCTCTGCCCAGGAACTCTCCTCACATGTTCCAAAAATCAATTCGAGGTCTCCTTTTCTGGCAAGGCACTCTGAACACAGGGTCTCATTAGGTGCAATGTGGCTTAGCTGAACATCTGCTTTCCTTCCTGGAGTCTGGACTCTTGGTACGTGACAGGAAGGAGATGTGCCCGTATGACTGATCCCAACAGAATCCCTGGACTCTAAGCTCAAGATAGCTTCCTGGTAGACAACATTTCACACATGCTGCCACAACTCATGTGAATTAAGTGCATCCTGTGTGACTCCATGGGGAGAGGATTCTGGAAACTTGTGCCTGGTTTCCTCTGGATTTTACGCCTTGTAGCTTTTCCCTTTGCTGATTTTGCTTTGAATCCTTTCACTGCAGTAACTCTTAGCCATGGGTACAACTATAGGCTGAGTCCATGAGCTGTCTTAGTGAACCACTGAACCTGGTCATCTTACGGACCCCAGAAGAGGTGCCCCTCCTTTGCTGCTGCCCTTCCAGCACCCACCAACCTTTCCAGGCACTGGTTGTATGATTGTCCTTCTCATGGACAAGACCACAGAGTTTCTTCTTACCACCTTTGCATTTGCAGGGCCTGGCAGAGTCCCCAGAAAATGACAGGTGATAATAAATATAATTGTTAAGAATTACTAATTTGAGTCAAGAACACTGTTTTTGCATAATATCACTCAATCTATATAACAGTTCAATCAAGGCATTCTATTATAATTATTATCATTTTACAAATGAGGAAACTGAGGCACAGAGAAGATGAGCAACTGGAACACAGTTTACAGATGGAAGGTCCTGGCCATTGGACTCTTGGACTCATACCCTTAGCCAGTGTGCTACATGGATAATTGTTTTTTTAAAAGGAAAATAAACATATTCTCACACATACACTTAGTATGGTGAATGTACCTAGCTCATACTTGCTGTGCTCAATGGATATAAGTTAAATTTCATTCAAATCATGGTGGATAAGCTTTTTGATGTGCTGCTGGATTCGGTTTGCTTCATGCCTGGGATGCAAGGCTGGTTCAATATACGCAAATCAATAAATGTAATCCAGCATATAAACAGAACCAAAGACAAAAACCACATGATTATCTCAATAGATGCAGAAAAGACCTTTGACAAAATTCAACAACCCTTCATGCTAAAAACTCTTAATCAATTAGGTATTGATGGGACGTATCTCAAAATAATAAGAGCTATCTATGACAAACCCACAGCCAATATCACACTGAATGGGCAAAAACTGGAAGCATTCCCTTTGAAAACTGGCACAAGACAGGGATGCCCTCTCTCACCACTCCTATTCAACATAGTGTTGGAAGTTCTGGCCAGGGCAATTAGGCAGGAGAAGGAAATAAAGGGTATTCAATTAGGAAAAGAGGAAGTCAAATTGTCCCTGTTTGCAGACGACATGATTGTATATCTAGAAAACCCCATTGTCTCAGCCCAAAATCTCCTTAAGCTGATAAGCAACTTCAGCAAAGTCTCAGGATACAAAATCAATGTACAAAAATCACAAGCATTCTTATACACCAACAACAGACAAACAGAGAGCCAAATCATGAGTGAACTCCCATTCACAACTGCTTCAAAGAGAATAAAATACCTAGGAATCCAACTTACAAGGGATGTGAAGGACCTCTTCAAGGAGAACTACAAACTACTGCTCAATGAAATAAAAGAGGATACAAACAAATGGAATAACATTCCATGCTCATGGGTAGGAAGAATCAATATCGTGAAAATGGCCATACTGCCCAAGGTAATTTATAGATTCAATGCCATCCCCATCAAGCTACCAATGACTTTCTTCACAGAATTGGAAAAAACTACTTTAAAGTTCATATGGAACCAAAAAGGAGCCCGCATCGCCAAGTCAATCCTAAGCCAAAAGAACAAAGCTGGAGGCATCACGCTACCTGACTTCAAACTATATTACAAGGCTACAGTAACCAAAACAGCATGGTACTGGTACCAAAACAGAGATATAGATCAATGGAACAGAACAGAGCCCTCAGAAATAATGCCGCATATCTACAACTATCTGATCTTTGACAAACCTGAGAAAAACAAGCAATGGGGAAAGGATTCCCTACTTAATAAATGGTGCTGGGAAAACTGGCTAGCCATATGGAGAAAGCTGAAACTGGATCCCTTCCTTACACCTTATACAAAAATCAATTCAAGATGGATTAAAGACTTAAACATTAGACCTAAAACCATAAAAACCCTAGAAGAAAACCTAGGCATTACCATTCAGGACATAGGCATGTGCAAGGACTTCATGTCTAAAACACCAAAAGCAATGGCAACAAAAGCCAAAATTCACAAATGGGATCTAATTAAACTAAAGAGCTTCTGCACAGCAAAAGAAACTACCATCAGAGTGAACAGGCAACCCACAAAATGGGAGAACATTTTCCCAACCTACTCATCTGACAAAGGGCTAATATCCAGAATCTACAATGAACTCAAACACATTTACAAGAAAAAAACAAACAACCCCATCAAAAAGTGGGCGAAGGACATGAACAGACACTTCTCAAAAGAAGACATTGATGCAGCCAAAAAAACACATGAAAAAATGCTCACCATCAATGGCCATCAGAGAAATGCAAATCAAAACCACAATGAGTTATCATCTCACACCAGTTAGAATGGCAATCATTAAAAAGTCAGGAAACAACAGGTGCTGGAGAGGATGTGGAGAAATAGGAACACTTTTACACTGTTGGTGGGACTGTAAACTAGTTCAACCATTGTGGAAGTCAGTGTGGCGATTCCTCAGGGATCTAGAACTAGAAATACCATTTGACCCGGCCATCCCATTACTGGGTATATACCCAAAGGACTATAAATCATGCTGCTATAAAGACATATGCACACGTATGTTTACTGCGGCACTATTCACAATAGCAAAGACTTGGAACCAACCCAAATGTCCAACAATGATAGACTGGATTAAGAAAATGTGTCACATATACACCATGGAATACTATGCAGCCATAAAAAATGATGAGTTCATGTCCTTTGTAGGGACATGGATGAAATTGGAAATCATCATTCTCAGTAAACTATCGCAAGAACAAAAAACCAAACACCGCATATTCTCACTCATAGGTGGGAAATGAACAATGAGAACACATGGACACAGGAAGGGGAACATCACACTCTGGGGACTGTTGTGGGGTAGGGGGAGGGGGGAGGGATAGCACTGGGAGATATACCTAATGCTAGATGACGAGTTAGTGGGTGCAGCGCACCAGCATGTCACATGTATCCATACGTAACTAACCTGCACATTGTGCACATGTACCCTAAAACTTAAAGTATAATAACAACAACAACAAAAAATTTCATTCAAATCAATGTTAATTCAACCTAATGAATGCCACACTCTTAAGCTCATCGCCAACCCTGACTTTGGTCAGAATAAAGTGACCATGACAAGGGCATATGGAACCCACATTCTTTTAAAAGATTTAGAGATTATATTTCTGATATGGCTAACCAGATAACTTGGACCAATCTTTTCACTAGGGGTGAATGAAAAAGATAAGTGGACAAAATAATTATTAAATCTTCATAAAAGTTGCAAAGATCTAACAAGATTGTGATGAGTACATGGGCCAAGGTCTAAGAAGACACATCTGGAGGGGCATGCCCAGTCTTTGGGCGGCTTTTACCTAGGGAGTGTTGGTTGATTCAGAGGGGATGGCTGAACAGCTGAGCAGGTCCTTTGACAGCCTGACGCTGTCAGAGGACCGAAGTTCAAGTTCATTGTTCATTACGGGTGGGGGCCTGGTAAACCATTCCACACTTACAGTTGGTACCCAAAAAGCCATACTGGAGAAATATTAGTAAAATGGAAGGGAACCAGTCCAGACTCGTTATACAAACTGTAACCTGGAGTCAAGTTATTTAGATTGCCCAGGATATTTTAAGCCCTGACTTTGAATTAAGGTGACCCTGGATCACTAGAGGTGCTGATATCTGACAAAAGCAAACGAAAATCCTCTTTGGAGAAGGACAGTATCATTGTATACCTGAAAATATTTCTACAAATAAGTGTGCAAATTTGAAATATAGTACACAAAATATAAACAGACACATGAGGAGATAAGGTAACATGATCAAAGACCTACACAAACAATGGGCATCAGAAACAAACCCACAGGTACTTCAGAGAGTAATTACAAGTCAGCATGTAATTACAAGACATGGTCTTTAAAATATCAATGCTTACTATGCTCATGAAGCTAAAAGCCACTCTTAAACCTTTAAGCAAGGAGCTGGAAATTATAAAAAGTAACACTACTTAGTTTAAAAAGAGCCAACTAGCAGTTCTAGAATTGAAAATATTGTCTAGAATTGAAAAATATTAAACTCAGTGTACAGGTTTAATAGCAGTTTAGGTGCAGCTGAAGAGAGAATTAGCACACTGGAAAATAGATCAGAAGAAACTAGCAGAACAAAGCAAGGAGAGACTAAAGGATGGAAAATATGGAGGAAAAGATAATGACAGAGCACATACAATGGGAAGGTCCAACATGTTAAATTGGAGTCTCTGAAGGATCGGAGGGCAAGTCTGGGTAGAAGCAGTATTTGAAGAGATAATGAAATTTCCCAAACTGATGGAAGAAATTTACAGATGAGGAAACTGAGGCTTCCTCTTTACATGTAAAAGAGAAGTTAAATCAGTTGCACAAGTTTACACACAGCTCTGACAGTTGGGTTCCAGTGCCCATGACCTTGATGCTACTCAGGTAAATATTTTTTAAAGAATGAATGAGTGAATGAATGAATAAATGAACGGCCAGCACCTAGTAAACACAGGGTCACTTTTTGCTACATGAATAGCAGATAAAATAGTCTTTAAGAAAAAGAAAACAAAACATGACTAGACACAAAGGGGTCATTTCCTAATGCTAAAAGGTTTAATTCACTGGAAAAATGAAAAAGTTATAAATTTGTATGTAGTTAATAACATTACCAAATCAATGAAATTTGCCAAATTAACAGAATAAAGGAGAAAAATATTACACTGATTACCTCAGTAGAGGAAGATAAAAGCATTTTACAAAATTTAATTTCTATGCATGAGAAACACACTTAGCAAATTAGGAATGGAAAGAAACTTCCTTAACTTGATTAAAAAAAAACAACAGCTATATTACATATTATAGCTAATGGTAGAAACCACAAAGCAATATTAAGAAAAACTAAATTAAATACGACCTAAATAATTGTAGCAATATACCATGTTTCTTGATTGGAAGACTTGATATTGTAAACACATTAATTCTCCTCAAATTGACCTATAAATTCCAAATCTTAATCAACAACTATATGAGATATAAATTGAAGCTACACATATTCTTTAATCCAATACTTCCACTCTTTGGTATATCCAAGAAAAATATGTACACACAGCTTCTACAAGAAAGTTCACGTCAGCCAGTGTGTAATAGGCTAACACAAGAAGACTCCAAAGCCCATCACTAGTAGGATGGGTAAATGTATGGCAGTGTATTTATACAACAGAACACTCCACAGCAATGAGGAAGAATGAACTACAACATACAACCACACGGATGGATCTCTCAAATATCAAGTTGAGTGAAAGGCCAATGGGACAAAGCACATGCTGTATGATTCCATTTATATAAAGTTCAAAAACTGCCAAAGCTGCACAACAATGTCCAGGATGTGCTCTGAGATTTACAACTGTAAATCAAACTAGGGATCTGATTTCTGTATCAGCTGGATGATGGCTCCTGGGAGCAGGGAGGGTGTTAGGATGGGGAGGAGGCATTGGGGGTGTTCTGGGGTCCCAGCTACATTCTCTTTCTTGCTCTATATGGTTTCATAAATGTTTTACAATAATCATTTGTTAATTTGTAAGATTATGCTTTATTTATTCATATGTCTTATATTTCACAGTAAAAACACTTTCAATGAGTGGGGATGATGGACATTATTTTCTAGCCTCTGAGAATCCCAATTTTCTGCCAGGAGACAGATTTTTAAGTTGACTGTCATTCTTGGACTCTCCTATTCTACAGCAGTGGTTGGGACAAACCTTTTTCTTTATTGTTCACAATGGTCAAATCACAAAAATATGCGGGATTTGTAAATTAGAGAAGGGTTAGCTTTGTAAAAACAACAGGGTCCATTAGCTTAGGCTCCTTCTAATAAGAAATGTGCTGGATCCTGTCTGCTCCTTGGAAAGACTCAAGTCTGCGTTCTTTGTCACATGGTCTGACAGGCCATAAAACACATCACTTCCCACTAATGCTGGCATATGTCACTTGGGAGATACTGATTTATTCTGTGCCTGAAATAGAACCAGAATTAATTTGCATTATTGCTTTCCCAGTGTGTGTAAAGGGGTCAGGACACAGTGGAACTCTGGTGGGGAATAGAAGCTGGCCCTGAGCCTCATCCCCCAAGCTTAGGAGGCTATCCCCTCCCCCTCAAACAGAAGCACACACAGCCCAGGCAAATACAAACTGCTCACTTTGTACTTGCTCCTTCACTCAGCTGTCTCCTCTGCAGCCGCATTCAAACCACCACCTGCCCTCCCCAGGTTTCTCACACAGCAGGTACTTGGGGCAAGGAAGATACCCATAGTCTAGAGCTTTACAAAGCTTCCTTAACCTACTCAAGGCTCAGTCTTATCTGTCAAAGGGGGCTGATAATACCTGCTTTGAGGGCTGATTATGAGGATTAGAAAGGATTTATGGGGATTGGCTGGCTCACAGCACACAGCAAGCACTTAATAAATGCTAGCTAGTATCATTAGATAAAAGTTGGAGAAGTTAGTGTGTGGTTCTCAAGAAGTGTTATCCACTGCTATTGTCATTCTAGGAACAAAGCATTTGGGGGAAAAGAGGTGAGAATAATTCCCTCTGAGCAGAGGCAGTTTTTGTTTCAGTTGTTTGCAAGGCAAGCAGGAGGAGGGGAGAGATGGGAGGGAGGGAAGGAAGGAGAGGTACAAAGCCAGAAATGGGCAGGTGGCCCAGTAGGACTGAAGTATAGAGTGTTGCAGAGGCACAGGACTAGTGAGGGGGCCAACACCATACGAAGGACCCAAATACACACTGCCAAGTGATCTGGCAAACTGGACCATGGTGGGGTTCAAGAAAGGCAAGGATGTGGCCAGGGCTGAAGATGCACCAATGAAGGTTCAGAGTCCACGGAATGGATCTTTCTGGGATTCCCTGGACATGGTCTGGCCCCTGGGAGACTTTTGTTCCTCATCACAGGACCCAAGAATGTTCCCCAGGGACCCCAGCCTGATTGTTCTGAAGATGCACATTTAATGACTTCAGAGTAAAGTGTGCTCCAGTTCCCCTGACAAGTGGGTCCTGGAGAGCACAGGTGAGCTTGAGTCTCTTAAAAATGGGAAGTGGGTTGAACAAGGGGCAGGAGCTCTGGCACCTGCAGTACTGGGCCATCCACCAGAAGCATGACCATGGGCCAACTCCCTTAAAAAAGGAAGGGAGGATACCTGCATACAAACCTGCAGGGACTATGGGGGATCCCACAAAACACCCCGGCAGCTCAGCGCACCGCCTCCCAGTCTCTCTCCCGGCACCCACACCCCTTGCCACATAACTTTGCAGGGACTTCTCAAGGTGAGTGGAGAGCACTTCCCTGCCTCTGCTACACTGAGTTCAGGCACGTAACTTGCTTTGGGCGACAGAATGAGGTGGAAGTGAGGTGTGCTGCTTTGGAGGCTAGACCTCAGCTATTGCTATGAGAAGAACATGCCCAGGCTAGTCCACAGGTCTTAGGGGGAAGATGGGAGGGACATGGAGCAAGGCTGAGTCAAGTTAATCAAGCCCAGCCTAGATCAGCTAACTGCTGGCCAAGCTGCAGCCCATGAGAGCAAATCACTGTTGTTTTCAGCCCCTGGGTTTCCCGGTGTCTTGTTACACAGCATGACTGTGATCATAGTTACCTGGACAGCAGGAGATGGAGGGGGTCCTAAAAGTGAACGCTCTGGGATAAATATGTGTGTCATCCTCACAGCATGCATACGTTCATTTTGCAAATGTCTCCTGGCACCTACCGCAGGCAAGGCCCTGTGCCAGGGACACTGCGGTGACCGAGGCAGGTGTGGACCCAGACCCGAGGGAGTTCACAGCCCAACAGGGGACAGTGCACACATGCTCCCCCCAGGCTGTGGCACATGTGATGACCAGGAGGATGGAAGTCCTAAGTTAGACAGGTCTGGGGAGAGGTCAGAGGAGGGCTCCCCTAAAGAAGTGACATTTCAGCTGAGACTCAAAGAGCAAGAATGAGCTGGCTAGGCAAAGCCCAGGGAAGGGAGGAAGACAGTTTCAGGCACTGGGGTGGGAGGGACAAGTGCACCCTTGGGGGAACTGAGAGACATCTGAGGTCAGCTGGAAGTCAGGGAGCAAGGGACAGAACTTTAGGAAGGGTGATGAGTGGGCCAGGTTGTGTGGACCTCATGGGCCAGGCTGGACAGGTGGATCCTGTGGGCCAGCTTGGGTGGAAGCGTCATAGGTCAGGCCAGGAAGACCTTGTGGGTCAGGTTGGGGGCATCTTGTGGACAGGCTGGATGGGCCTCGTGGACCAAGCTAAGTGGTCATGATGGGCCAGATTAAGGATGTTGGACTTCTTCTTGAGAACAACAGGAGGCATTCTGGGGTGTTAAGTGGCTCTTTCATATGGTTAAGAACTTAAAAGGAAGGTAGCCAAGAATTCCTGGATCAGAGAGGTTAAGTGATATGGACTAGGCCACACAGCAGGTATGCAGCTGAAATGGGCCCATAACCTGGTCTGTTTGCTTCTTGAACGACTCTTCTCTCCCCCGTACCTCTTTGCAGGGAGGTAAGATGGTTGTGAAAATTACCAAAAGGAAAGAGGGGTAGCATGTGATACAAGGGCACTGTGAGTTGTACTTCTGCAAAGAAAACACATTTACCCCAGTAGTTTTACTAAATTAAAATAAAAAGCCACAGCCAGGCACGGTGGCTCACGCCTGTAATCCCAGCACTGTGGGATGCCGAGGCGGGCGGATCGCGAAGTCAGGAGATTGAGACCATCCTGGCTAACACGGTGAAACCTTGTCTCTACTAAAAATACAAAAAATTAGCTGGGCGTGGTGGCGGTGCCTGTAGTCCCAGCTACCCGGGAGGCTGAGACAGGAGAATGGCGTGAACCTGGGAGATGGAGCTTGCAGTGAGCCGAGATCATGTCACTGCACTCCAGCCTGGGCGACAGAGTGAGACGTCTCAAAATAATAATAATAATAATAAAATAAAATAAAATAAAAAGCCACATTCCGTTAGCTGGTTACTGTAAAGGGAGATATGAATCACCCAGCCTATTTTTCTCAGTCCCTGCATCCTTGGTCATGGTGTATAACCCTTTAAGCCTAATAAAGGACCATGGAAACTGCCTTGCACTCTGCAGCGCCCATGGACACCTGCTTCCCGGCGACGGGGAGGTCTGTGGTGCCCAGGCTTCTGTCATTTTCTCTCAAGATCTGCTTCCAATAGGTTACTGCCCAGAAAATCAGGGTTTTCATGGCCTTCAATAAACAAATTTATTTCTCTCTTTGGAAATGTACTGTTTTTCTCCGTGGTACACAGAATGTCTCCCTAAAGATGTCCACGTCCCAATCCCTGGAACCTTTGAGCACGGAACTTTACATGGTAAAGAGACTTCGCAGGTGGGACTGAGTTAAGGATCCTGAGATGGAAAGAAGATCCTGGATGACACTGTTGGCTCCAATGTCATCACAGGGTTCTTATAAGTGAATGAGGGAGGCAGGAGGGTCACAGTCAGAGAAGATGTAATGGTGGAAGCAGAGGCAGGAGTAGCCGGCCCTGAAGATGGAAGAAAGGGCCCTGAGCCAAGGAATGTGGGTGGCCTTTAGAAACTGGAAAAGTCAAGAAAACTGTTTCTCCCCTGGAGCCTCCAGGAGGAGTCAGCCCTGCTGACACCTTCATTTTAACCCAGAGAGATCCACATCAGACTTCTGACCTCCAGAAATGTAACATAACTTTGTGTTGCTTTAAGCCACTGAGTTTGTGGTCATTAGTTATAGTGGCTATAGAAAACTAATACCTAATATGACATCTTCAGAATGACAATTGTTTAGCTGATGCATTGATGTATTTTCTTTTCTTTTTTTTTTTGAAATGAAGTCTCGCTCTGTCACCCAGGCTGGAGTGCAATGGTGCGATCTCGTCTCACTGCAACCTCTGCCTCCCGGGTTCAACAATTCTCCTGCCTCAGCCTCCCAAGTAGCTGGGATTACAGGCACACCCCACGACACCTGGCTAATTTGTGTTATTTTTAGTAGAGATGGGGTTTTGCCATGTTGGCCGGGCTGGTCTTGAGCTCTGGACTTCAGGTGTATCTGCCCACCTCGGCCTCCCAAAGTGCTGGGATTACAGGTGTTAGCCAACACTCCCAGCCAATTCATTAATACATTAACTGATTGACTGATTTGTGTATTCATCAATATTGACTGATTGTCTAGAGTGGGTTATGCCCTGGACACAACCCCAGGGGTGGAGAAATGAGCAAGCCTCAACCCTTCCATCAAGGAGGGCACATTCCTTCTCCCTTCTTGTGTTCTCCGAATCACTACTTCCCACTAGAATGTTACGAGGCTTGGGCCTGACTCCTAGGCCCCAGCTGAGTGACCTTGAACAGACACTTTAGACTTCCAGTGCCATGCAGCACTTAATCTTGACCAAAGAGGGGTCTGGCCTGTCCTTGGCCCCTGGTATGTCACCTCTCAGCCCCTGGAATGTTTGGTCTGACTGGAGTGTCTTTGCTGACCTGGCGGCCTTGATAGTCTATGCTAACACTGTGATTTACGGCAGGGAGGCCTTAGGGCATGTGGTCTCAGCTTGACCTCTGAAGGGCTGGAGGCTCAGGGCAGCTGTGGGGGCGGAGGGTCAGCCATACCAGTGTAGCTGAGCCCAATAAAAACTCTGGACACTGAAGCCTGGGCAAGCTTCCCTGCTTGGTGACACTCTGTGTGCCTTGTCACATATTGTGGCCAGGGGGAGTAAGTGCTGCCCTCAGCTCCACCAGGAGAGGACACCCAGAAGCTCTGTGCAGAGAGCCCCCCTCGAGCCCTATGCCTCTCCCTTGGCTGACTTTAGTCTGTAGCCTTCCATTATCATCAGCCTGGCCCTGAGCACAGCAGCTGTCAGGGAGTGCTGGGAGTCCTTCTGGTGAGTTAAAGAGCCTGAGGGGGATCTTCAGGACCACCAAACTTGCATCTGACATCAGAAGAAGTGAAGGTGGTTTGGGAACTACTCTCAGACACTTCATAAGCACCTGTTATCATGCCTGTGTTCTTCAAGGACAGAGTCCAGTGTTTTCTCTTTTTCTCAGCCCTAACTTCCTGGGACAGCCTGAAGCTGAGAAGTCCCCGCATGACAGGGCTGTGATTTTACCACCTTCTCCCAGAGCCTTTCAAGAGAAACAGCTATGGGGGGACAGTCAGACAGACATCCAAATGAACAGGTGGGCTGTGTGGCCCCTGGAATGGGATGACAGCAAACTCCACCCAGAGCCCCGCTGTTATTGGGATGACACTGGCTTTGGTGCAGCAACCTGTTTGTGAGGTGCCGAGCCACAGAGCTCACGCGATCGCACAGCATCCATCCCAAGTGAACTGAAAATGGACTGTTTAGAGGCCGAGAGACAGGGGGGATTCAGAAAAATGCACTTTTCTCTGTAGCCCTGAGAACCATTAGGTTATGATATGGTTTAGCTGTGTCCCCACCTAAATCTCATCTTGAATTGTAGCTCCCATAATCCCCATGTCATGGGACTGGCCCAGTGGGAGGTAACTGAGTCACTGGGGTGGGTCTTTCCCATGCTGTTCTTGTGACAGTGGGTAAGTCTCATGAGATCTGATGGTTTTATAAAGAGGAGTTCCCCTGCACATGCTCTCTCTTGCCTGCTGCCATTTAAGATGTGACTTTGCTCCTCATTTGCCTTCCGCCATAACTGTGAGGCCTCCCCAGCCACGTGGAACTGTGAGTCTGTTAAACCTGTTTCCTTTATAAATTACTCAGTCTCGGGTATATCTTTATTACAAGTGTGAGAACAAATTAATATAGGTGACCATCAAATGTATCTCACAGCCACTGTGCCTGCAATATCATGATCAGTGTCATGCCCAAAGAAGGGGTAAAATGATGCCTCTGTGTGCCTGGGCCTGGGCACAGCCAGCCAGCCAGCAAGGCAGGGTACCTTGAGAGCCTGTTCTGTGCACACCTTTCTATATGGTGAATGATGATGAATGAGAATATTTCTTTTTTTTTTTGAGACAGAGTTTTGCTCTGTCACCAGGCTAGAGTACAGTGGTGTGATCTCGCCTCACTGCAACCTCCACCTCCTGGGTTCAAGCGATTCTCATGCCTCAGCCTCCCGAGTAGCTGGGATAACAGGCACCCACCACCACACCTGGCTAATTTTTGTATTTTTAGTAGAGATGAGGTTTCACCCTGTTGGCCAGGCTAGTCTTGAACTCTTGACCTCAAGTGATCCGCTTGCCTCAGCCTCCCAAAGTGCTGGGATCACAGGTGTGAGCCACTGTGCCCAGCCGAGAATACATTTTGAGTATCAGTGTGTGCCCAACACTCTTCTATATGCTTTACCCACGTGAGATTATTTAAACCTCTTGATATTCATATGAAGGCCTATTAGGTCTACTTTAACATAGAGGAGGTGGGATATTGATCGTCCAAACAAACACAAAGCTCCAGGCTTTCTCCCTGCCCCGTCAGTCAGCACCATCTCTTACACGGGCCACAGCAGTCTCCTACCAGGGCTCCCTGCTTCTGCCTCTGCCCCTACAGTCTGTTTTCCTCATGGAAACCACACTGGTCCTTGTAAAACATAAAGCAAGTCACTTCCCTACTCAAAACATGCTGGTGATTTCCTGTCTCACTCAGAAGTAAATGCAACTATCTTGGAACAGTCTGCAACGTCTTCCAAGATGAGGCGCTCTGGACTCATCCCCTCCTCTTCTGCCCCTTTCTCCCTACCTTCCTCCCCAGCTTCCCCACTGCCCTTACACTGGCCTCACTGCTGCTGCTGCTGCAATGCCAAGCATACACATGCTGCACAAAGCTGTGCTTAACAATACTTGAATGAATGAATGAATGAACGAATGAATGAATGAACAAACTCTCCCAAGATGCCTGGTTAGCAGACTGAGGAAGAAAAGTAAAATTCTAAGCTGCCGGTGGGGGGAGGGGCCAAGATGGCCGAATAGGAACAGCTCCGGTCTACAGCTCCCAGCGTGAGCGACGCAGAAGATGGGTGATTTCTGCATTTCCACATGAGGTACTGGGTTCATCTCACTAGGGAGTGCCAGACAGTGGGCGCAGGTCAGTGGGTGCAGCGCACCATGTGCTAGCCGAAGCAGGGCGAGGCATTGCCTCACTTGGGAAGCGCAAGGGGTCAGGGAGTTCCCTTTCCTAATCAAAGAAAGGGGTGACAGATGGCACCTGGAAAATCGGGTCACTCCCACCCGCATACTGTGCTTTTCCGACGGGCTTAAAAAACGGCTCACCAGGAGATTATATCCCACACGTGGCTCGGAGGGTCCTATGCCCAAGGAGTCTCGCTGATTGCTAGCACAGCAGTCTGAGATCAAACTGCAAGGTGGCAGCCACGCTGGGGGAGAGGCGCCCGCCATTGCCCAGGCTTCCTTAGGTAAACAAAGCAGCCTGGAAGCTGCAACTGGGTGGAGCCCACCACAGCTCAAGGAGGCCTGCCTGCCTCTGGAGGTTCCATCTCCGGGGGCAGGGCACAGACAAACAAAAAGACAGCAGTAACCTCTGCAGACTTAAATGTCCCTGTCTGACAGCTTTGAAGAGAGCAGTGGTTCTCCCAGCATGCAGCTGGAGATCTGAGAACAGGCAGACTGCTTCCTCAAGTGGGTCCCTGAACCCTGGCCCCCGAGGAGCCTAACTGGGAGGCATCCCCAGCCCAGGCAGACTGACACCTCACACAGCAGGGTACTCCAACAGACCTGCAGCTGAGGGTCCTGTCTGTTAGAAGGAAAACTAACAAACAGAAAGGACATCCACACCAAAAACCCATCTGTACATCACCATCGTCAAAGTCCAAAAGTAGATAAAACCACAAAGATGGGGAAAAAACAGAGCAGAAAAACTGGAAACTCTAAAAAGCAGAGCGCCTCTCCTCCTCCAAAGGAATGCAGTTCCTCACCAGCAACGGAACAAAGCTGGATGGAGAATGACTTTGACAAGCTGAGAGAAGGCTTCAGACGATCAAATTACTCTGAGCTACAGGAGGAAATTCAAACCAAAGGCAAAGAAGTTGAAAACTTTGAAAAAAATTTAGATGAATGTATAACTAGAATAACCAATACAGAGAAGTGCTTAAAGGAGCTGATGGAGCTGAAAACCAAGGCTCGAGAACTACGTGAAGAATGCAGAAGCCTCAGGAGCCGATGCGATCAACTGGAAGAAAGGGTATCAGCGATGGAAGATGAAGTGAATGAAATGAAGCGAGAAGGGAAGTTTAGAGAAAAAAGAATAAAAAGAAATGAGCAAAGCCTCCAAGAAATATGGGACTATGTGAAAAGACCAAATCTACGTCTGATTGGTGTACCTGAAAGTGATGGGGAGAATGGAACCAAGTTGGAAAACACTCTGCAGGATATTATCCAGGAGAACTTCCCCAATCTAGCAAGGCAGGCCAACATTCAGATTCAGGAAATACAGAGAACGCCACCAAGATACTCCTCGAGAAGAGCAACTCCAAGACACATAATTGTCAGATTCACCAAAGTTGAAATGAAGGAAAAAATGTTAAGGGCAGCCAGAGAGAAAGGTCGGGTTACCCACAAAGGGAAGCCCATCAGACTAACAGCTGATCGCTAGGCAGAAACTCTACAAGCCAGAAGAGAGTGGGGGCCAATATCCAACATTCTTAAAGAAAAGAATTTTCAACCCAGAATTTCATATCCAGCCAAACTATGCTTCATAAGTGATGGAGAAATAAAATACTTTACAGACAAGCAAATGCTGAGAGATTTTGTCACCACCAGGCCTGCCCTAAAAGAGCTCCTGAAGGAAGCGCTAAACATGGAAAGGAACAACCGGTACAAGCCGCTGCAAAATCAAGCCAAAATGTAAAGACCATCGAGACTAGGAATAAACTGCATCAACTAACGAGCAAAATAACCAGCTAACATCATAATGACAGGATCAAATTCACACATAACAATATTAACTTTAAATGTAAATGGACTAAATGCTCCAATTAAAAGACACAGACTGGCAAACTGGATGAAGAGTCAAGACCCATCAGTGTGCTGTACTCAGGAAACCCATCTCACGTGCAGACACACACATAGGCTCAAAATAAAAGGATGGAGGAAGAGCTACCAAGCAAATGGAAAACAAAAAAAGGCAGGGGTTGCAATCCTAGTCTCTGATAAAACAGACTTTAAACCAACAAAGATCAAAAGAGACAAAGAAGGCCATTACATAATGGTAAAGGGATCAATTCAACAAGAAGAGCTAACTATCCTAAATATATATGCGCCCAATACAGGAGCACCCAGATTCATAAAGCAAGTCCTGAGTAACCTCCAAAGAGACATAGACTCCCACACATTAATAATGGGAGACTTTAACACCCCACTGTCAACATTAGACAGATCAATGAGACAGAAAGTTAACAAGGATACCCAGGAATTGAACTCAGCTCTGCACCAAGCAGACCTAATAGACATCTACAGAACTCTCCACCCCAAATCAACAGAATATACATTTTTTTCAGCACCACACCACACCTATTCCAAAATTGACCACATACTTGGAAGTAATGCTCTCCTCAGCAAATGTAAAAGAATAGAATTTATAACAAACTATCTCTCAGACCACAGTGCAATCAAACTAGAACTCAGGATTAAGAGTCTCACTCAAAACCGCTCAACTACATGGAAACTGAACAACCTGCTCCTGAATGACTACTGGATACATAACAAAATGAAGGCAGAAATAAAGATGTTCTTTGAAACCAACGAGAACAAAGACACAACATACCAAAATCTCTGGGATGCATTCAAAGCAGTGTGTAGAGAGAAATTTATAGCACTAAATGCCCACAAGAGGAAGCAGGAAAGATCCAAAATTGACACCCTGACATCACAATTAAAAGAACTAGAAAAGCAAGAGCAAACACATTCAAAAGCTAGCAGGAGGCAAGAAATAACTAAAATCAGAGCAGAACTGAAGGAAATAGAGACACAAAAAACCCTTCAAAAAATTAATGAATCCAGGAGCTGGTTTTTTGAAAGGATCAACAAAATTGATAGACTGCTAGCAAGACTAATAAAGAAGAAAAGAGAGAAGAATCAAATAGACGCAATAAAAAATGATAAAGGGGATATCACCACCGATCCCACAGAAATACAAACTACCATCAGAGAATACTACAAACACCTCTACGCAAATAAACTAGAAAATCTAGAAGAAATGGATAAATTCCTCAACACATACACTCTCCCAAGACTAAACCAGGAAGAAGTTGAATCTCTGAATAGACCAATAACAGGAGCTGAAGTTGTGGCAATAATCAATAGCTTACCAACCAAAAAGAGTCCAGGACCAGATGGATTCACAGCCGAATTCTACCAGAGGTACAAGGAGGAACTGGTACCATTCCTTCTGAAACTATTCCAATCAATAGAAAAAGAGGGAATCCTCCCTAACTCATTTTATGAGGCCAGCATCATCCTGATACCAAAGCTGGGCAGAGACACAACCAAAAAAGAGAATTTTAGACCAATATCCTTGATGAACATTGATGCAAAAATCCTCAATAAAATACTGGCAAACCGAATCCAGCAGCACATCAAAAAGCTTATCCACCATGATCAAGTGGGCTTCTTCCCTGGGATGCAAGGCTGGTTCAATATACGCAAATCAATAAATGTAATCCAGCATATAAACAGAACCAAAGACAAAAACCACATGATTATCTCAATAGATGCAGAAAAGGCCTTTGACAAAATTCAACAACCCTTCATGCTAAAAACTCTCAAGAAATTAGGTATTGATGGGATGTATCTCAAAATAATAAGAGCTATCTATGACAAACCCCCAGCCAATATCACACTGAATGGGCAAAAACTGGAAGCATTCCCTTTGAAAACTGGCACAAGACAGGGATGCCCTCTCTCACCACTCCTATTCAACATAGTGTTGGAAGTTCTGGCCAGGGCAATTAGGCAGGAGAAGGAAATAAAGGGTATTCAATTAGGAAAAGAGGAAGTCAAATTGTCCCTGTTTGCAGACAACATGATTGTATATCTAGAAAACCCCATTGTCTCAGCCCAAAATCTCCTTAAGCTGATAAGCAACTTCAGCAAAGTCTCAGGATACAAAATCAATGTACAAAAATCACAAGCATTCTTATACACCAACAACAGACAAACAGAGAGCCAAATCATGAGTGAACTCCCATTCACAATTGCTTCAAAGAGAATAAAATATCTAGGAATCCTACTTACAAGGGATGTGAAGGACCTCTTCAAGGAGAACTACAAACCACTGCTCAATGAAATAAAAGAGGATACAAACAAATGGAAGAACATTCCATGCTCATGGGTAGGAAGAATCAATATCGTGAAAATGGCCATACTGCCCAAGGTAATTTATAGACTCAATGCCATCCCCATCAAGCTACCAATGACTTTCTTCACAGAATTGGAAAAAACTACTTTAAAGTTCATATGGAACCAGAAAAGAGCCCACATCGCCAAGTCAATCCTAAGCCAAAAGAACAAAGCTGGAGGCATCACGCTACCTGACTTCAAACTATACTACAAGGCTACAGTAACCAAAACAGCATGGTAATTGTACCAAAACAGATATAGATCAATGGAACAGAACAGAGCCCTCAGAAATAATGCCACATATCTACAACTATCTGATCTTTGACAAACCTGAGAAAAACAAGCAATGGGGAAAGGATTCCCTATTTAATAAATGGTGCTGGGAAAATTGGCTAGCCATATGTAGAAAGCTGAAACTGGATGCCTTCCTTACACCTTATACAAAAATCAATTCAAGATGGATTAAAGACTTAAACATTAGACCTAAAACCATAAAAACCCTAGAAGAAAACCTAGGCATTACCATTCAGGAGATAGGCATGGGCAAGGACTTCATGTCTAAAACACCAAAAGCAATGGCAACAAAAGACAAAATTGACAAATGGGATCTAATTAAACTCAAGAGCTTCTGCACAGCAAAAGAAACTACCATCAGAGTGAACAGGCAACCTACAAAATGGGAGAAAATTTTCGCAACCTACTCATGTGACAAAGGGCTAATATCCAGAATCTACAATGAACTCAAACACATTTACAAGAAAAAAACAAACAACCCCATCAAAAAGTGGGCAAAGGACATGAACAGACACTTCTCAAAAGAAGACATTTATGCAGCCAAAAAACACATGAAAAAATGCTCACCATCAATGGCCATCAGAGAAATGCAAATCAAAACCACAATGAGATACCATCTCACACCAGTCAGAATGGCAATCATTAAAAAGTCAGGAAACAACAGGTGCTGGAGAGGATGTGGAGAAATAGGAACACTTTTACACTGTTGGTGGGACTGTAAACTAGTTCAACCATTGTGGAAGTCAGTGTGGCGATTCCTCAGGGATCTAGAACTAGAAATACCATTTGACCCAGCCATCCCATTACTGGGTATATACCCAAAGGACTATAAATCATGCTGCTATAAAGACACATGCACACGTATGTTTATTGCGGCACTATTCACAATAGCAAAGACTTGGAACCAACCCAAATGTCCAACAATGATAGACTGGATTAAGAAAATGTGGCACATATACACCATGGAATACTATGCAGTCATAAAAAATGATGAGTTCATTACCTTTGTAGGGACATGGATGAAATTGGAAATCATCATTCTCAGTAAACTATCCCAAGAACAAAAAACCAAACACCGCATATTCTCACTCATAGGTGGGAATTGAACAATGAGAACTCATGGACACAGGAAGGGGAACATCACACTCTGGGGACTGATGTGGGGTGGGGGTGGGGGGAGGGATAGCACTGGGAGATATACCTAATGCTAGATGACGAGTTAGTGGGTGCAGCGCACCAGCATGGCACAGGTATACATATGTAACTAACCTGCACATTGTGCACATGTACCCTAAAACTTAAATAATAATTAAAAAAAAAAATTCTAAGCTGCCAACTGATTAACAGTTGGGGCTTCTTGGCCAATGGGACCCCAGAGAAACCTTGGAAGCTGAATTCCCGGTGCCGTAAAGGTCGGGATGAGAGGTGGAACACAACTCATTGTACCCCTTCCCTTGCTAGCCAACCACCATAAGGCTTTCTTCCCTAAGGACTAAACAGAAACCCGCCCTTTCAAAAGACTCCATGCTGATCATGTTGACGGCTGGCTTATCTTCCCAGGTACAGAACAAAGACAAGATGAGACGCCTGCTTCCTCTGTTCTCTTTTTCTTCAAATGTTCGCCTGATCTTACGTAAACTGTAGATTTACTAGGCACTAACGAAAGTCTTTCAAGTGTGTAACTGTTCCTCTCATTGCTGCCCCACCCCCCAACCACCCCCCGCCCCCCGCCTTTTTAAAGGAAAATGTATAAATATTAAACCTCCTGAGAACCTCTTTGGAAAAAACAGCCAAGTCTGTGACTTGCGTTTTTCCAGGTGCACCCTCGAGCTGGCTCAATAAACCTCGATTGATTGTGACACCTGCTTCAGTCATTCATTTTGGTGGTTGAGATTCACACCCAGGACCCTGGACCCAGATCTGGGCTCATCCCCACTGGGCTCAACATCTCCTGAGATCATGCTCCCTGTGGAGCAGGCGGGGAGGCATTCACTGAGCACCTACCATGTGCCAGGTCTGGGCCTTGGACCTGCTCTCCTCGGCACACCCAGCCTTTAAAGTAAATGGGCTCCCAGTCTCCATTGCACAGAGAAGGAAACCAGAGCTCAGAACAGTCCAGGCTCTGGCCCAAGGACGCCCAGCCAGGAGGGCGCAGCCAGCTCTCCAATCGGCAATGGAGGATTTTAGCCTGCTCCTATGGAGTATCAGGAAAAGCAGTTTCCAGTAACCAAAGGCAATGATTTCCAAATTGAGGAAATGTAAAATATGCCAGGCGACCTGGAACCTAAAAGCTTGTGATGAAATGGCAAAGTAAATCTAAGGAAATCCCTCCAGACTAATTCTGGGAGACATGCTGACACAGGCCTTGGGCCAGGCCGGGAGCGGTGGCTCACGCCTATAATCCCAGCACTTTGGGAGGCCAAGGCGAGTGGATCACCTGAGGTCAGGAGTTCGAGACCAGCCTGACCAACGTGGTGAAACCCTGCCTCTACTAAAAATACAAAATTAGCTGGGCGTGGTGGCACATGCCTGTAATTCCAGCCACTCGGGAGGCTGAGGCAGAAGAATCTCTGGAACCCAGGAGGCGGAGGTTGCAGTGAGCTGAGATCGCACCATTGCACTCCAGCCTGGGCAACTAGAGCTAAACTCTGTCTGAAAACAAAAAACAAAAAACAAAAAACACCCACACAGATGTGGAGAATTTCACACCCATCTCCACTGTGTCCCTCGACACCTTCTTATGCAGTACATTTCATATACCTCCTCCTAGGAGAGAGACTCCAGCAGGTATCACCCCTCGTCACACCTGTCACCCTCTCCTGATGTTACGTTAAAAGGCTGTCTTCACTTTCTTCACTGAAGCTCTCACAGGCCCAGCAACTAGGCCCACACAGGGAAAAACCAAATGCATAACTTCCTAAGGATGTCATTTTGGCATCATTGACAACTCTTTATTGAAACTGATGTAGTTACCAGCACCCGCTGGGGCTGGCCAGGAACTTCCGTATTGTGAAAGGAAAATATATTGGGCCCCCGAAATCACTAAGCAAAAAGGAAAACTCAAGCTGAAAACTGCTCAGGGCAAACCTGCCTCCCATCTATTCACAGTTATCTCTCTGCTCATTGAGATAAATGCAGATCTGATTGCCTCCTTTGGAAAGGATAATCAGAAACTCAAAAGAATGCAACTGTTTATCTCTTGCCTACCTGTGATTTGGAAGCCCACTTCCCGCTTGGAGTCTTCCTGTCTTTGCTTCAAGTTGTCCCACCTTTCCTGACCGAACCAATGTACTTCTTACATGTACCGATTGATGTCTCCTGTCTCCCTAAAATGTATAAAACCACGCTGTGTCCGGACCCCCTTGGGCGCGTGTCGTCAGGACGCGCCCTCCTGAGGCTGTGTCCCAGGCTCGCGCAGCCTCAACCTTGGCAAAATAAACTTTCTAAATGAACTGAGACCCGTCTCAGATGTTCTGGGTTTACATTTATATACTGCTTGGCTTACCCTTTGCAGCAATCATTGATAGGGTTTTACTCAGGCTGTCAGCCTGGTTGTGTAATTGTGAGCAAGTGATCTAACCTGTACCTCAATTTCCTTAATCTTGATGACATTCTGATGCACAGCAAGGTTTGAGAACTGCTTTAGAGAGGATGGGTGAGAATCCAATAAGCTACCATAGGGGGTGAGGAGGAGAATGCTGCTGAAACCACCCCCGCCGCCCATAGCCTCTGGGCCACCTGGGCTCACCTCCGGCAGGGGAAATAAGTGGCCCGGCTGGGAATTTGAACCCCAGATGTCTGGCTCCAGAGCCTGGGCTTCACCATTATGCTCCACAGCCCACACGTAAGGCAGGATAGGTAGTCAAGGAAGTGACCATGTCCTTGGGATGCGGCGACCAAACCATCAACACAGTAAGCCTCAGCATTTACACTGTAGTCTGGCTCTTTCAAGCAGTTATCTGCAGTAGGCAACGTCTCCTGCAGTCGGCAGGTGCACTTTGATTTTATCTGTCCTCAGACTGACCCTCTGCGCCATTATAATAGTAAAAAACACACCTTTGGACGGAGACTTAAGATGCTAATGAGACATGTGACGTATGAACAAGTGTGTACAGCTACTGTGCCTGGGCACTCAGAGGACCCGCCCCCACCGCCCTCCACAACATGCTTACTAATAATGCTTCTTCCCACGCCCTTATGAATAATCACATAAGACTCCCCAGAAAGGGAGTTTCCCCGGTAAGTCAAGGCTGTCTCATCTGCTCTGAATCATCTCCCAGGGCATCCTGTCTATTCTGCACCTAACTTTCAGAACATTCTTTCTCCTTTGCAATAAATTGCTCTGTGCTGCATCCCCTTTACTGTGGTCTCTTGTTTACATACTTTTAAACTAAAAACACAAGAAGCGAGGTTTCACAACAGCCGTCAACACTGAGCAGCATGGTTGGGGTGAGCACATCAGCACTAACATTAGAAAGCCTTTATTTTAAATCTCACCTTCCCCGCTTGCTAGCTGTGTAAAACCTGGGCAAGATACATGGGCCAGCACAGACAGGTTATGTAACCAGCCAAGGTCACACAGCATGTTAGCACTCAGAGGAAGATTAGAACTTGGTTTCCCCATGCCCAGCCAGGGATGTGAGTCTTGACTCCTCTGGGGACAAAGTTGTTCCTTTCCTGTCTGTGGGCCCCAGGGCTTTGACAAATTGAGCCCCATCCTACCCATTTCTGGAGAAAACACTTCTTCACTCCTCATCTGGGAAGGAAGGAAAATGCAGTGTCTTCCTCATGAATCTCATGAGAATTAAATAATCAAATACTCAAGAGGCACTTAAGATAGGAGCTAGCCCTGAACAAAGATCGCCTTCCGTTTAGTTTCCTGTGGCTGCCATGACAAAGCGCCGCAAACTGGGTGCATTAAGACAACGAAGTTTATTCTCTCACCGTTCCGGAGGGCATTAGTATGAAACCAAGGTGTTGGCAGAGCCTCGCCCCCTCCAAAGGCTCTGGGAGGGGCCCTTCCTGGGCTCTTCTGGCTTTTGGTGGCTGCAGGTGTTCCTCGGCTTGTGGCTGCATCACTCCAGTCCCTCCTTCTGTCTTCAAACAGCCTCCTTCCCTGTGTCTCTATGTCTTCTCATGGCCTTCTTATAAGGACACCAGCCATTAGAATTAGGGCCCACCCGAATCCAGTAGGACCTAACCAACTGTGCGATCTAACCAATTACATCTGCAAAGCCCTTATTTCCAAGTGTGGCCACATTCCGAGGTTCCAGATGGACATGACGTTTTGAAGGACACTGTTTGGACTAAATTGTGTCTCCCTCCAAAATTCTTAGGTTGAAGCCCTAACCTCCAATATCCCATGTGACTGTATTTGGAGGTAATTAAGTAATCAAATTCTTATGTTGAAGCTCTAACCTCCAATATCCCATGTGGCTGTATTTGGAGACAGGGCCTTTAAGGAGGTAATTAAGGTTAGATGAGGTCATCAGGGTGGGGCCCTAATCCCATAGAACTGGTGTCCTTATAAGAAAAGGGAGAGACCAGAGCCCTCTCTTTCATTCTCTCCCCTGCCCTTCAGTCTTCCAAGCACAGAGAAATAACCGTGTGAGGAGGCAACGGGAAGGCAGCTGTCTGCAAGCCCGGAAGAGAGGCCTCACCAGAAGTCAATCCTGTTGGCACCGTGATCTCGGGCTTCAGCCTCCAGAACCTTGAGAGAACGCTTTTCTGTTGTTTAACCCACCAGTCAGTGGTATTCACCACGGCAGCCCTAGCAGGTTAACAGAGACATGACTGACCCCAGTGCAGCTCCCATCCGGGTGAGGAGTTGCACTTCCCACCACTGCATGAGCTTCTCCCTGATGGGGATGCCCGCTGACTCCTTGTCCACTTGGGCCTGGTCTCATCCAATGCTTGGCTCAGCAATGCCTCCTACAGGCTGCTGTCCTTGACGTCACCTTCACCCAGGAGCCCCTTGCCTCTCCTCTGCACTCAGAAGCAGGGAAGCTGTCACTGGAGACAACGTGCCCTGGGGTGTTCCGAGTGCCAGCTGCTGTCTCGGGTCCCCAAACACAGTCCTCCTAGCACACCATGAAGAAGAATTATGACTGTCCCCATTTCACAGATGGGGAAACTGAGGGCTAGAGGCCAAGTGATGCTCCTGTGGTCACGCAGTGAGGAAGCGGGGAGCCAGGACACAGACCCAGGCCCTCTCCTCCTCCCAGTGCTGCCCAACACCCACTGGTTGATTCCTTCATAGCCAGGTGTCCACACTCCTGTCTTTCCAACAACTGAGGATGCTGCCTGAGGCAGGGGCTCTGTCTGGCTCAGCATGGCATCCTGTGACTCCTGCCCCTAAAGAGGGCTCAGGTGCCCTCTCCTGCTCTCTGAAAGTCACCCTGCAGGGCAAGCATGGCCAGCTTCACCTCCCCACCCCAGACCTGCACACGGTTGCACAGGGGAAAGAGGTGGTGTGGCATGTGATCTCTGACGTCCCCATTTCAGCCCAGAACCCCTTCTTCATCACCACTTTACACTGATGACACCCAGAAACCCTGGGCCTATTTCTCACCTGGGGAGAACGGATTTCCAAAGAGCTTTGCTGACAGGGATGTGTGGAGATAAGAATCCTCAGCACCCCAAAAATGGACGGTGCCTCAGAGAGGACCAAGGCCAACTGCCTCGGTTTCTGATGTGGGCAAGGAGGATCGCATGGAGGGGACACAGCCTGCGTGGATCACCGGCCAATGAGTGCGGGGTTGGACCTGAACCACCTCTGGGGTCCCCAGCCAGGAGGATGTGAGGTTCTCGCACACACACAGACCCTGGGGCTTCTCTGCTGGTCCCCACAGAGGCCATGTACCTGGCAGAGTGCAACCACAGCCTCGGTGGCTCTGACATTCTCCTCTTCCTCCAGGTCACACTGCATCAGCCTCTGCCTCTCCAGGACCTCATGAAAAGCCTGTGAGGAAAACAAGAGCTGAGTCTGGTAGAAACATGCAGGGTTTTTTTTTTTTTTTCCAGAAGGTTCTCCAACCATCCCCTGCATCTCAGGTTAGAAAGAAGGATGTTGGCACCTGTATTACACACAAGGAAACTGAGGCATGGGGCTGTCACATGGCTTTCACAGCTGATGCCAGGGTCAGCAAATCCGATTTCCAGGAAACACCACAAACCACCACGCTTTTGTTAAAGCCAGGATGAGGAGGGGCCACTGGACCACTTCTGTCACTCCTCTGTCCTGGCTGCAGCCACCCAGACATCACTTTCTGACCACCCAGGCCATGGAAGACCCACTGATGGGAACCCAGCAGGGGTGACACAGACTGGCGATTGGAGGTCAGTGCAGTCAGCAACCAGCCAGGCCCCACTGTGACCACGGGGTGGAGGCCCTTCCCTGAGGACCCCAGCAGAGCAGCAGGAGACTGGGCTAACCCGGGCATCAGCAGGGGGAGACCCAGCCAGCCCTAAACAGAGCATCAGCGAGGGGCGAGGTGGGGCAGAAGGACAGAGGAACAGACCCTTCTCAGGGAAGGGTTGCAGGAGAAAATTCCCTGTTGGGGAGATGTTTCAATGGAGTCTCTAAGGACAAGGAAGGACTCCTTGGAGGGAAGATGGGGAGCCAGGCTCAGCGAGCAGCAGCAGAGACCAGGAGGTAAACCCCCTAAGATCTTTGGTGATGCTACGGGCAGGAGGTGAGATGAGAGAGAAGGGCGGGACTGGAAAAAGGTGGGTGCTGAGTGTGTACTGGGAGCCTGGTGTCGTTCGTTCATTCTCCCACCCATTCCATCCTCCTTCATTCGCTCGTTTGCCCATTTGTCCATGTCCTGGTTCATTCAGGCACGCATGCGCTCATTCACCCTTCCCTGCCTGCGTCCCACGTGTCCTGAACGCCAGCGCTGAGGCGTTCCGAGGACTGTACCGAGGCCCTGGGACACCAAGGTCACCCAGGCACTGTCTCCACACTCTGGACTCACACTGGGCTCTGTGACATCAAGGACAGGGGCCCAGAAATATCCAAATAACGAGGAGCTGAATAGCCTTATCTTCCTCTTATTTCAAATGGGTCTCAAAGATAGAAAAACCTACCCTACCCCTTTGTGGCAAATGCAGAAGCTCCAAGTATGGGCCTGGAAGAGGCCCCCTGGGTGAGGGAGGCAGCTGGACCAGGGACCTAGAGGCCTGTCCTCTGTTCTCGGGGGACCCCTCCATTGGCTTCTCACTGCAGTGGTGCCACCACCACCAGCTTGGCCCCCAGGGAGAGCCCCTGGGCCTCTATTCTGGGCTGAGCCTGGACCCAGACATGGTGCCACCCACCCCTTGGCAGAACTGAGATGTGCTGTACCAAGTGTTGACGGAGGGCAGGCGGACCCAGGCAAACAGTGAGGCTGGGGCTGCCCCTTCCTTGGTCTCACTGAATCCTAACAATGCTGTGATATAGGTGCCATTATGCCCATTTCACAGATGTGGAAGCTGAGGGCCAGAGGGTAAGCAACATGCCCAAGGTCACCCAGCTATTTAGTGGCAGAGTCAGCACCCAAACCCAAGTGTGGCTGGCCTCAGCGCCCAATGCTTAACCAGCCTGCAAGACGGTTACGGACAAGCTGGTCCTCTCCCAGCCCCACTGCCCATTACTAGTGAAAGCAAGCAGAGCGAAACCAGAGCTCGGTGGTCTCTCTGAGAACTGGCGAGTCCAGGTCCTTAGAGCCTGCACTGGGGCCAGCTGACTCCTTTTCCTTGGAGGGTGACATCTTGCTTTTTGTCCTCCTTCAGGTCTTCTTGTCCCCTTCTCAGGCAAGACCAAGGGTACCTCTGACCTTGGCCACCTCCTGGCCCTGACCACTCAACCCCACATGCAAGGCTGGGAACTCCCTTCCTTCTCCTGGACTTGCAGCCGACCCACAAGGGCCCTGTCCCTGGGTGTGTGAGCCTGCCTTACTCTCCGGGACATGCTTGTCCCCTCTGGGCCACACATTGCTCCCTTCACGCCATTGCCACCATCTGTGTGCTCCTGCCATGCGTCTGCACTCTGCCAAGCTCTCTACGGATCCTACCCCCTCCTCTTCTCAGCAGCCCAGTGAGGGCAGCACAACTCTTATCACCAGCTTACAGTCCACTAGGACCCTAGGGATGTAGGGGCTAAGGGACTGAGATTCGGTCACTCGGCTGACACATGGGAAGTAGGCAGATAACCTCATGCCTGATGAATACCTCCGGCGTCCCGTGCTCAGTCACGGGAACAGAGCTACAACTGGCTCACCCACATGTGCAGAGGCTGGGGATGTGAGTCACCTCGAGAAACTTTTCCGGGTCAGCAGTCGGCTGGGCCTCAGCCAGGAAGCTTCTCTGTTCCTCCTCTTGGGCCAGCGTGAGTTTTGCCGTTCCCTCCACCTGGTGAGCCAGAGACGCCGTGACCAGGTCTTTGCCTCGCTGGACAAACTCTGGGATTGAAAAAAGCCACAGCATAGGAGGTGACTCTGTGAGCCAGAATTTCAGTGGGGACCCTCATGCTTTCTCCTGTCTGGAGGTTGGGGAAGCTGGTGTCGGCTGCAGAGATGGTGCCCGCCCTGCTGGTGACACACCTGGGTTTTTCTGTAGGTC
The DNA here is from genome assembly GCF_000001405.40 of Homo sapiens. Lineage (NCBI taxonomy): Eukaryota > Metazoa > Chordata > Mammalia > Primates > Hominidae > Homo > Homo sapiens. The sequence continues at coordinate 5,753,624 of NC_000004.12, read as the reverse complement.
CCACTAGTAGTGTGACCTCAGCTAAGCCCAGATGCCTCCACGTCTTGAGCCTTGCCCCACCCCCACCCCAGGGTCAGCCTTGGGGCAGGAGCATGTGTGGGACACATGCACGGCTCCCCTTCCTGCCCCACATGCTGGACCATGGCCCACCCTCACCCACTCTGCCGCTGAGCAGGGCCACATGACTCCAGCATGACCATGAGCTGCCGCTGGGCGACAGGGACCACTTTGTGTAAATTTCTAGTGAGACCCTTCACCCTCCTCTGTCCCTCTGCAGTTCCTGGTGGCTTTGCTGCAGGACGTGGGGACTCAATCAGCCGGAATCCCTGGTGAGTGAGTGCAGCAGGTGACCCCTGCCCTGGGCAGTGGCCCTCATGGACTCTGCTGTACAGAGAAGGGAAGAGAGCCCCAGAGAGCAGCCCAGTGACCCAGTCCCTAGGGCAGAAGCAGAAAGGCAGCCTGTGCCCGGCATCATGGGCACACTGCCCCAGGCTGCCAGCCCTCTCACTGCACAGCCCCAGGGACCCAGAAGGCCAGTGTTGTGGACGGCGGCACCCATGCCCACGGCTCACCCCGGCTGAAGCGCTCTGCCTCCTGCCAGAAGGCCTTGTGCTGCTGCGTGAGCAGCTCCTCCTTCTGCCGCCCGGACAGCTTCCCCTCACCAGCCAGCAGCTCCAGGCCGTGGGAGATGGCAGCCAGCCGGCACCTGGTCTCCTCCTGGACTTGCAGCTTCAGAAACTCAATCACTTTTGCCATGTGCGCCCGCCCCATCGTCCTCTCCAGGGCGTCCTGCAAAAAGAAACACACAGGACCATAGCTGGGGTGTCCTGGGAACCACCAGGGCATGTTAATTAACAGCTGAGAAGAAGCCACCAGGGTCATTAACTAATGGCACTGCCTGGGAGAGCGGAGCTCAGAGGGATGAACTCCCCCTCTCCTTCATGAGCGAGATCTGCGTCTGCCCCCGAGGTGGGGATTAAGTGTCTCTCCTAGGGTGCGGGGAGGCTGACGCAGCTTAGCATGTAGGCACTTAGTCACCAGTAGCGCTCCCCAGAGGGCCACCCTCCTAGGAGGGAATCCAGATTTACAAACGGTCAAGGAGGAAAAGCCACCTGGCTTATAGTCATCTCCCCCGGCCAATCTGGCCCTGTGGCCCCCACAGGGCTGTGGAGGAAATGCAAAGTGCCAGCAGTTCCTGGCTTTTGTTAGAGCCCCAGAGAGCCTGACTGCTGAGGACGGCCGAGATTTTCAGGGGAATGATTGGCTTCCAACACGACTCCCCGCAGTCAGATTCTACAGAAGGCCCTCCCCAGCCCCACCTCATCATTTCAGGGACTCTCAGAAAAGACAGGGGGAAATGTCAACCGGAGGCAGCCAAGGGCCCTGCACACCTGAGAGCAGCTGCTTGTGGAATGAGAGTAAGGGGGAAAGGAGGAGCGGACGGCGGACGTTGGCATCTCCCTCGGCACAGACTCTGCACCCCCCACTCCCAGCCACGCCCAGCTCAGGCCTAGGCACCTCTGTGCTGGGCCGAGGCCACAGGCCAGTCCTGCTCCCCAGCCTCCCATCTCTGCCCCATGCTCTAACCCCACCTCACAGAACAGCGGACCTTTCAGAGATGCTGATGGTTCTGTCAGCCATGGCCCCAAACCCTCCTGTTGCTGCCCTGAGATCAAGTCCAGCACCCCAGGCATGGTGCAGGAAGTTCTGTGGGGCCCTGTCCTGCACACCTGCCTGGTCCCGGCTGCCCAGCCTCTGCACATGCGGGGCCTTCCTCCTGGAACACCCTCACTGCCTCCTCTCACTCCCCTGCCCAGCCAGGTCCTTCTATGTCCTCATGGGTTCTGTGGTCCTTCCCTGCTTGTCCCCACCCTCACTGGTCCCCTACTCTGTTCTCCACTGCCCCAGGGCTCCTGTCTTCGAGGAGGTGATTGTGAGGGGCAGTCCCAGCCTGGACTGAGAGCCCTTGAAGACAGGGGCCAGGCCTGAGTCGCCCACGTCCCCTTGACCAGCCATGGCCACACTGTGCGCTGAGCTGCACTGGCCTCTGTTCCCACAACACAAGACTAGGGCAAGAACATCCCCCAGCGATGGACAAGGACGGCGAGGCTCATTCCAGCAGCCCGTGAACCCTAGAGGGTGCAAGAGGATAAGCGGAGGTGCCAGGTGGGCCGCGGGAAGGGCGGCTCTGGCCACCTCTAAAGAGCATGTTGAGAACCCAACACAGGCTGGCTGGATTCGGCAGTGGTGGTGCAATCGATGTGCTTATATTGGAGGGAGGATGGAAGTGGAGAGAGTGGCGTGAGAAGAGGGATGTGGAATGGGGGAAGGGGGCCCTGATGTGCTCTGAGTGTGGCTGAGTCAACAGTGCCAGGCTCAGACTTGGCTCCCAGGACCTGAGCACAAGCTCCTCACCTGACCCTTGCCACACAGATTTGACATGAGGATTAAGTAAGTCAAAATACGTGAAGCATTGAGAACAACGGCCAGGGAACAGTGAGCCTCCCTGAGTGTCAGCTGTTTTCACCATTATCTACAGCCAGTCCCATCTGTCTTGGCAGCTGTTTTTTTTCCTGTGAGTCTCAAGAAACTGAATCTGATGACCGTCAGGGTCCCTTTGAAGGGCTCTTCCAGTTTTAATATTTACAGATGCACATTTCAGCTCCAAATGCCCAGGCCAGAAAGATGGGATGCCGCCCTGGGAATTCCAACTCTTCTGTGTTCTGAGATACGGAAGCCATCTTTTTTCCCTTTGGTGCCCGGTATGCAGGCATAGTGAATCCATCCCTCTTCTATACAAACATAGACTGTGTAGCCCTGTCCATGCATCATTACAGTAATTTTTTGCTGTCTATTTCTCCTGCTGACATGTGGCCTGCAGGACTCTAATGACTAACAAGTACTGAATGCTTCCTACGTGCCGGGCTCTGCTCTAAAAACTTTACATACTGCCAAGTCTTTAACACCCTCAACTACCCTGTGAGAGAGCAGGTGCTATCATAGCCCCCATTTCACAGAAAATGAAACCAAATCACAGAGAGGTTAAATTATCTGCCCAAGATCACACAGCTAACGAGTGGCAAGACTGCAGTGGGAGCTCCAGTTTCTTCCCTGAGCCTGCATTCCTAACCTCTGCAATATGGTTTCCATGAACAGCATGTGCTACACAGTAGGTGCTCATTAAACATTGGCTGAAGGACAGTCATGCTGTTAAACTGGAGGATCCCTTTCCTTCTTCCTATTTGGAAGTTATTGGCTGATACTCTGGCCAGAGTCAGCTAAGGATGTATTTTCTTTTTTCTGCATCAATATCCTGCTGATAGCAAAAGAAAAAAATATAGGAAGAAAAGTCTTTCACCTTTGCAGAGCATTAATGAGTCAGCAGCCTTATCAAACTGAAATCCAATTCAAAGGGGCTTGGGCAGCAAACCAGGAAGCTTCAGGCCCAGGCTCAGCGATGTCATTAGAGAGGACGGGGATCTTAGGTGGATCACTGAGTGGGCTCCTTATCTGCGTGCTGTGAATAAAATATCTTCCATACCTATCTTTCGGCAGTGTTGACAGAAAAAAAAGGCCATGTGTGTATATACCGAGAAAAAGCACATGAAGTTCTCAAACAACTGTGTGGATGTGGGGGTCTTGTTAAAGTGCAGATCCTGCTTGGGAAGGGTGGAGGACAGGATTCTGCACTCTAACCAGCTCCCAGTGTTGCCGATGCTGTGGTCTGTGGATCACACCTGGAGGAGCAGAGCGGATTGGGAGAGGCATGTGGTGTGCAAGGGGAGGCAAAGATCCGTTGAGGCTTGGCTTTCCCACGGGTCTGAGGAGCTGAGTCTGTGCTGAGGGCAGGGTGGCCACTGCAGGGTTCTGAGCCGAGCTGCCACACGGGCTGGTGCACAGGACGGGGAAATGGGTGCAGGGCAGCATCAGAGGGCTCGTTCCCTGGCCCTAGTACACACTGGCGCACACAGGATGAGCCCAATGTGTACCAAGAGGAACCCAATGGTGACTGGGGTGTTAGGAGTCACTCAGCATCTAGCCAGGCCCTGTCTGTGGCAACTCTTAGCACTATTATTTTATAAATAGAGGAACAGACGCGCAGAGAGGTTAAGTAATGTGTTCAAGATCACACAGCTCCAAACAACAGAGCCCAGAGTCAAAGCTGGATTCGCAGATTTCTCTCCCACGGGTGTCCAACCCTTTGAATGTGAGGACTTTTTTGCTTATCTGTGGTTGGCAGGCTTCACAAAAATAAGGAGGGACCTTTTTTTTTTTTTTTTTTTCCGCTCATCAGCTATCGTTAGTGTTAATGTATTTTATGTGTGGCCTAAGACAATTCTTCTTCTTCCAATGTGGCCCAGGGAAGCCAAAAGGTTGGACACCCATGCACCAGGGGTTTGTATCCCTGGCCTCCCGTCAGAATAGTTCAGGGAGTTTTAAAACCCACAATGCCAGGGCCTCCACTCCAGACCAATCATATTAGAACCTCAGAGTGAAGGCCAGGAAAAGGCATTGTTAAAGAACTCTGCAGGCAAAACAGGGCAATCAGGAAAGTCAATCAATGCTCTGTCTACACCAGTGGGCGTCAACCCCAGCTCCCACCATCGTCATTGGGGAGCTCTAAAAACCCCAATGCCCAGCCAGGTTGCACCCCAATCTGATTAAGTCAGAAACTCTGGGATGGAGACCCATCTGGGGCCCAAGAATCAGTACTTTTTAAAGCTCCCAGATAATTTCAATGTGTAATTTCAGGTTTAGGACCAGTGTTCTATGCTCCAGTAATACTGAGCTGGCCAGAGCCTTCACTCATTGGATAGACGGATGGATGGATGGATGGATGGATGGGTGGATGGATGGATGGATGAGTAAATGGATGGATGGGTGGATTGATGGGTGGATGGGTGGGTGGGTGGATGGGTGGACGGGTGGATGGATGGGTGGGTGGATGGATGGATGGAGGGATGGATGGATGGATAAATGGGTGGGAGGGCAGATGGATGGATGGGTGGGTGGATGGATGGGTGGATGGATGGATGGATGGGTGGATGGATGGATGGATAAATGGGTGGGAGGGCAGATGGATGGATGGGTAGATGGATGGATGGATGGAAGGGTCAATGGGTGGATGGATGGGTGGATGGATGGATAAATAAATAAATGGATGAATGAATTTACTGTTGTTGTTGGTTTTTTTTTCCCTGAGGCTCTATATAACCAGCTACAACATGAATCTGTTAGATTTAAGGATGTCAAGCCTCAGGATTCCATATCTCTAGTCTGAATATCTTTATGTTCCCTCCCGCCCCCTCCAGCATTACCAGAGCCTGCAGCTCCTGAGAATCGCACAATAGCCCTTCGGCTGCAATCATTCTTTCCGTCAGAGTCATCATCAGCTGTCGGGCTTTGGAGCTGGAACACTTAAACTGGTCCACAAGAAAGTGCTGGATATTTGCCATCTGTTTCCAGAAAGCTTCCATCTGTGAAATGAGCACAAGCAGCAAGAAGTGAGGTGAAAAACTTACTTAAGAAAGCCAAACGGTGCGTGCTCGGGAATTACAATTCACTCCCTATCACAAACAAAGATTCTAAACAATTCTACAGTTTCAGTGAGTTTATCTTGGCAACAATCACGTTCTACAGTGAAGTTCTTTCTGGTTCCATTGTCTGGTTCCAGTGTCAGTCAGTTTTGCAATGGTGTTTCAGCAGACACGAGAGCACTGCTGCTAAGGAAAGAAAGCAGTAGCTTGTCCAGCCTACAGACTCTTGCACAGGTCATTACAGCTACCTAGGGGCCGATGAAATGTGACAATGTGCTCATGGAAGCTTTGGCAATTTTAAATGGGATTAAATACTTCCTGGAAGTAAAAGCATAAACAGATGTTTAAATATTAGTTATTGTCCTAAAAGTACAAAAGCTTAATATGGCAGAGAGGATGCTGACCATGAAAACATTTTGCTTTAAAATCTTCCCTCCCCCTCATTTTATCAGGAGCAGAGCTGGGAATTCCCAAGTGGCTTAGAATGCAGGAGGTTTAATTGAGTCATCACAGCCAGTCAGAGCTCTAAGGACAATGACACTAGGAATCGGAGCAACTTTCCCTCATGGCCCACAGGCTGTTCGCCAGGCTCTGTGCTTCACACATTTGATATCATGATAAAGTATGTATCTAGAGGTGTAGGAACAGGCTCGGGGGAGTTAGGTCACTTGTCAGAGGTCATGGACCCAGTGAAAGCCCGGATTTGGTTCAGGTCCATTTAACTCCACGGCTGAGGTTGCCTCCATCTTGGCTCAGCCTCTGAGAGGCTGAAATGGACACTTCTGGCTGGACTGGGCATGGGAGGGGGCAGGGGTTAGTGTCACCAGAAACCCATGATTTTGTTGCTGTGACTCAAGATCATGAAACTCTGTCAGCCTCAACTGCGGTGTCGGTCTGGCTCTGCCAGGAGGAAGCCTGCACCCAGATGAACACCCCTCATCAATGCGGCTCCCCATCTCAGGGCCCCATTGCCTCCCAGTAAACCCCATACATGCTGCTCCTCCTCTCATCCCTGCCAGGAGGGACCTCAAACCTGCCTGACACCCTCAGGCTCTCACCCTGCTCTTCCCCTTGGAGCCATCAGATGACCTGCCTTCCACCTGCCACGTGACTGCAGACTGTCACCTGCCAACTCTACACAGCCCGCTCTGCTTACAAACTCCTGATTCTCTTGGCGTCCATGACATGATTTTCTCCTGCTTCTGCAAAGCCCATCCAATTCCTCCTCTGCTTTCTTGTCCCAATTCTTCTCATCCGCTCCTCCTTAAATATGGGCAGGATCCAGGATTTGGCACCAAAGCTCTTTTCTCTTCCCATTTTACACACCATTTCTAGGCCAGAGGTCACCATTTTTGGAGGTCACCAATACTTTGGAGAATCTTATGAAAATTCTGAACCCTGTCCCTGAGAAAGGCAGACATGGACAAGATACTGCACACAGCGTTGGGGGTTCTGTGGACCACCGGAATCCAGGCTGGCCCTCTTCCTTAGCATCCTGGCCCACAGTTCTAAGAACATTCTGGCCCTCAAAGTCCTCTAACCTGGGCTCTCATGGAGACCCTCCATCTCCAAGCCTCTCCTCTCAATATTGGACCTATTCAGAGGACAGGAGCATTGGCTCCCTCCCTCCCATGAGCATCTTGCTCTGGGGCGCTTATTTCAGCAGCACTGACCCTGGACCCCCTCCTCCTCCCCACCTGCCGCCCCATGGTAGACCACCACAGCTTCTCTCACACGTTTCCTCACCTCTCCATCCTACTGCAGTTGCCTTAATAAAGTTCCTGCTGGATTAGCCCAGTAGCTCTTCACCACCCTCCACTCAGTGCCTGGGCAGCCCTTCTAAAGCAGAAGCTGAAGCCAGCCACCCCCTGCTTCAAAGCTTCAGTGACTCCCACCTCGCTGGCAATAGACACTCCCATCTCGCTGGCTTAAGACACAAACAAGCCCTCTGGCCAGATCCCTCTGGCTTTACCTTACCTCGACTTGCTCTCAGCCCTCTTTAGCTCCCATCTCTGCCCCACCACTGGCCAGCACCCACACTTCTCCCGGCCAGCCTCTCCATGGTCCCTTCTTCTACGGAGGCTTTCCTAAGCCTGGGGTAAAATGAACTCTTCCCTCCACTGTGCCTGCCTCGGGCCTTCTCCTGTGCTTCCTTCTATCACAAGATGTGTCACTCTGTGAAGCCCTCATCTGTTCACCTGTTTGTCTCTCCTGGCCTCTCTCAGGCAGGGCCATGTCTAAATGATTTTTGAGTCCCCAGTGCCCAGCACAATCCCTGGTGAAGAGCAAGTGCCAAGGACATGTTTGTTTAATACATAATATATGAACAGGGGGTGGTGGAACCCAAAAGAAAAGAAAAACGATGTTTCAGAGAAGCCATTCTGTCTGGAATTTAAAACTTGCTTTCACGAGTGATGCCTAGCAGCTTTCTTCTACTCTATTCCAAAGGGCAGTGATGACATCAAGGGTTATAGCAACCTTTGCTTTGAATGATAAAAAGACCAATCTGAAATTTAAATGAGGATAATTCATGATATAAAAAATAAACCTCCCTTTGTGAATCTTTGCTGCTTAATTACTTCTTCCCTATCACTTAGCATCAGAAACTGGATCCTGCCTCTAGGGCAGAATGCGATAGGGGAATTCAAGTATTAGGCACACTTCTAACTATCATCTCTCTAATGTAGCCAATTTAACTGTTTTAGGAACCAAAATTTGTGTACAGGAAAGAAAGTCTGGCACGCACATTATCGATTAGCTGTTCAGAGTATTCTCTCTCCTTCTTTTCCACATCAGCCAGGGTGATGTACTCAGAGTCACCAGCCCCCGACATTTCTGTGTTTGACAGTTTGACCTGAAGTCCCTTTTCTAGTTCCTCCAAATCCTGAAGAAGAAGAAGAAAAAAGAAAGCAAATAAACAAAGAAAAAGTTTAGCGTGTCTTAAATTCTAGAAAAATAAATGCTTTTATTTTTCAAATTTCACAAAATATTTTTAAACAATAGTTAAATGCTCTGGGGGTTGTTGTACATGAGGTTTGACCCATTTTCTCATTAAACATAGAGCCTCAAGAATAATGGATTATTTTCCTCTATATCCTCCCTCAAAAAAAAAAAAAAAACTAGACCATACTTTAAAAATCAATAAAATAGTATCTTTCAATCATTATGAAGTCCTGGAAAATATCATGACATCCAGTGGGTTGGGAAGGAATGTTTCTTTGCTCCTCTTCTGGTTTTCCTGGGAAAGAACAACACCCCAGGGCAGGAAGTGGTGTGTATTTGATTGGTTGGTTTAAAGGCCAGAAACTTGCCCAGCCTCTTCCTGTTTGTGATGGGCCAATCAGGGGAGGCCATTGCTCTGGTGTGATATCAGCCTAGAGTGAGCTGGGTAGCCAAGGCCCTGTTTCTGTGTGGGGAAGCCTGAGGTGGCCCAGCATTGCCCGTGACTAGCTAGGCAATTGAGTGAATTCTGGGATTCAGTATTAGGAAGCCATGATAGCTGTGCATGTAAGCCACATCGTCCAAGCTGGCCTCTAATCAGTAACAAAGCTACATTTCTATATCTGTCCTCCTGACTCTCTCAAATGATTCTGAACTCAGGAAGGAAAAGGTGAGTCCTAAGTATAGACTCACAAACCCCAAGATAGTGTGTGGGAGGCAGTTCTATTTTCTCTATATTCATTGTCACATAGCCAACAGTGTGGCATGGGTCAAGGTTCACTAGGAAAAATAACATTGATATAAACTACTATTGAAGACCCAAGCTGAGGCCATATGTGATTTCTAATCCTCACGGCATCTCTGTGAAAGAGAAATTATGACCCATTTCCAGGTGAGAAAGCTGGTTTATGGAAGGTAAGATAGTTTGTCCAAAGATGCCCAGGCAGGAAGGGGCAGTGCCAGGCTTGTCCTTACTCTTCCAAATTCTGGGCACTCCTTGTCCTCTTCTGAAAGTTTTAAGGTCATTCCAAGTGTTAAATGAAATTATGCATTTAAATCACTTGGCTAGCCTATCTCAACAAATAGTAGCCACTATTATAATTAACATGCTTGCTTAAGTTCAGACAGCCTTGTTTAACTCGTAGAGATGGAATTTGATCTGAGGTCTGCAGACTCCAAGGCTCTTATTCTTTCTATTATAACAGACAGTATTGTTTCATTATTACTAATACCATTATAAATGTCATCATCATCATTATCATTTTTGCCATTGGAAAGTCATTTGAACTTATGGAGTCTCAGTTTCTTCAGCTGTAAAACAAAAATAACAATGGCCACTCACAGGGCTGTCATAACTATTAAATGAAATAATGTATGTCAAGCACGACGTGCACTGCCTGAGGACCATGACCATGGTGGTGATACTGAGGATGACAGTGAAGATGATGATGTCCTTCCTCCTTCCTGGGATGCAGTGAGTCATCCTTCCTCATGGAATCCAGTGGAGTAAAGAAGAAACATTCCTTCCCAAACCCCCAGATCTCACAGTGGTAGGAACAAGGACGATGACGATGACAATGAGGACTCTAATGAAGGTGAAGGTAGAGGTAGCAGGAAAGATGATAAAGGTGGTGATGGTGGTGCTGATGAAGATGGTGATGATGGTGGTGCTGATGAAGACTATCACAACAATGATGCGATGACGATGGCAGTAATGAAAATGATGACAATAACAATGATGATGATAATGAAAATGATGGCAGGGGATGATGAATAAGAGGCTGGTGATAGTAGTAACGAGAATAATGATGACAATGATGGTGAGGATAAGGTGAGGTAGGAGACTGGCAGGACTTGTTTTCTGATCACAACCCTGCTGATCAAAATGGGATCTGGTCCAGACAGGATAAAGTGAAGAAACCGGCAGGAACCAGTGGATGGTGATGAAAGTGATCCCTTGCTGCCCTCATTGCTCATTAGCATAAGACACTCCCACCAGCACAACCACAGATTACAAATGCCATGTCAACAACCCAAAAGTTACCACCCTTTTCCATGGCAACAACCCAGAAGTTACTGTCCCCTTTTTAGAAAGTTCTAAATAACCTGTCCCTCAATTTGCAATGAACTGCCCTTTCATTTGCATGTAATTGAAAGTGGGTTTACATGAGTATAAATACAGTTGCCAAGCATCCATATGTTACCAACTCTGGGCACACTGCCTACGGGTTAGCCCTGCTCCGCAAGGAGTGGCACCATTCACTAAAACACTACTGTCTAACACCACTGGCTCTCCCTTGAATTCCTTCCTAGGTGAAGCCAAGTACCCTCCCAGGCTAAACCCTATTCTGGAGCTTGCCTGCCCTGCAACATTGGTGGTGGTGATGGCAATAAGGATGGTGATGATGATTATGGTGGTAATGAAGATGATGATGGCGGTGATGGTAGTAATGAGAATGCCAATAATTACAACAATGATAAAAATGATGCTCATGATGATGGTAATGAGGACATGAGGATGGTGATGGTGTTGGTGATGACAGCGGTCATGAGGATGATGATGATGGTGGTAAAGACAAAGAATGATGATGTCAGTGGTGACAATAGCAAAGATGATGGTGTTTATGGTGATGACAACAATGACATGATGAAGAAGAGAACTGTGATAGTAATAGTGGTGGTGATGGTGATACAAAATAAAACTGGTGGTGATAATGAAGATGATGATGATTTTGGTGGTGGTTGTGATAATGAGGATGACAGCAGCCATCACATATTCACAGCCAACTATGACATTGCTAGGTGTATCATACACATCTCTCTTATCCTTTCTGCACTCTCGCAGAACAGGAATTATCTCACTATACAAAAAGGAAACTACGATTCTGAGAGCTTGTAAAAGATAAAGCCAGGATACCAACCTCAACCAGTCTGACTCCAAGCCCTGACTCTTTGCTGCGCCTGAGACAAAATAAACTTTCCATAAAAGACTGAGAATAGAATACAAAGTAGTATACATAGCTATAACCAATAAACAAATTATGTCTTTAAAAATATCCCAAATGTGTGCAGAAAAAAACATTAACAGTGACCGTCTTTGAGTAGTAGATATGACCAATATTATTCTCTTTGCTATAAATAGTATTCCAAATTTTAATAATACACTTTTTAAATATTTGTATACATACTTTTATATTTCACTATACTGTGTTGAAAAGTATATATTGTAATAAGCTATTTTATACATGAAAGAAAAAAATTTTTGCATCATAAGTTGTATATATTATAATAAACTATTTTTAAGTTACCTTGAAACATAGGTTGAAGACTTACTTTTTCTTGTTTTGAAAGGATCTTCTGGTATAGTTCATCATCTGACTTCTTTTTAGGAAGAAGGTCAAGGAGGCACATTTTAAAAATCTGAATAAACATCTATTGCCAAGAAAGGAAAGATAACAAAAGAAAAGTTTAATCAATGGTATTTTTGTCTTTTGCTTTCTGTTTTCTCTTCTCCCTCCCTCCCCCACTGCCTCTCTCCTTCTTTTCTTCTCTTTCACCCTCTCTTCACGTATATTTTTTGCTGAAGGAAAGGAACTCCGATTATAAATCATGACAATGGCCCATAATGCATTACATTTTCATGAAGCTTCCTTAAAAAGCTTCCTTTCTTCCTCATGCATGTATTCAACAAATATTGAGTGCTTACTCTGTGCAAGGCCCTCCACATCCCCCATTTCCATGTGTGAAGAAAATATAAAAAGCAAAGGAGGGTTTGCTTCTTTGAAGAAAGAATCAGCGGGATAGTTGTATGGAACTGGAAATGAAAAGTTATCCATGTCAGTCTCCTGTTTCAATGGATGGAGATGTCCTTTAAACTAGGAAGAACCCTCCCATAAGTGGGGATACCCAGGAAGTACAGAGGGGGCTGTATCTGCAATTTGTTGATCTATTCACCCCTGTAAGACATCTGGATTATTTCCAGTTTGGGGCTATTATGAACAATGCTGCTGTGAACATTTGTGTGAACGTAAGTCCTCATTTCTCTGAGATAAATGCCCACAAATGCAATTGCTGGGTCTTCTGGTAACTGCAAGTTAAGTTTGATAAGAAATTGCCAAAACGTTTTCCAGTATGGCCGTAGGTACCATTTTATATTTCCATCAGCAATGTATGAGTGATCCAGTTTCTCCACATCTTTGCCAGAATTTGGTGGTGTCACTATTTTTTATTTTAGCCATTTTGACAAGTGTGTGGTGATATCTTATTGTGAGTTCAACTTGGATTTTCATGCTGGCTTAATGACATTGAACACCTTTTTACGTGTTTACTTACCATCTATATATCCTTTTTGGTGAAATATCTGTTCATGTCCTTCCCATTTTCTAACTGGATTGCTTCCTGTCTTCAGCTGAGTTTGGAAATTTCCTTATCTGGTCTAGGTACTAGTCCTTTGGTGGACATCTGTTTTGCAAACATTTTCTCTCACTCTGTAGCTTGTCTTCTCATCTTCTTAAAGAGGTCTTTTGCAAAGCAAAAGTTTTTAATTTTGATGAATTCCAGTTAATTTTTCCTTCTGTGTGTCATGCTTTTGGTGTCAAGTCTAAAAACTCTTTGCCTAGGTCTAAATCCTGGAGAATTTCTCTTATATTTTTTCTTTTTCTTTTTTTTTTTTTTTTTGAGATGGAGTATCAGTCTGTCGTCCAGGCTAGAGTGCAGTGGTGCAATCTTGGCTCACTGCAACCTTCACCTCCCGGGTTCAAGCGATTCTCCCACCTCAGCCTCCCAAGTAGGTGGGATTACAAGCATGTGCCACCACACCCGGCTAATTTTTGTATTTTTAGTAGAGACGAGGTTTCACCATGTTGGCCAGGCTGGTCTTGAATTCCTGACCTCAAGTGATCCACCCACCTCAGCCTCCCAAAGTGCTGGGATTATAGGCGTGAGCCAACCATGCCTGGCAATATTTTTTCTAAAAGATTTATAGTTTACTGTTTACATTTAAGTATGTGATCCCTTTTGAATTAATTTTTGTATAAGGTGTGAAGTTTAGGTTGAGGTTCTTTTGTCGTTGTTATTGTTTATGGATGTCCAATTGCTCCAGTACCATTTATTGAAAAGCTTATCATTCCTCCATTGAAGTGCTTTTGCCTCTTTGTCAAAGGTCATTTAGATATAATATGGTCATTTAGATATAATAAGGCATTTTCTTTTTCTTTGGTGAACCGGTAAGGCTTTTTTTTTTTTTTTTGAGATGGGGTTTCTCTGTGTTGCCCAGGCTGGTCTCGAACTCCTGAACTCATGCAACCTGCCTGCCTCCACCTCCCAAAGTGCTGGGATTATAGGCATGAGTCACTGCATCCCGCCTGGTAAGGCATTTTTAAATGCAGGGGTTAGCAAACTTTTTCAGTAAAGGGTGAAACAGCAAATTTTTTTTGGCTTTGCAGGCCATATGATCTCTTTTGCAACTACTCAGTTCTGCGGTTGTGGCATATGCCACACAGGCATACAGGCAATATGGAAAAGAAGGACATGGCCAGATTTGGCTCAAGGGCCACAGTTTTTGATCCTTCTTTTAATGGATTAAGGCTTGTTAATCACTCTTCTGGGCCAGCCTAATGTATGTATTATACATACTATCACTTGATCTCCATGGCATGCGGGGAGGTTGGTACCATCTTCCGCATTTTACAGATGAGAAAATGCCCAGCAACTTGCAGGGGCCACTTGCCTCCTGCCACACAGCCACATGCGACAGAGCTGAGATTTGAACCCAGAATTCTGCCCACCAACCTTCATTATATTTGCCAATGACAATGAGCTCTAAGGAGAAAGTGGTGTCCTGGCTTTCTACTCACTGAAGACTGATATGGTATAAGATATAATAACATTATTTTTGCAAGATGTTAGTTTCGAGTCTACTTTCTTCCTGACCCCAAATAAATCAGTAATGTTTACAGCCCTCATCCTCTCCCTTTCCATAGTGCCAACTTTGAGATAGTTATAGATTCAAATGAAGGTACAAAAATAATACAAGCATACCATGGAGGTATTGTAGGGTTGATTTCAGGCCACCTCAGTAAGGTGAATATCACAATAAAGCAAGCCGCACACATTTTTTGGTTTTCTAGTGCATATAAAAGCTATGTTTACACTATACTGTAGTCTAAGTGTACAATAGCAGTATGTCTAAAAAAGTACATACCTTAATTTTAAAAATAACTTCTTCCTAAAAAATGCTAATGATCATCTGAGCCTAAGATGATTATTAAAAAAAAGTTGTTGGGCTGGGTGCGGTGGCTCACACCCGTAATCCCAGCACTTTGGGAGGCGGAGGCAGGTGGATCACAAGGTCAAGAGATTGAGACCCATCCTGGCCAACATGGTGAAACCCCGTCTCTACTAAAAATGCAAAAATTGTCTGGGCGAGGTGGTGCGCGCCTGTGGTCCCAGCTGCTCGGGAGGCTGAGGCGGGAGAATCACTTGAATCTGGGAGGCAAAGTTTGCAGTGAGTTGAGATCTCCGTCTTAAAAAAAAAAAAAAAGTTGTAATCTTTTAGCTGGTGGAGGGTCTTGTCTCAATGTTGATGGCTACTGACTTATGAGGGTAGTGGTTGCTGAAGGTTAGGGTGGCTGTGGCAGTTTCTTAAAATAAGACCACTCTGAAGTGGGCCACATCAGCTGACTCTTCCTTTCACAAAAGATTTCTCTGCAGCGTGCCATGCTATTCGATAGCAATTTGCCCACAGTAGAACTTTAAAACTTGGAGTCAATCCTCTCAAACCCTGCAGCTGCTTTATCAAATAAGTTTACATAGTATTCTAAATCCTTTTTGTCATTTCAACAATGTTCACAGCATCTTCACCAGAAGCAGATTCCTTCTCTAGAAACCACTTTCATTGCTCATCCATCAGAAGCAGCTCCTCATCCAGTCATGTTTCATCATGAGATTGCAGCAGCTCAGTCCCATCTTCAGGCTCCAATTCTAATCCTAGTTTTCTTGCTATTTCCACATTTCCAATGACTTCCTCCACTGAAGTTCTGAATCCCCTCAAAGTCATTCATGAGGATTGAAATCAACCTCTTCCAAACTCTTGTTAATGTTGATATTTTGACCTCCTCCTATGAATCATGAATATTCTCAATGGCATCTAGAATGGTGAATCCTTTCCAGAAGGTTTTCAATTTACATTGTTCAAATCCTTCAGAGGAATCACTATGTATGGCAGTTAGAGCCTTAGGAAATGTATTTCTTAAATAATAAGACTTGAAAGTTGAAATTACTCTTTAATCAATAGGCTCAGAATGAATGTTGTGTTAGCAGGCATGAAAATGACATTAACTTCCTTGTACATCTTCATCAGAGCTCTCGGGTGACCAGGGGTTTTGAAAATGACCAGTAACATTTTGAAAAGAAGTTTATTTTCTGGGCAGTAGGTGTCAATAGTGGGCTTAAACTATGCTATAAACAGCTGTGTTGTGATCCAGGCTTTGTTGTTCCACTTATAGAGCACAGGCAGAGTAGATTTAGCATCACCCTTAAGGGCCCTAGGACTTTCGGAGTGGTGCATGAGCACTGGCTTCAACTTAAAGTCATCTCCCGCATTAGCCCCTAGCGAGAGAGTCAGCCTGTTCTTTGAAGCTTTGAAGCCAGGTATTGACTTCTCCTCTTTAGCTATGAAGTCTTAGATGGCATCTTCTTCCATGACCATATTGTGCTATTTCATCTGCATTGAAAATCTGTTGTTTAGTGCAGCCACCTTGCTCAATGGTCTTAGCTAGATCTTCTGGGTAACTTGCTGAAGCTTCTCCATCAGCACTTGCTGCTGCTTCACCTTGCACTTTTGTTTGTTCTGGAGACAGCTTCTTTCTTTAAACCTCATGCTCTGCTAGCTTCAAATTTTTCTTCTGCAGCTTCCTCACCTCTCTCAGCACTCACAGAATTGAAGAGAGTTAGAGTATTGCTCTGGATTAGGCTTTGGCTTAAGGGGATGTTGTGTCTGGTTTGATCTTCTATGCAGACCACTCAGACTTTCTCCATATCAGCAATAAGGTTGTTTTGCTTTCTGATCATTCGTGTGTTCACTGGCGTAGCACTTTTAATTTCCTTCAAGAACTTTTTCTTTGCATTCACAACTTGGCTGTGTGGTATAAGAAGCCCAGCTTTCAGCCTATCTCAGCTTTAGACCTGCCTTCCTCACTATGCTTCATAATTTCTAGCTTTTGACTTAAAAGTGAGAGACACGCGACTCTCTTTCACTCAAACACCTAAAGGCCATTGCAGCGTTACTAACTGGCTTAATTTCAATATTACTGTGTCTCAAGAAATAGGGAGGCCCAAGGAGAGGGAATGGCCAGTTGGTGGAGCAGTCAGAACACACACAACATTTATTAATTAAGTTTGTTGTCTCATACTGGCACAGCATGTGGTGTCCCCAAACAATTACAATCATAACGTCAAAGGTCACTGATCACAGATCACCATAACACAATAATAGTGAATAAGTTTGAAATATTGCAAGAATTACCAAAATGTCACACAAAGACATGAAGTGAGCATGTGCTGTTGGAAAAATGGAGCCAACAGACTTGCTGGATGCAGAGTTGCCAAAACCCTTCAATTTGTAAAAAAAAAAAAAAAAAAATGCAGCATCTCTGAAGCGCAATTAAGTGAAATGCAATAACGCCAGGTGTGCAGGCACAAAGTGCTGTGTGCTCCTCCCCCAGGGGTGGTTCTGATGTCACCATGGTGCAGTACCAAAACTGGGAAATTGCCACTGGTTGAATACTGCTGTCTACAGACCTTCTTCAGTTTTCACCCATCTTTATGCACATTTATGTGTGTGCATGTGTGTGTGTGTGTGTGTGTGTAGTTCTATGCAATTTTACCCCATGTATAGATTCACGTAAGTGCAGCCACAATCAAAGTAATATTCTAGCACCATGAGAACCCCCTAGTGCTGGTGCTCCCCTTTATTTAATCTTCCTCCATGCCCCCAATCTGTTCTCATCCTGGCCACTCTGTTTATAGAGGTTACACTCCAGCTTCTCCTGCCTCTTGGACAAGCCCAGAGCCAGTTTCTTCCTCCTCAGGGCCAGCCAGGGAGTTCTAAGCTTCTGGGATGCATGAGGGTCTCATGTGGTCTGAATAACTTCTGAACCCCAGCTCATCTCTACCAGGGAAACAGAGTATTTAAGTCTCCAGGCAGCACAGCTCCCAGCGGCTCACCAGGTTCTTACAGTCCCAGCACACGACGATAGAGTTATGCTCCCCAGAGCAGGAAGGACCCTGCTGGGAAGCAGCTCTTTCAGGGCGGTGCCAATCACACATGCAACACATTTCTCCTGAGCACCTTTAACATGCAGGGTGCAGGGCCACACCTGGGCATGCAGGGGCCTTTCACTCACACAGACCTTGTCCAGGTCTGATTCTGCCATCACCAGCTGTGTGACTTTGGGCAAGTGACTTAACCTCTCTGAACCTCAGGTTCCTCGTTAGTGAAGTGGCATGTAAAGCTTCAAAAAAGTAAAACATTTAAAGCACTGAGCCTACCAGAGTGTACGTGCAGAATAATCACTGCTGTGACCATGCCAGCCACACAGCTGTGATATGGAGCCCAGAGTTCTACCCACAGAACCCTCTCAAAGCAGGGCAGCTTGACTTCCCAGTAACTCCATATAGCAATAGCTGAAAGGATATTTTATTTAAGCCTTTCCTAAAGTGGCCCAGAGAGGTGAAGCAACTTACCCAAAGTCACACAGCTCCTAATTGTCAAAGGGTGGACTAGGGTCTAGGACTGTCCCTTAATCCAGTGCTCCTGGAACTTCCCTGGGTTTCCACCCACGAGACTCCCCACAGGGAAGCCTGACCATCTCCCCAGCTCTGCATTCCCTCAGGTGCCCCCTTCACACTCGCATGATGCTTTGTCACAGGCCTTTGCCATGCTGCCTGCCACCGTTTATTTTGTGACATCTGTTTACTGCCCTCCCCACTGCCCCAGAGAGTGGGCTCCACAAAGGCAGAGGCTGCCCCTGGGGTCTGACACAGTGCCTGGCAGTGTGCAGAGGCCACACCCCTGTGCTGGATGGTGAGTGATGCTGAACGCTCCCTCCAGGACTGTAAGCTGCTCCCTGTGGACACTCGCTGGCTGTGGGGCGAGGCCAGCCAGGACTACTCTGCTTGCCAACTGGACAGGCTCTGAGCCCAGAAACAACTGGTCCTCTCAGGAAGCATGGAGCCTTGGAGAAAACAGCCAGGGCCAGGTGTAGCTCACTGAGGAAAGCTGGACACAGGCTGCCTGGTGGCCCCCATCCAGGGACCTCCATGGGGCTGGGGATAGAGGGGGTGAAGGGCCATGCTCTAGTTCTTGAATTCTAGCATATTTACGGTTTCAAACATTGGCACCCGTTTATGAGGCCAGTCAGTCCTGCTCACACAGAGCCCAAGCTTCTTCCAGGCACATCCCCAGTGTGCTATTCTTGTTTTTTGTTTTTTGAGACAGGATGTCGCTGTGTTGCCCAGGTCGGAGTGCAGTGGTGTGATCACAGTTCACTGCAGCCTCCATCTCCTGGACTCAAGTGTTCCTCTCACCTCAGCCTCCTGAGTACCTAGGACTATAGGCACACACCACTGCACCAGGCTAAGTGTTTGTTTGTTTGTTTGTTTTTGTTTTTGGTAGAGATAGGGTTTTGCCATGTTGCCCAGGCTGGTCTCAAATTCCTGGGCTTAAGCAATCCTCCCACCTCAGCCTCCCAAACCCTGATATTATAGTCGTGAGCCACCATGCCTGGCCTCCAACGTGATGTTCTTGCTCTTCTCCAGTTTGTAAGAGTGCCCTGTAGACATATCTGTGTGTCTGTCCACCTGTTTCTAGCTCTCCTCTTTCTCTCATCTGCCTTCTCTCTGTAGGGTCTCATTCCTCATTCAGTAATTCAGAGAATGTGCCTTATGGAGAAATAACACTTTTTTTTAACCCCCGTCATCTTGATGCCTGAATAAACCCACCGGGGTTCTGCGGCTAAAGTGGGACTCCTCTCTCTGGCTTCCCATAGCTCAGGTCCGTGGCTGATTCAATCAGAGGCCAGGTGCATCTGGCAGAGACTAATGTTGTTTTCCCCACATCCACAGTTCTGAGTTCTTGTTCATTCAGTCAAGAGAACACGTGGCCCCATGAAAAGGTACTGAACTTCTCATCTCAGTGCCACTCCTGCAGCTTTATAACTTTGGGTAAATCCTCTGCCCTGTGCCTCAGTTTTCTCACCTGCAGAGTGGACATGATAATGACACCCGCCCCTCTGGGTTGTGCTGAGGTTTAAGTGTAATACTCCTGGGACCTCGTACATAGCAAGACTCAAGAAAATTCATGCTCATAAATATTCTTATCATTATTATCATTCCTTTAAACATATTGTTCTCTTTTAAATATCTTTTATCTCTATCTCCAGCAGGAGGTGTAGCCCGGGAGGAGGCACTCATCTTTCTGCTGAGGCCCCTACAGCTCTGGTTGAAGTCAAGGCCATGCCCCACCAACAGGCGTGAAGTGCTTTTCCATTTTGTGGCTGCATGCCTGACAGCGCCGCTTTCCCCCACCTCACAGCGGCTCTGTTTCCACTGATGTCTGCCTCTCAAGGGTCTCTGGGACTCACTGCACACAGAGTCCTTGTCTCCCAGCTCCTGTCCCCATGAAAAGGAGGGAATGCGAACATCTCCACCTACCATATGCTTTTCCTGCCTCAGTGCCGTGTCCAAATGCAGCAGGTCTTTTAAGTGAAGGCTGTAGATACACAGGTCAACGTCTACACTGCAAAATAAAATGAGAAGCGGAAAAGACTTTCAGGGTATCGGAAATGAAGAGTAAGAATATTGGCACGTCCCTCATCAGTACAAGCCACAGCACACCCTGCCTCAAACTCTCATTCTGCAGCATGCTGAGGTCCTTACGCTCACTCCAGGTTTATAAGAAGGGATCAAATGAGCTGTTTGAAACCCACTAATGGCCATAAGAGAACAGTTGGTGTCAGAGACATAGGTGCCTGGGACTTCCAAGAGAAAACCAATGGAGAGAGGGAAGGGAGAGAAATAAAAATGACGTTTCCTCCTTTGAGTATTTTCTAAAAAAAAATTTATTTACTTATCTTTTTAGAAATAGGGTTTTGCTCTGTCTCCCAGGCTGGAGTGCAGTGGTACAATCACGGCTTACTGCAGCCTCCACCTCCCGGGCTCAAGCAATCCTCCCACCTCAGCCTCCCGTGTAGCTCGGACTACAGGCATGCACCACCATACCCGGTTGATTTTGGATTTTATTTTAGAGATGGGGTCTCACTATGTTGCCTGGGCTGGTCTTAAACTCCCGAGCTCAAGCAATCCACCCACCTTGGCCTCCCAAATGTTGGGATTACAGGCATGAGCCATGGTGCCCAACCTCAAGCATTTTCATGTCTATCATCACGTGTCACCTTTCCTCGGTGCCTTAGCAGAGACATTCTCATGCCCATTTTACAGATGCAGAAACTGACTCAGGGAAGAGAGAATCAGACAAATCAAGTGACCATCATAGGGTCAACGGGGGCAGATACATGGCAGAGTGTAAAAGTCTTTGACCTTTTTTCCCTCATAGGCAAATGCATTTTAAATGATGACTCT